>NW_018654718.1:697892-1046838 GCF_000001405.40 Homo sapiens | reverse complement strand
TGCCTGTCTATGCAGTGCTCACCCTTCCAGGAGTAGAAAGTGGGCTAGGGGAGGAGAGTGGGTTAGCTGCTACTGTACTAAGAGCTGAAATTGACCAAAATCAACCTTGATTTACTGTCCAAGCCTCCCCCTGAAAGTTGCAAACCTTCATTAGACTCCAGAGTTTCAAAATATTAATAGTTAAACAAAACAGATTCTGCCAGTGTATTTGTTGTCTATCGGGGAGGATTCTTGGTGCTCCTTACTCTGCCATCTTCCCAGAATCCTCTGGGACAAATTATTTTTACTTAAGGGGTTATTCTGAAAGGTTTATCGAAATCAGATTAAGTTATAATAACAAAAAAAAAGAAAAGCAATCTTACATTTGTATAGTCCTCATAGTACTTTATATATTATCATATCTCCCCCTCCTTTCTTCTCTCCTACATTCCATCCCTCTTCCCTTCTGTCCTTTCAAAACCAATTTCAGAGACTGCTTTTCCTGTCTAATCCATGTGAATTAGCCATTTAATTCCTCTGATTTTGTCTCCTTTTTAACTTTTGGCCATTTTTCTGTCAACTCTTTCATGAGAAGGAAGAAATAGGGGATGGGTTAACTGCTGAATGGACTTAGGTATTATCATTGGATTCATATTTCCTGTGTTCTCTCCAGTCTTCTTCCTTTTGGGGATCCCAGACAGTTGAGATAACTGAGTGAAGTTTGTATTTGTGACCTCTAGGAAACAGGAGAAAGGAAGAAATAAGGAAGAGGGAAGATACAATGAAGTCAATGTAGACATTGTTAAGAAATTTATTTGCAATTCTTATTTTTTGTGTTTTTTGTTTGTTTTTTAAATAACATCATTCCTTAGATAAAAATGCAATCTTACAGGAATATACAATAGTGTCTCACACAGAGATGACCCTGAAGCTCTCCTTGAAGGGTTGCCCCTTCTAGATTCCCTGGCCTTTCTCGAGGGTGAGAAGGCCCATCAGGCGAGGCCTCTGACAATGGGATTATTTGAGGATTACAAACTGTACAATGATATTTACAACAGTAAGACTGTGAAGTCGTGGAGCCTGGAGGGGAGGGTGTGGGGGTGTGTAGGGGTGTGGGGAATGGTGACAACGGAGGCACTGCCCATCTTTCTGTGCCTCTCTGATAACAGGCATGATACAGATTGGTTTGGGGGATGAAGGTGGGTTTGAGCTGGAGGACATGAGGGAAGGGGAGATTAGAGGAGCTTTATCTGGAGCGTTTCACAGGAGGAAAGTTTTGCATGGTAGCTCTGGTGGATTAAAATAAAACAGCAATATTATGAGAGTAATAGACCTTTCAGTGCTTCACCAACGGGGAATCTGTCGCCCTATTTCTTAATGAATGTGCGTGTTTTGCCATGGGTTATTCTCATCCACTACCATCACAGACTTGTCCAGACATGCTCATCTCTGTTTCCCATGGCCTCACTCCCACGAGGCTTGGGGGAACAGCATGCATTCTGGCCAGGACAGGACATGGCAATGGGGTGGTATATAACCTGGCTGGGATTCAAGAGATGGATTTCAGGTGTGGGTATGGGCTGCAGCTGGATGCATAGGTGGCCTGAGGCAGGAAAAGAGAAGGTGCGCACAGCTTTGGGATGCTGGAGACACCTCCTGAAGGGGATCTTTCTGCACAGGACTGTGTGTTTACAAATCATCTTCCCTTGATGTACAAGTTCTTTCCTTTTCCCCTTTTAAACATTGGTGTAGTTTCTCCATATTGGGAAGTCTTGGGGTTGGGGGCTATGTCCAGGACCCAGTGACCCACCCTCTTTTGCTTCTCTTGTGACTCTACAGGAGAGACTTCTCTTTTCTCCTGGCCAATGGCCAGGAGAGGTTTCTTCAAGGGGGTCCCTGAAACCTGCAGCCTCAGGTTCCTTGGCAAGGGAGCCACTGCTTGGCCTGGTGCCTGCTCACCTTTTTTTCCTTATTCCCTTGGTAATAAACTTGAGATCTCTAAGATTTCCACAATGGGAATTCTCCAGACCCAAACAGTGAATAAGAATCATTCTGTCCATTTCTGCATTTCCTCACATAGAAATGACCCTCTCTTAAAACTTACAAACTCTTCCACCCAGAGCTTTTTTTTTTTTTTTTTGGATAATGACCTTGGTTTGAGGTGCATGAGTGAATTTTAGAAATGAATGTACAATGTATGTCTGATTCACACCAGGGGAAGTGGCACAGTGCCCTTTCTGGGATCCCTACAAAGTCAAATTCCTTAGATCCTGAGAAGTGGAGTGCATGGGATGCCCTGAAAAGGTGGGGGTGTCCCTGTGTAGCAGCCAGTAACTGATCTGAAGGGAGAGGACTTGGCTCTGGTGATGTAACATTTCAAGCCTCTGTGTAATTACCTAGTCTTAGTCTTTTCTTCCTCATTCTTAGTAGAGACGTGGGGAACTTTCATGAAAAATGCTAATTCTGACTCCTCTCAGCGTGCAACAGATTTGTTACACTTCATCCACTCAGCTGCAAGATCTAGAGTGCTTTCAGAGGTGACTGGAAGAGTTCTCTAATACCCTACAAAGACCATGGATCTTTGCCACTTCAGGTGCTGTGGCTCAAACCTCTTAAAGTCATCCCAGGAAAAAGTGTTGATTGTAGTATTCTCTCAATGTATGTAAATAGAATTTATGTCATAATAATAGTAGGTTCTGATGGTACTACTTCCATCCAAGGGAGTCACTCTACTGCACCCTCCTTGTCTGTGTATACAGTGCTCACCCTTGCAGGAGCAGGAAAGTCCCTCATCTAGAGCTCAACCCCAGCCCTTGTGCCTTAACGGTGTGTGTCTGTGTAGTGAGGGGGGTTGTTCAAGCATCCCCCGTCAATGTAGAGATGTGGCAGAAACCCGTTCACCTGTTGTATTGGTATCTGGCTCCAGAAAGAAAAGTTTCATTGCTTTGACATAAGAATAAATTGATGAATGAAGTTAAACCCAGAAGAGGCTTCACAAAGAGGTCGTGTAAGCATCTGCCCATGGGACTCCCTTCCACGCACCGTCTTTCTCACTAGGTGTTGGGGAGGACAGGGAGCTGGGGCTGGGGAGGGCAGTGGGAAGAGGGAGCTTTGCTTAGGGACAGGGAAAGGTGCCCCATTCCTGACAGTTGTAGGACTTTTCTTTCCCTCCTGTCTTCCCCCTCAACCTCCTCAAATCGTAGCCTCTGGAGAACCTGGACTCTGGCGGCTGAGGGCCTCCCTGGGAGTGAGGTTTGGGCTTCCCCGCCTGTCTTTGCACAGCAGCCTGTGTCAGGTGGCACCTGGACAGCCTGAGGGGAGGGACATCAGCAGAGGGGGGACAGGGTGGCAGACACCCCCACATCCCACCAGGTAGGCTGATGTGGCTGGAACAACACCCCCAGATGGAATGAGTACTCTTCTCACCTTCCCAAATAGATCCTTGAGATGTCAGCGGCTCCACCACACTGGTCACTGTGGGTGGGTAAGCTGAACACATCCTTCCATGAACTGGGAAGAGGCACAGAGGGAGTCAAAATATGCCCTTTTCTTGCCTCCATTCTCCTCCCAGTCCTCTCTGTGCTGACATTTGCCCCAGAGGCAGGTCTTCTTTAAAATATGGAAACGGCCCAGACTCCATCAGCAAGTATTTGCCTCCCCTGGGGTTTAAAGAGGTCTTCTGGGAGTCAGCAGGCCCTTTTTGTGGCCTCTTTGCTGAATTGTTTCTAATCCTTGACAATGATATTTCAATTCTTGGCCTCTAGGGATGGAGATGCCATCATCCTCCTTTACCACCTTTCCCACGATGAGGCTAAAAACCCCGATGACCAGGGTTCCACTCTATCCCTGACCTACATTCGTGTTTTCTTTCTTTGCCTTTAGGAGTGGTGGCTGTGTATCTTCAGGACTCCATAAAGTAGCCACCATCTTTTGGGTGACTTCCAAAGTCCTCATTTTCTAGGTGTCACTGTTGCTCAGGAGATGAACTTGGGCATGGAAAGGTCTGCTTCTCCTGAGGTTGCCCCACTGTCTTCAGCTGCATGGGCAGGAGACATGCTGGGTGGAGAAAAGCTGGGAGAAAGTAACGGGTAGCTTCACTCCAGACAAGCACCTGGAATTTGGAACTGGGAAATAGAATGAGAGACATTGCCTTGTTCCTTTGAGTGGATTTCCCAGTGAGAGTGAGGCCTATTGGATTAAGAAGAAGGAAAGGGGTTATAACTAGTACCTTCTGAATCAAAGCTGGGAAAAATTCTCCAAGGTCTGGAAATGAAAGAGGCAGGGCTGGTCGGAGGACAAGAATTAAGTTGACCAAACTGCAGACCTTAAACTGTTGTTTCTTCAAGTCCCTTGGGCCCTTAGCCCCTGACTGTTTTCTCCTGACACTTGGGGGCTGTCAGGAGGGGTATGGAAGATGTGACAATTATGTTTTACAAGGTCATGGGGAAAATTCCATTTTAGGTGGAGAGTAGACATCACTTGGAAGATTGTGCTGTGGTTCATTGATGTCACTACTTGTGCCAGTCTGTTCTGATGACAGGCATCATACGCCAGTCTTATTCTAGTGGATCAGAAGGTCAAGCTAGGATAGTCCTCCTGCCCTAGACAGGGAACGCCTGTGTGTACCTCCTGGTAGAAATCTTGGGAACTTTTCAAAGGATGATACCTAAACTCAATTTCTAGAGGACCTTGATGGCAGTGAAAAGGAATCAAGAAAGTTTGGATGACTTGGGTGTGGATATCCATAAAGAAACTCTGTTTCTAGACTGTGTTAACCGGGGAGTATTGAGTACATTTCTCCACTTTGTCATGAATCAGTCCAGCAAGCTGTCATAGAGGAATGGACTGTCCCTTATTGTAATTTCTAGCTTACTTATATATGTGCCAAGAGGGGCTCAGGGAACACTAGGACTGGAAGAGATTTAATGGGTCAATTCTGGGTGAATGGTTGGGTCCTGTTTTCCCCAAAGCAGTCCCTTTTCAGCCACCACTGTTGACATACATTTGAAGGACACAGCACCAAAAGAGTGATGTTCTAGGGAGATATAAGTGAGCATTAGAGATGCCCCCACAAAAATCTGTTCCCACCCCCACTGTGAGCTCCGGATGCCTCTTCCCTTGTCCTGGCCCCCTCCCCGGCAGCCCAAACATTAGGGCAAGCCTGAAGGAAAGGCTGCTCCAGAGTGAGGAAGGGATGGAGAAAGGAGCACGCAGAGTTGACTTTCAGATGGATCAGGGTTTCACCAGTTCCTTTCTCGAGCCCCTGCTGTCCTTGTTGGGTAGAGCAACAAGAATCCGGAAGTGAGGATGCCCCTCCCTCCAAGCAGCCTGACTTTAATTTTATCCTCCCGGTTAGTGTACACTTTCCTAAGGAAGCCAAAGAGAAAATTCCGTGTGGTGGAAGGGAAGGGAAAGCCAGCTACCTCTTCCATGGGGGATGCGGATGACGGCCCAGTGACTGAGGGCTCATCAGAACGCCTCCCTGCACCTCACAGTGAAGGGCTGTTCTTGGAGAAGTACCAAATCAGATGACCAGAGCAGAGTGGACAGAGTGAAGACTGGAATAAAATAGGTCCTGGTCTCTCACAGCAAGAGGCGGTACAAACATACCCAGCAAACGATTTTGGAAAAATTGAGGGAAATGTAAGCAAACACAAGATATGCAAAACAGTAATGTCCAAACCTGTTTGTGGAGAGCAGAATAATGACTACACTGGTGATACCTTTGCTCATTGTGCAAACTAAAGAAAACTTGTTCCCTTTCCCCCAACCACATATAGAAAAGCACTTGAGTTCAAAGGTAAAGCTTGTCACACTCCAAATACAAAATGATTTACTTTACATGCAGCAAAATATACAAGAAGTGAATCCGAAAACCAACTTAATTCAATTCATTATATTCGCTTGGCACAATTGCAATTCAGTTTTAAAAAAATATTTGAAAAATACTGAAACTGACCTGAATTCAAGTATAACGGTTTCTTCAACAGAAACATTATCAATGCAATAAAACATTACACGGAATATATTGAAGCAAAATGCCTTCTTGTGTTTTTCCCTTAAATTTCTGTCTTTTTTTAAAATACAGTTTTAATGCCAACACAACTCACAATTGTATTTTTAAATGAATATTATTGCATTGTTTTTGCATATCTTGTGGGACAGAAAATGCAAAGAGTTACTGATTCCCGTTTCAGAAGCAGAGACAGTGGTTTGTTTTTGCTTTCAAACGGCCCCAGATTCAGATCTTCCCACAGCTAAACCAGAAAGGGGGGACTGCGTAGTCACTGGTGTGCACGGGCACATGGTGTGGGTGCATATACACGGGCAGGACATATGCACACAGACAACCCACCACACACACACGCGTCGCACACACTCGGAGACTCTCTCGCGCATGCTCCTCTCTCCCAAACCCACCTGTACACCCAGCATAAAAAGGAACCCAACTCTATCACCCACATGTGCAAGACCACATCAAGTGCATTGCCAGTTACCTTTCCATTAGATAACCGAACCAAACCAGAACAAAAATAGGTTACTACCTAAGGAAATGATAACAAATTATTGGGCATACACAATGGTTGGTAAAACTCTCCTGCAGCGGCTTCTATTGAACCTCCGTGGAAAAAGGAAACCACAACCGTTTAAATAATACAAGAAAACCAAACCCGATGTACATTGGCAAAAGTGAAAACAGAAAGGTGAGGGGGCTACAGGACTTTGTAAACACTCTTCTTCCTCCCCTCCCGCTGGGAAAGCAAAATAAAACATTTAAAAAAAACCAAAACCGAAAAGAAACTGCAACATGCTGTCAAGAAAAGTGTCAAACCACAAAACAAAAGAGCGCTCAGCGGAAGCTCAGCACCACCTGGTTGGGCGGAGCCGGCGGCGCAGCTCCTCCCTCGCGCTGCCTGCGGGCCGGCGGCTGGCCGGGAGCTCGGCGTGGCCCGTGCCGGTCGGGGGATCCCGTCGCAGGTGGGCAGGGACGGAGTGAGCCGCACCACTGCCGGCCCGACGCCCATCCCCAGAGCTCCGCGCCCCTGGAGGCCTCCTCCTCCCTCTCCGGGCCGGGTTGGGGTCCTCCTGGAAGTCCTGCCCCGCTCCCTTCTCCAAATCCGCAGGGCCCTGGCTCTAGGGAGACAGCGAGGCTCGTACAGAATATGTGCAAATGGTTTCTACAAGCAGAGTCGAAAGACACCCGTTTGCTGTAGGGTCCTTTTGGTGAGGGCGCGCGGGAAGCCGGGGTGCTCTCCCCGCGGAGGCGCGGCCGGGCCCGGGGCCTGCGAGCTGGGAGAGGGCAGGCGCCTTCCTCGCGCCCCGGGACCCTCGCCGCCTCCTCTCCCCGCCTCTGCAGACGCAGCCGGGCGCCTTCCTCCCGGAGGGCGGCTCGCGCACCCAGGCTCCGCGTCTGGTCCCAACAGAAATGAATGAAGACGCTGTTCCGGTTAACTCCAGGTCACGAGAACAGTGAGGCACTTCTGAAACGAACCCATTAGGAACATTGAAACAAATAAAAAAAAGCCCGCATCTGGCAGCGCCCACTACAGGCTGCTGACGTAGACCCTGCTGTCCTGGAGCTCCTCCTCACTCGGTCGACCCCGCGCGCGCACACAGCCCGCGTCCTCTTCGCCCCCGGCTCGGTCCTGCCCCGCGTCCCTGCAGTTCACAAAGGGTAAGAGGGCGCCATTGGGGCTCTGTGGGGCGCCCCCGCTGAGGATGTTGTCGGCCGCGCTCTCCATCTCCTCTATGGTCATGTCGCAGGCGTCGGCCAGCTCCTGGGTGGTGACCTCGATGAACTTGGGATCTTGAGCAAACTGCCCCAGTCCTTCTGAAATCAAGACCTGAAGGAGCGGGGTGGGAGCCATGAAGAACCAAAGGAACATTACTCCTGGAGCCCAGCTCTTCCCTTGAGGGCTAGAGCGAGGGGGTATCTGGTAGGTCACTTGGGGAAGTGTGCGTGTGTGCACGTGTACGTGTGTGTGTTGGGAGGGGCACCCATGGGGAACAAGTGGAGATGGAGCATCTGCCAGAATTAGGGATGTGCAGGCCAGAGAAGTTTTGGCTGGGGTGGTCAAACACTGTCATCAAATATATGAAGACTTGCTTATGGCCCAGCACGGTGGCTCACACCTGTCACCCAGCACTTTGGGAAGCCCAGGCAGAAGGACTGCTTGAGCCCAGGAGTTCGAGACCAGGCCCAGGCAACACAGGGAAACTTCGTCTCTACAAAAAATTTAAGAATAATTAGCTGGGTGTGGTGATGCACACCTGTGATCTTAGCAAGGCCAGAGACTGAGGTGGGAGGATCATTTGACCCCAGCAGCGCCAGGCTGCACTGAGCTGTGATTGTACCACTACACTCCAGCCTGGGTGACAGAGCGAGACCCTGTCTCAAAAAACAACCAAAACAAAAACCAGAGAAGGTTTGGCTCTCAGAGGGGCCGGGGGGTTGCCCTGATGCTGTATCAGCAGATCCCAGCCTGCCTCTCTCCTTTCTGACACCCACTGAACCTTTATACTATTCTTTCAGAGAAACCATTCTCCCTGGTGAAACTGCTGAGACAGGCCCACTGCCCATTGCCTGCTGCTGCCTTTCCAGGGGTGAGGTATCTGTGCAAACACGGCGCATGCCCCTGCCTTGCTTCTGCTGGGAAGGGCCAGCAGGTGACCCTTAAGCTTCTCTGTCCTCCCTACCGGCTGCTTAGTGCCTGGCTATGGGAAAATCGGCTCCTGAGCCAGCGGGTCGGGGGAAGCTGAGTGCAGCCTGGCACTCGCTCCTTTCAGGCATCTGTTTGTCTTGCTCCTTGCCCACGCCACTCATTCTCTCCTTGCCCTGCTTAGTTTTTCTTTGGCACTCCTGACCTTCCTGATGTGTTATATATGTATGTGTTTATTATCTGTCTCTCCTCACCATGATGTGAGCTCATGAGAGCAGAAGCTCTGTTTCTCAGCTGTGTCCCTGTACCTAGAACAGGGCCTGCACATGGTAGGCGCTCAGGGAAGGTCTGTGAAATGAATGCAGGATGATCGAGGCCACAGGAATACCAGACTTTGAGAGGTAAACCTTGGAAGCCACCTGGTTTAACGCCCCACCTCCTGCACCACAGCCTGACGCCCGGATGAGCACAGTCTCTGCTTGGCTATGTCTGATGATGGGGGGCTCACTACCTTTCAGGCAAGCCCCTCTCATCTTGGAAGAGCTCATTTGGGAAGGTCTTCCCCATGTGAGCTGAAATCTGTCCGCTGGTGGGCTGAGCCTGCCACCCTTTCCCCATCCCACCCGTTGCAGGTGTGAGAGGTGTATCGCACCCTCCAAAGTCACCTCCTCTCCAGGTTTTCTTCCCGAATTCCCTGAAACGGTTCTCCTAGGAAATGGTTTCTAGGAACCTTGCCATCCTGGTCATCCTCTGTTGGGTTTGTTCCAGTGTGTCAAAGGTCCCTAATAATGTGGTGCCGGGATTGCACTAGATGCTCTGACCAGGCAGAGCACAGTGGGACTGAAAGCTCGCTTGTTCTAGGCTAGTGGCTCTCAACCTTGCTACACGTTAAAATCATCGAAGAGCTTTAACAATCATCAGTTAATCTGTCCCGGGTTTCCAAAGCTCCCCAGGTGATGCTCACGGGCAGTCAGGCCTGAGCACCTTGGATCTTGCCTGTCTGTGTATAAAGGCAGCCAGGCTCACATTTGCATGTCGAGCAGCTGCAGTATAAGGGATAAGTTGCTCAGTGGTTTCTGCCGCCCTCTGCAGTGGGCCCAGCCTCAAGAGAGCCCATAGCATCTTGTGCAGTCATGGCTTTCCGCACACGAGCCCTCCTGCAGCCCTGAGAGGGAGGGTCTTTCGGGCTCAGATATTGACTGCAATGAATTTGGCAAGAGCCAGGTGCTCCCTTCTCAGCCCCGCATGCCAAGTCCCCTTGTTGCCCGTGGCCTCTCCCCCCTGCCCATCTGCGAGTCACCTACCGCTTCCACCAGGCTGCTGGCACTGCCGTGGAACTGCCTCCCTGGGGCCCCAGCCTGGCTGGGCACCATGAGGGAGACGGGCCGGACTCTCCGGGCGGCGCTGCTGCCCCCGCCACCGGGGGTGGTCTCAGCCCAGGAGCCGCAGTGGATGGATGGGAAGCTGCTGTTGAGTTTCTCACTGGACTCGACCCCCTCAAGCCGCAGGGTGGGGACGGGCTGTGGGGGCCAGCCTCGGCTGCCAGGTGTGGCTGGTGGGGTGGCAAAAGGCCTAGGGAATGAGGCAGGGGAATGGCTTCTCTGGAGGAGGGGGCTCAGGCCTGCCACTGCCAATGCCTGCGGACACACAAGGAGTGTGAGTTAATAGGAGTGGCCGACCCCAAACAAGGCAGGCCCCTGCTTCTGAGCAAGCACTGCTTTGCAGCTGCTGTGTCCAGCTAGCTCCACCTGCCTGGTATTCCCATGCCATTATTTTCCCCTGTCGGTCCTATCTCAACCTGGCATGACTTTCAACTATCTCAAAATACATCTTAGGATCATCTGGGTCTGAAGTGATCTCTTTCTCCTGTAACTTCTGAAAGCTGGGATTGGGTGAAGTCGTGGTAACCTGCTTTTAGCCCTGGCCTGGTCACCTGTCAGCTGTGCATTCTCTCGCTCTTGGTTTTGTCCTCAATAGAATGGAGAGCAGGGTGAGGCCTGCATGTCTGTAAAGCCAGAAAACGAATGCTGTCTATCCATCTGCCCTGTGGGGCTGGTGTGAGGCTCAAGCGCAATGAGGTCTGTGAAGAAGCGCTGTGCACCTCACAAAGAGTTGGGAAAACCAGTATTTGTGGTTTTAGTTCTCACAGTTAATGGGGCCATTCATAATGCCCTGCCAGTCTCTAGCTCAGGTTGTCTTTGAGCCATTGTTAAATCCGGTGCTGTATTGTGATTAAAAGATTCAGGGCTGGGAGCAGTGGCTCATGCCTGTAATCCCAGGACTTTGGGAGGCCAAGGCGGGCAGATCACCTGAGGTCGGGAGTTCAAGACCAGCCTGACCAACACGGAGTAACCCAGTCTCTACTACAAATGCAAAATTAGCCAGGCATGGTGGTGCATGCCTGTAATCCCAGCTACTTGGGAGGCTGAGGCAGGAGAATCACTTGAACCCGGGAGGTGGAGGTTGTGGTGAGCCGAGATCGTGCCATTGCACTCCAGCCTGGGCAACAAGAGCAAAACTCTGTCTCAAAAAAAAAAAAAAAAAAGTCACACGGTACGCCCTCTGTCCCTGAATATTCTTGAGCATCCTGAGGGTAGGGACCAGGCCTGTCTGGCTGTTGCCATGACAACCTGCCAGGGCAGAGGCTCTGCAGGGTGAGCTGCTCTGATGGGATGTGCTCCCGGGAGAGAGCGACACTGTGGTGGGGAAAGACCACCTCTAGGGTCACAGAGTACAGGAGGAGAAAGAGATGAAGAGGAGAGTTTCGTGCCTACCAGTACGACAAGAACAGATAGGTGAAATCGACTTCTAGAAATCTTTTAAGATAGCACACACAGTGTCCCCACATCCTTCCACCTCCTGCCCCTGCCCATGGTGGTCCTCAGCCTGGGGCTCCTGGGTCCCTGGGAATCTGAGAAAAGTGTAAGGCCATATTCATTATTTCAGAAAGCCCAGTGGAAGACAACACCACACAGGCTAAGAAAACCTGTTTATTTTTTGGAGCTGAAGTACTATCAACTCAGCCAGGCCACACTGGCCATCTCATGCTGATTATGACTTTTGATTGGCAGTTGAATGCCTTTGGGTACAAAGCATAGGTCTATTTAAAACATAGGTCCATGCTATAAAAGAGTATAACTTTAATAAGGTCAGAATGTTGGGAAACCCAGGTTTAGACCTCAGTTTGCCTGGGGTTAATAGACTGGCCTTAGATAACACTGAAGTTCAAAGATACTAAGGCATGTTTGGTCCTGGCATCTTGGATTTCACTGTCTCAGCTGGAGTCAGCCATGCCAAGAGACATTTCATTTATGGAATCTCCCTGGACCTGCTTCCCACGGATGTCATTCCCTACTCTTGACCATGTTGCTGGTGGGTTCTTTAATCACTTCTTTATGTCACTGGATGGATTTTTGTGTGGCAAAATTTCCAGGTATATTCAAACTCTAGGTACAAGTACATCTTCCTGAGTGCCCTGAGGCATAGGCCAGTGTCAGAGGCGTCAGTGGCATCTGTGGCAGCCTAAGAAGAAAGCTCAGGTGGAACCTGCAGCTGTGGGTCCTCAGGATCACACAAAGAGCTCCTGTGCACCAGCACTTCCTAGGCCCCCACCTGCGATGCTGCAGACCTTGCCGTGGCCCTCACCTGCACAGGAGTGTGAAGCCCTACAGGGATGGCTCTTAGGGCAGGGGCAGGACGTGCCAGCCATCTGAGACAGGCAAGACCCACTGAAGTCTTCAGGATTTGTCCGTCACCCTGGGGACTGTCTGGCCTGCTGGCAGGTGACAGTGGCCTGTCCAAAAGTGTGAGCTACCTGATGATGAACCAGATGCAAGGGCAGGACTGTCTTCTGAGAGATGTCTCCCCCTCGGTCCTTCTGTCGCTTCAGACATTCCAGGTGGAAGGAGGCCCTTCGACCTGCAAAGCCAGCCAGAGAGCCACCATCAGGGCAGGAAAACAGGGCACTGGCCTGTGACAGTTTACACCCTGGTGGGGTGCCAGGAGCAGTAACTATGGCCCGAGACGCTCCTCCTTTCCCCTCCCCTCGTCTGAGACGTATTCTGGTGTCCAGGGCTCATCCCTGCACACCCTGCCTTTGGAATGTTGTCTCCTTGCTTTGGAAATGCCCCACTGTGTGGGGCTGATTTGAGGCAGGCCACAACGATTTCCCAATCATCCCTGACCAGTGTTCTCTAGGGAGTAACCGCCGACCACATCCAGAGAGCGAGCGGTGCATTTACCTAGTGAGGCAGAGCGGAGGAAACCCCTCTTCGGAGATTGCCGGATGTCCCTCTTGTCCTCCTCTGGGAGCGTCAGTTGCCGATTTTCGTCATCCTGGTAGGAGAGCCTGGAACAGAGAGCTCATGGGGCTTGTTCCTGGAGGCTGAGAAGTGGCCACCCACAGGGACAGCTGCACCCCCGGAAAGCACTTTGCTCTGATCCTTAGTGAAGGGACGCACACTTTGTGCTTACATGCAGGTTTGGGGAATTGCCACCCCAAGAAGTTCTGGCCTGCCCCTGACGTCTTCCAGGCCTGCTCAGTGGGAATGGCCAGCTCCTCACCCGCAGCCTGTCTCATAAGCCTGCAGTTCTGACTTGGGGCAGTGAAGGCACTCTGGGGTCAAAGGTGTTGAGAAAGCGGAAAGAATCCTAGGCCCATGAAGTTCTTTTGGGGAATGGCCTTGGCTCCCGTGTTTGCATGAGCTGATGCTGTTTTCCCCAGTGACCCTCAACTTTCACCCAAACTTATGCCCGTCCCCCGATTTCTCCCGCCCTGCCACCCCCTCATCAGCAAGAGCACATAAGCAGCTGCCTACAACCACTCTACGGTCACTCAGTAGGTGAACAGCAGGGCTGTGAGGGACCTCATGGGGCATCTAGTCTATGGCTTCCAGGCCTTTGATGGAAACTCGATGAGAAGTAGATTTGACAGCTTCTCATCATGCACAGACACACCTGATGGAATGAAACCTCATAGCCTTTGGTTACCCTCGGTGCATGCGTTGCACCCTGGTGAGTCCCAGTCCACTTTAGTCTGTTCTATTTTTATTAAAATTTTGATTCACAATCTCTGCTGGGTCAGCCTGCAGTTCAAGAAGCACAGCTGCATTCCAACCTCATTCCCAGATGAGACCACTGACTCACTGGTCCCTGGTGCCACCCCACACCTCTGAGGGTGACTCCATGCCTGCTCATGGTACAGCACAGAGACTTGGATGATTTATAGATGTGCAGGAAGGCTGGTAGAGTGCAGACCGCAGTATTTATACCTTCAAGACTAGCTCTTACTCTCAGCTAGCTAAGGCCTCCCTATTGTATTTTCTTCTTATGCAAATCACCCTGGCTCTTGCAGATCCAGCTTCCATTTCACCTTGTGCGTGGTACCAGTTCAGGTCACCCTGCCCTCAACTTTCTCTGAACGCCTGTACCCCTGGGGGTTGTACCACTCTGGGGGTAGTGAGAAACTCTGTGTTATCTTCCTCTCCTGAGACCCTCTTAGTTTCCTAGTTTGTGGAATTTCCTTGAGGATGGAGACTGGGTTCTTAACAACCTAGCAGAGTGCCTGGTGCACCAAGCACTCTAGAATAACCGAAATAGTTTAAAATATATGCTCTTCCTGATTTCTAGGGTAGGTGGTCAGGCATTCGTTTGTATTCTCTAAGAATCAATTTAGAGACAGTTATCTCATAAGGAGCTTCAGGTATTTCCCTTTTTTATATTGACCGTGTTTCACTGAGTCAGAAAAGTAGAAGGCCTGTCACCCCCACCGTCCCATTTTGCTGATGGGGACACGAAGGCACAGGGCAGTTGAGTGATTTGTCAAGTGCCGCTGGTTGGGACTCTTTCCATGCTTTTCCTTACTCACTCGATTCTTCTTTCTATGCTGGGGAAAAGGAGGTGCTTCTGCTACTCTTCCCATCCAGTTCCCGAGCAGAAAGCACTGGACCCCAGGAAGCCGCATGCTGTGCTGGCCTGGCTGCCATTCTCCCCACACTCCTCAGGGTGGGGCACCTGGTGTCCCCTCCCACCACCTCCAGCCACACCTTTCCTGTCTTCAAAAGCCTGCAAGGCTAGTCCTTCCTCACTCTGAAGTCCTTTCAGGAACTGAATGGACTGACATGCTGGGAGGGGTCGGTGAGGGCTTCCCTCCCGCCCTGGGCCCCCGTGGGGCTCCTCCCTGTCTGCATCGGCAGCTCCAGGGTTCCCTGGCGGGGCTGAGAGAGGACACACCCTGCATCGTGCCTGGCCACGCTTCACTGTGCTGCCGTTCCAGAGTGGGACAGTGGCTCCCAGCAGGTGGCACAGCCCCCCAGCATCCCAGGTTCTTGACATGCCTGCCCTCCAGCTCAGAAAATAATAGAGAAGTGGGAGCTTCTCTCTAAACCCCTGGAAAAGTGTCCATCCAAGGAGCAGGCACACCTGCCGCTGGCCTGCCTGTCCCTCCAGAGGGCCCATTTTCAAGTGGCTGCACGCAAGCCCATGGGACCCAGGCATTACCCCCTGGGGAAAACCCCATGCCTCAATTTCCCTTTCTACAAAATTGAAATGACATATGCCCTCTCTGTCTCAGAGGCCTGTTGTGAGTCATGTATACAGTAACAGATGAGACAGGGCTTTGAGGGTGAAAAGAGCCAGAAAAGCTTCGGAAACACTGTGTCTCAAACTTCTGTGGATGTCACTCTGTGTCTCAAACTTCTGTGGATGTGACTCAGAGTCATAAAGATGTTTCTCAAGGAGACCCCCAGATAGCCACATCTGTTGGCAATTAAGCAAGTGTTTCCCAGCACAGCGCTTACCTTTGTGACGTTTGACGCATTCTGATAGTTTCTGATATTGTGCTGTGCTGCACCTGCTTTTAAGGGCTAGTCATTAGTGACCAAATGGATGTCACCACCTTCTAAAGGATCTAGAACTGCAGCTAAAAATACTCTAAGAATGGCAGCAAGGACAAAAATCTCAGGCCTGGCTTTGCCACCAGTGCCCTCTTCTGGGCAGCTTCATTATAAGCAGTGTCTTGAAACACTTGTTTAATTATCTATATATGTATGTGCATACTGAGTCTCACCAGAAAATATATTTATGACTGTGTCTTACAGCCTACAATGTTTATAAAACAATGTTCAGAAATTTTCCTGGCGAGGAAACCCCAAGCTAAAAAGGGCATCGTGTATGTGTGTGTTGTGTGTGTCTGTGTGTGTGTGTGGTGTGTGTGTGTTTGTGTGTGTTGTGTGTTGGGGGGCTCCCATTTCACTGAGGAGATGAAAGAGGCGGTGCAGATGTTTTCTCTGTGATCTCCTCTCCTCCTGCAATCAGCCCCAGAGGAGGGATCTCAGGGACCTGCCTCTGCCTCCCCACATTTGTTCCCACACTTGGGTCAGCCTCAGCAGAGGGCAGCAGAGCTCACATCTCTGTGGAGAGCAGGCTGGGCTCACTGCAGGCCTCCGTGTCATGGTTCATCTTCACTTCATAGGTCTCATCCTGAGACGTCTCCTCCTGACCCGCCATGGCTGCCTGGCTCTCCCGGGAGTGGCACCTACAATATCCAAGATGAAGAAAAACATCAGAAACTGCCAACCTTCCTCCACTTCCTTCAGCAAGTAAAGCATCACACACGCACACACATGCAGGTGTACACACGTGCACAAACACAAGCACACACACGTGAACAGGCATACAGTTGCTGGTGCTTTGTTCTCCTGTGATTGCTGATGGATCCATAGAAGTGTTCAGATTAGGGTGAGGGTCCCATTTGGGAGAAGGATGTCTGCTGTGGATCCAGGAGTCCTGACCCCAATCCACTTACCCTCTGGTCCAAGTCACTTGGTCCACCTCATGCCTCAGTTTCCCTATGAAATTGGAATGACATATGCCCTGCCTAACTTAGAGGCTGCCCCCCACTCACCTCCAGCTATGACACCTGGGTCTTTGGCATTTGGCATAGCTGAGAAGTCCTTGGCCTCTTATTTTGATGGTGCCCTTGATTCTGACACTGGCACCCTGGGGTAAAGGCACAGAGAGGAAGCCTCACCTAGAGGGGTTTGCTCTCCTGAGCAGAAGGCAGTGAGCCTGAGTCCCTGCTGAGCCTGAATCCCTCCTGAGCTCCAGATCCTCACACATCGGAACGTGCCTTTCCCTGCTGGGACAGGGTCAGGTCATCTTTAGCTCTGGACCAAGGCCTCTTCCTTTTCCTGTCTGAGCTCAGCTCAGTGCCTCCCTTTGTCTTGCTTTCTATAGACCTTGCATGCTGGGCCCACTTTATCCTCAGACCCCTGAGGGCATCAGAGAAAGATCCTGGTCCATCCTCTCAGAGCCGAGTGCTAAATCAGTGCCCTGGCTCTGAGCATCCCAGGCAGGGTAGAAGCAATTCTCTCTCTCGAGGAGGAGGACTGCAGACTGCCACCCGCCCCGCAGTGGAAGGAAAGATGAGAGGTGGGAGCTCCAGGAGGACTGGGAGGGGAGGGAGGTGGAGTGGGCTTTGGTGAAGCACGGAGGGAGGAGCTGGAGACGCAGAGCAGCAGCAGGCAGGCAGCAGCACTTTTGGGGGCCACCGGGCACAGGACGTGCTGGCCCATCCTCAGCACAAGCAATGCTGGCACTAGAGCTGCCGTTAGCCTTGAGCTGTGACACGGGGACAAGGGAGCTGGGACGTGGGCTATGCTCCTCCTCTTCACCAAGCTGAAGCTTGATGCCCTGTGTGTTGTTTGTACCATCTGCAGTGGGCAGAGGGAACCGACATTTCATGAGCACCGACTGTGTGCTGGGCACTGTGCCGGGTGCTTTGCATGTATTTTGCTATGTGGAGAGATATATCTGTGGGGACAAGGAAATCCCCTGGGGTCTCCTCCCCCAGCTCCTCTAAACATCCCTCTCCCCTTATGTCACAGAGAACAAAGCTTCACATGAAAATGCCCTTAGAGGGTGGGGAATTAGTTCACCCTGAGATGCTAAAGACGGACGTGGAGCCCTCCTTAAGCAGAAGCTTCATGAGGCCAGAGGGGAGAAGGGGGTATGGGGACCCAGTACTTGGGTCCTCAAAGGCCGTGGAAGGGGAGTGAGGTTGCAGAGAAGGATGAGGCCCCCACAACAGGTGCAGGCCCCCAAGACTAGATGCCTAGATTAGATCCTCTCCTATGCAAAGCCAGCCCTTCAGGCCGGCACATAAAATCCAGTGCCCAGCACACTGCCCTGTGCACACAGAAGGCAGCAGTGCAGGCCTCATGAATTGAAGGATGCCCCCAGTGCTGCTTCTGGGTGGCTAAACCAGCCAACCTTGCAGAAAGGAAAGCAGACAGGGAGATGGTCCTTTTAACTGGCCTGTCGTCTGACACAATTAAATGCCTGAGTCCCATGGGCTTGCATGCAGCCCTCTTGAAATGGGCCCTCTGCAGGGACAGGCAGGCCAGCGGCAGGTGTGCCTGCTCCTTGGATGGACACTTTTCCAGGGGTTTAGAGGGAAGCTGCTACTTCTCTATTATTTTCTGAGCTGGAGGGCGAGCATGTCAAGAACCTGGCATGCTGGGGGGCTGTGCAGCCTGCTGGGAGCCACTCTCCTACTCTGGAAGAGCAGCACAGTGAAGCGTGGCCAGGCACGATGCAGGGTGTGTCCTCTCTCAGCCCCGCCAGGGAACCCTGGAGCTGCTGATGCAGACAGGGAGGAGCCCTGCGGGGGCCCAGGGCGGGAGGGAAGGTCCCACCATCCAGCATGTCACAGCAGTGCATCCTAGAGCACAGGGATGAGAGGACAAGGAGAAAAGAGTGAGTCAGGAGTAAGAGGTACAGTCAAGACCTCCAGGAATGATCCTGTGCTGGGCAGAATGGGCCAGTGCTACAGATGGCGCCTCCCACAGGGGATGCCCTCTCCGGGAGGCTGGCAAAGGGGCTCCAGGGAAGCAATGGAAACACCATTCCCATCTCGGCTGGGAGAAAGGCCAGGTTTGGGCAGAGACTCGGGGAAGGGCAGACGGGATGGTTTCTGTTGTGAAGCCGGAACACAAACATCTGATGATCACATTCTGCCACTCAGGAAGTGTGGGAGAGGAGAGGGCCCTGTGGGAGAACCAGCGCCGCAGGCCACTGCTGACTTGCCCTGAGCCTGCCAGGTCTGATCAAGGGCAGGACTTGGGAGACAGCATAGTGCCTCCTGCTCTTGCTGGAGTCTGGGGCAGCAACCTCCTGGAAGCTTGAGGGACAAGTGGCTGGCCGAGGCCTCCGTCTCCTCCACTGTCTCCTGAGGGTTGCAGCACGTGGGCCCTGTGTGCCGCCTGGGGTGGCCAGCCTCCCACTTACCTGTTGGAGCTGAGCTTCCACGCCACCTCCTGCACCCGGATGGCAGGGGACAAGGGGGGCCCGTGGCCCTCCACAGTGCTGACCGTGCTGGGGTAGCCGGCGGGGCGAGGGAGGCGACCCAGGGCGGTGTTGTTGGCGTTGTTGATGTTGGCGTTGGAGCCGGTGGACGAGTAGCTGCTCGGGGTGAAGGTGGAGTCCACCAGCTTCTCGTGGGATGGCGACTCAGTGTCGCCCTGGCTGCTGCCCGCCTTGTTGATGTGCAGCGGGCGCTGAGTGGTGAAGGTCTGGGGGAAGGCGCTCCGGCCGTCGCTTTGGTAGTAGCTGACGTGGTTGCCGAACAGGCCACCGGCCCTCTGTAGGCAAGAAGGAGGGGTGGGTGGAGAAGCCCCTTAGCACCCACTCCTCCCAGAGAGCAGCCTCCACAGCCAGGTCAGGGAAGTGCAGGGCCTGGGAAGGCGGGCTGCCTTCTTTCGGGTAGGCACAGCCCTGCTGGGAGCCAGGAGCACCTGAGGACCTTCTTCATGCCTGGCTGCTCCAGAGAGGGAGGGACCCGGAGTCTCAAGGCTCTGGACTCCCCTCTGCAGCAGCTGGGAGAACCCACCCACCAGTGGGGATGGGATTGGGCAAGGGGCTGCCGCTGGTACGAGCTGCCCTGGAGGTTTCCAGTGAAGCCCCTGAAGGCTGGGAGTGAGTTTCCAGGGCACGTCTAGGATGGTGGTCCCTAAGAGCAGCCAGCACACCGTGAGGGCGGGGGCTGGGAGAGCGACCAGAAGATTCTAACCAGATTTAAAAAATGGAAACCCAGTGTGCTCACAGAGCTAAAAGCTGGTTGGCCAAACGGTTTTGAAAATGAAGAATTTCCTGCATGATGGTCTTTTTCCCCTCGGGGACTCAGAGAGATTTAAAACCAGGAGCCAATGTTTTTCCCCAGTATTCTTTTCCTTGTCCTGGGGAAGTGGGCAAGTAGCTATTTGCACGGTTGTTCCAACCCTTGACATCAGAGCATCCCTGGGCCTTGGTGACTGAGGCTTTGGTTTCTGGTGTCTTGTCGGGTTGTGTCACCACCATGCCATGTCCCTGAGGCCACTCAGTGACGAATGTCTCCCAGTGACAAGAATAAGGATGAGGAAGAGACGGAGCAGGGGCAGGATGGGCTCAGCTTGCCCCCTGTGTGTTCCACAGCCTGGGAACTGGGCCCGCGGCCGGGAGAGAGCGGTGTGAGCAGGGTCCTGCACAATTATGGCTGGCAGCTTCTCCCTTGCTATAGAAGGATTTGTAACCAAACACCAGCGTGGTGAGGCAGGCAACACAAATGAGTGATAAACGCCCCTTATTCTGGTACAGCCGTTTTAATTTTCACTATTGCAACTGCTGGGCAGCTTCAGTCTCCAGGAAAGGAGAGGGAAAGGGGAGTTCTGGAGGGGTCTTGGAGACCTGGAGAACACACGCTATGCTCCATCTCAAAGGGCCACCGCCTCTAGGCTCCGGCCCTCTGCTGCCCTGTGGGAATGCAAGCTTAATATTACCAGGTCTCCTGACTTTTCCAAAGAATGCCAGAAGTCTTGATTTTCAAATATTAACAAACAAAACAAGCCTGCAGATTAGATGTGCCCCAGGGGTGACCACTCTGCAACTTCTAATGCAGAAGTTTCTCCTAGGAAACATTTCCCTTAGGAAGGCGGTTCCTTCCCGCTTCTCTGAGAGCCAGTGACACTGAGAGCTGCTGTTTCCAGGGAGCCCTGCCTTGGGATGGAGTCAGGCTTGGAAAAGGCAAAGGGGTGAGGAGACAGCTCATCAGGAAGAGCCTGGAAGTAGCCCTTTCCTCTGGTGCAGCTCCTTCCCCTGGACGTTCCCCGCAAAACCCCAGCCCAACCTCTTGCTCCAAACTGAACTTTATAGGGGTCGAGAGTGCGCCATGGCACCACCCACCCTGAAGATGTCATCTTCAGAAGCAGCGGACACAGCCTCCTTCATGGCCTTGTCCAGCTCCTCCTCAGCGGTGAGATCTCCAGAGATGGCCCGTCGGATCTCAGGCCCGATGTCATGCAGTGTGCGCAAGCCAGCCTGGAATCCAAGGGGAGGATGGTGAGGACCACGCTCCCTTTCCTCCAAGCTCCCCAGCCAGCCACAGCCTCGGGCCAAGACCTGTCCCTCCAGGGCCCTGGCATCCTCCACCCAGCCAGTCGACCCTCCGGAAGGTTTGTGTGTGTGTGAACTGGGGGCTGGGCTGCCCTCTGATGGAACAATCCACTCGCCCATCCAGGAGGGATGAAGGCTCATTAGGACGGGGCACCAGGGGTCAGGGGCTGTCACGGGAGCCTCAGTGAAGTATTTGAGAGATCTGGGGGCTATGACAGCAGGCAGAACCATGGAGGGCAGTCGGTGGGTGGCAGGTAGGGAAGGGCACATCACCCCCTTCTCACAGCCATCTTTGGAAAGGTCTGGAGCTCTCTGAAAGGTTCCCTCTGCAGGGACCTGGCCTCCAGCCTGCTGGGGAGGGACCGGGACCCTGACTGGAGGTCAGAGGCAATGACCAGGACCTTCCTGGAGTGTGGGCCCGCCCCCAGGCCCTCACCTGCAGAGACAGCGCGTTCCTCTGGGAGGGCTTGCCCACAAGGCCCTGCTCTTTGCGCTTCTTGAACTTCCGGAAGTACTCCTGGATCAGGAACGTGGCGTAGAACTTGCCAACGGTGACCTCATCATCTGAGACGTATGGAGAGGGGAGAGGGGGTAAGAGGGGAGCAGGGGAATTCAGTTGAACTTCATTCATTTTTTTTTTCAGCATCCAAAACTTTTTAAAACTTTAATATTTTTGGAGAGGTAATACATTCACATGGCTTAAAAAGAGAGAAAAAAAACCATAAAAAGGCTTATGGTCAAAAGTCTCTCCCACCACAGCCCTTATCTGCCTAGTCACCACCTCCTGTAGATCATCTAGTTTCTTGAGTATTTTCTCAGAGATTCTTAGTGCAAATTAGTTATGTAAATCATCAAACATATTATCTCCTGTTTTTTTTATGCAAAAGGTAGCCTACCATCAAAATTATTTCCCGCTTTTTTTTTTTTAACTGAACTGATACATTTGATTCCAGAGCTTCAAATGTCCCTCATCAACTGGCCACTCTTCCAAGTGCAAGTGCAAAACGGTTCAGCTTAGCTCGGAGGGAGGGGCTGGTGGAAGGAGGGCTTTCTTCCCATGGAAGTTTGGATTTTTCTTTCAAACCCGATTGAGTTTTTGTGCCAGGTGGCTTGGCTGCATCCCTGCTGGGCTGGATACCCAAGATTATATGTGACATCATCAGTCCCTTTCCTGGGAGTAAACCTGATGGTGGAGAAGCCATAAGTTCTTAGAGGAAACATTTCATGCCTGGGGAGGAGCCCCTTGGATCTACCTCCTGGTTCTTTGTGAAGAGATGCCACGGGCCCAAGAGACAGCTGGGGATTAAATCTAGGGGCTGGTGAGGGTTCTCCTCCTCCTACCTGTCCCTCCAAAATAGCCACATCCATAGCAGTGATGACCCCTCCCTTCTCTGGCAAGCACCCCCTTTCCACGTGGGAGGGAAAAACCCAGGGTCCCCTGTCCAGCATAGTCAGGAAGGAAGAACTGCATGGTGGGACAAGCCTGGAGTCCTACCTGGAGTCCTAGGTTCCCTGGGGCCTGGGTTTGAATCCTGAATCTGCTGTGGACTCTCCAGGTAACCTTGGGCCAGCAACTTAGCTTCTAAGAACTTTAGTTCCCTGAGCAAACTTCACAGAAATGTTGTCAGGATTCAATAAAACGATGTATGTAAACATCACATGGCACTGGCGAGATTTTCGCTTAGCCCAAATCCGGCTTTCCCTCTGGCAAATGGTTCTCAACACAAGTGGTGTCGCCTCTTAAGGAGGGCACAGTAAATGTGTGGGGTGGTTTTTAGTTGTCGGGGTACTGTGGGGGTGCCACTAGCATTAAGTAGCTCCAGACCTGTCCCTTAAAGTGCAGGCATGTTCTGCAATCACAGCTTTGCACTCTGCATGGCTCTCAAGCTTATGCCACACATCCATGATTCTGCTTAGGAGTCTCTGGGCTCGGAACATAATTTCATTTTGCAAATGAACACAGGACATTGTTTTGCATGGTTTTAACACACCTGACAATTTCCAGGAATACAACTGCTGTGTAAATTGAGGAAAACTATACTTTGGATTATTTAAACTTGGCCAAGAGAGGTTCGCATTTTGGAAAACTGTATTCCTGATGGCAATGCTCTTTAGGGTGTGTGGGTCACTCACCGTAAGTGTCACATCACGGTTGTTCTGCATATGTGTAAGTATGTGTGTGTGTTTATGTGTGGGGGGCTATTTATACACACACTTATTTAATATACTGATTTACCCCTTATTTCAAAATGGCAAATCAAAGTGTTGACAGTATTCAGTATTGTCTTGTTTCCTGTGAACCCAGCCGTATGTGTTGTAAGTGGGTGCATGAGAAGATCTCATCAATTAAATGTACCTGCTGGTATAGTTATGCCTGAGTATTTACATATTGGAAACATCTGCTTTTAATAGATTTTATGTTAGAGTGAAGGCATTATATTAATATTTTGGAAATTATATGTATAGGAAAGTTATATTACCTATAATTTTCATTCAGGATCATAGTAAAGGCAATATAAACTCTTTGCTATAAAAAGGGATTTGAGGCTTGATAGGGTCAAGAAACACTGCTCTTGGAAGAACAAAAAGAATGTCATCCAAGAGGGGAGGAATCTCAGGGGATTCTCGTTTGAGGGCCTTAGAGCAATCCTACAGCAATCAGGTTTATGGGAAACCTATACTTTGTGGAGTTTCTTTAGAAGTTCTGCCAAACCCCTAAGCATCAGGGACTTGCCTGTTACCCTATGTAAAAAGCAGGGTTGTACCAGATTTCCAACCTGACTTTCTGTTTCTGAGTTTGTGCAGGGCGTTGCACCTGCCTCCCTTCTAACCAACAGGGCCTCTGAGCCCCACAGGAAGGGTCTGAAGGCAGACCTCCAGCAAGCCTAGGGGACTCAAGAAGCAAGTCTCAGGGGATGCTTCCGCATTCTAAGGGTGCCACAGCTGGAGGAGAGGCAGGCAGAGGGGGGCACGGCCAGGCAGTGGCCAAGGTGCGGGAGTCCAGGGAGCACTCACCACCTGCAGGGGGCACCACCTGGTCCAGCAGCTTCATGCTGGTCCGCTTCCAGATCTTCTTGATGATCGCCCGCAGCTCCTCATTGGCTTGTTCTAGGTTCCCTGCAGGGCGGAAAGGATCCTCAGCCCCTTGGTGGGCCTCTGATGGGCTGGGTCCCTCTGCGTAAGGTAGGAAGCCACAGATGGTGGCATCTGCCCCACGCAACCCTGACTCATCAGTTTCTTTCTTGCTTGCTTCACTTCTCCCCAGTCTTCCCATTTTCCACCTCCTTCCTCTTCCCCTTCCTCTGTCCACCTTCCTTCCTTCCCCCTTCCCTCTTGTGCCCCGTCCAATGCCATTCCTGTCCCCTTCCCCCTGCCTGTGGCTCAGGCCAGCCAGGGGGCCCCTCCACCGGCACTCAGTGCTCTTCCTTGTAGACTGAGCCCAGCCCCTGGGCAGGAACAATGGCGGCCATGCGCTCACCAGCTGGAACACGTATGGCCCTGCCACGGGCAGTGGGGGGCTGGTCCCCATGGGTGGCATTTCTCATGGACCTCCTTCGGCAGTCACAGGGAACATGGATGATTGGAGGGTACATCTGTCGATGAGGGCTCTGTCCCGAGTTCCCCTACTTAGATGCCTGCCTTATGCAGCCTCTGGGGTCCTAGCCTTACAGTGATGAAAAAGGAAAGCTGAGCCTTACAGCTGTAAGGGCAGATGTAGGGGACAGGATTCTAAGATGCTCCTCATCAGGGTACACATGCTGCCAAAGCCCTGGGCCCCTGACCATCATAGATTTTACTCCTGAGATTAGGTTATATGGCACACGGCACCTATGACCTAAGACAGGGAGGTTAGGCAGGCCTGACCTAGTCACATGAGCCCTTTAAAGGCAGAGTTCTCTCCAGCCGGCCTGGAAGAAAGCAAACAGTCATGTGGGCTGAACTGAGAGAGGCAGCCTCTAGGAGCAGAGGGGGTCCCCAGCTGTCAGCCAGCAGGAAAGTGAGGATCTCAGGCCTACAATTGCAACAAATGAATTCCACCAACAACATGATCTCCCCCAGAGCCTCCAGAAGAGACCATGGCCTGATCAATATCCTGGATTTGCCTTATGAAAGCCCAGCTTCACCACTGCTGGACTTCTGACCTGCAAAACCATGAGCTACTAACGGGGTGTCTTTTTTTTTTTTTTTTTTTAGACGGAAGTTTGCTCTTGTTGCCCAGGCTGGAGTGCAATGGCGCGATCTTGGCTCACTGCAACCTCCACCTCCTGGGTTCAAGTGATTCTCCTGCCTCAGCCTCCCAAGTAGCTGGGATTACAGGCATGGGCCACCATGCCCAGCTAATTTTATATTTTTAGTAGAGATGGGGTTTCTCCATGTTGGTCTCGAACTCCCAACCTCAGGTAATCTACCTGCCTCAGCCTCCCAAAGTGCTGGGATTACATGTGTGAGCCACCGTGCCCAGCCAACGGGGTGTCTTTTTAAGCTGAAAAGCTTGTAGTAATTTGCTTTGCAGCAGTAGGAAACCAACACGGGATGTTTACTGCTCTCGCATAGGACCGGCAGTCCAGTATTGTGGTTGAGGGCTCTTGTGTCAGACTGCCTGGGTTCAAATCCACCTCTGGGGCCACAGGGCAGAGCATGCAGAGGTGGCAGTAGAGGGATTGACGGAATCCCGAGCTCCCCAAATGCCAGATCCAAACAGGACCTGAAGGCAGGGGACGACTCCTGGGCCTTCCAGCTGCACAGATGATCAGTCCCCATCACGGGAGAGGTAGCTGGAGGTTTCTGACACACGCAGTGCAAGATCCTAACACACATGGTATTCAAATATACTTAGCTTCGGTACTGGGCTGAATAGTGTCCTCCCAAAATTCATGTCTGCCTAGAACCTCAGAATGTGGCCTTAGTTGGAAATAGGATTTTCACCAATGTAATTAGTTAAGGTGAGGTCATCCTGGATGAGGGTGGGCCCTAAGTCCAATGTGGCTGGTGTCCTTCCAAGAAGAGGAGAGGACACAAGACCCTGGAGGCTATTTGAAGATGGAGGCACAGATGGCGTGATGTGCTGTGAGCCAGTGCACACCAGGCATCATCCACAGCCCTCAGAATCTGGGAGAAAGGGTGGAACAGACTCTCCCCAGAGCCTCCAGAAAGAACCAACTCTGCTGACACCTTAGTTTTAGGTCTCTGGTCTCCTAAACTGAGAGAACTTTCTCTTGTTTCCAGCTGCCCAGTTTGTGATCATTTGTTACAGCAGACCTAAGAAATTAACATAGTTTCCAAAAGGACCTTTCATTTTTTTTTATCAGCCTTAATTTATTCTCATGATGGTCTATGTAATTGTTGAAGTTCACCGACAATTGTTTCATGTCATCTAAGTATTTTTCACTATCTTCCTTTTATGTTCCAAGAGAGAAGCTTGTTTGGCTTGGTACTGGACTTGGGATGAGAGCTCTTCCTTCTACGTTCCAAGAGAGAAGCTTCTTTGGCTTGGTACTGGACTTGGGATGACAGCTCTGCTTCTCTGAGGTAGGTGTTAATTTCGCCCCAATTCCTTCCACGCTGAGAAGTCTGAAGGGTGAGGACTGATGCAAGCCTCATCTTCACAAATGTAGATGTCTTCTCACATTTCTTTCTAGTTGCTTCCAAGACTTGACTTTGTCTTTCTTTCTTAGGATTTTAACAAGTTTGTGGAGGGCCCGTGTCTGATGAAGGCTCACCCTTGGGTGGGGGCGTTTCGATTTTAACAAGTTTATGGAGGGCCCATGTCTGATGAAGGCTCACCCTTGGGTGGGGGCGTTTCGGGCCCTTTGGTAGCTGTTCTGAAATGTCTTTGTGTTTAAAAGATAGTCTGTAATTCTTGACAGGATTGTAGTTCCCACATGGCTGGCTTCTCCTCTTTTCTCTGGAACTCTTATTTCCTCAGAATTGGGTCCCTGCATTTGACTGGTCAGTCTTTCGCATTGTTACTAGCTATTGGTCTTCCTTAGTTGGCATGTGGTTGGCTTTGACAGTGAACCTTCGACCCTGCTGAATTCTTGCTTCCATACCTCCCTGCCTTTTGTTCCTCTAGGGAACAAAATCTCACATCCTTAATTTACATCAATCTTTAAGTATTACAGCATATTCCTCCTGGCAGTCATTTATATCGCCTCTCCTTCCCTCTGAACATAGGGGAGTAACATTCCTTGCAGAACATTTGGAAAGTAAAAAAACTAAAGGAGTAAGGTGGATGTCACTGCTGATCTTTCTACTCATGATAATCAGTGTTAGCATACGAACACATTTCCTTCCCAGTTTTCTTCCTTGTTATACACACATATGTGTGAATTAAATGTGTGTTTTGGCCGGGCGCGGTGGCTCATGCCTGTCATCCCAGCACTTTGGGAGGCCCAGTCGGGCAGATCACAAGGTCAGGAGATTGAGACCATCCTGGCCAACATGGTGAAACCCTGTCTCTACTAAAAATACAAAAATTAGCCGGGCGTGGTGGCACGTGCCTGTAATCCCAGCTACTTGAGAGGCTGAGGCAGGAGAATGGCTTGAACTAGGGAGTCAGAGGTTGCAGCAGGCCGAGATTGTGCCACTGCACTCCAGCCTGGCGACAGAGCGAGATTCCATTTAAAAAAAAAAAAAAAGTGTGTTTTGGTTTTCTGGCAGTCAGAAATAGGCCTATTTACACCCATTTCAGATTGAGTGATTGCATTGGCTACTGATGGTATATTTTTTAAGCCTTTGCTCTTTTTTTTTTTTTTAATTTAGTAGCAGAACTTGTCCTATTTTTATTATTTTATTTTATTTTTTCAGATGGAGCCTCACTCTGTCGCCCAGGCTAGAGTGGGGTGATCTCGGCTCACTGCAACCTCTGCCTCCCAGGTTCAAGCGATTCTCCTGCCTCAGCCTCCTGAGTAGCTGGGATTACAGGCACGTGCCACCACGCCCGGCTAATTTTTGTATTTTTAGTAGAGACGAGGTTTCACCATGTTGGCCAGGATGGTCTCAATCTCCTGACCTCGGGATCTGCCCGACTGGGCCTCTCAAAGTGCTGGAATTACAGGCACGAGCCAGCACGCCTGGCCCCTATTTTTATTTTTTAAAAATCAGCTAATTATTTTGACTTGTGTCTTGGTGGACTGGTTCTTGTTTCACTTCATTTGAAATGTTTCTGTTATTGTTTTTGAAGGATCTAACGGAGAGAAGGCCCATGTCTGGGTTATTCAATGAATTAAATTCCCAGATGTCATCACCTTTCTCTAGTCTACCAATGGAGCAACTGAAGTAGAGAGAGAGTAAATGGCTCATACTCATGTCATTAGTGAGAGAGCAGGGACTCGGATTCGAGCCTCCCACCTGCCCGGGGCTCCTTCTGTTGCCCCGAGGAACACACTGACGGACAGCCTGAGCTTTAAGCTGGAAGTGTAGGAAGGGGAAGGAAGCATACTGCTTGTCTCATCTGTGTTTTCTGTAATTACTACACCAGTGGGTTTGAATCATCTCTGTAGTTGGTTCAAGATGCAGATTCCTGGGCCCCATGCTCAGGGATTTGGCATCAGCAGGTCTGTGTGGGTGCCTGGGACTCAGTAGCTTAAACAGGTACCCAAAGCTGATTCTGCAGCGGTGGTCTTTTGACCACGCTCTAAGAAACACTAGACACTCCAAGGCTGGACACTCTTGGAGAGAAATGGTATCTTGTTAGGTGTGTTTAATACAGCCTTTCCCATAGTGGTTCGCAAACTCTTATCCATCATAAAGCAAGCAGATTATCTCACTCAGGCTGCTGCTAGCCCTTAGGGTGCCTTGTGAAAACTAGAAGGGCCCCTCCAGGTGGACGCAGCCCTGAGGGAGCCCGGTCTGACTAGGTGGCACAGGTGAGGTCTGAATCCTCACCTGTCCGCTGGCTAAGAGCCTTAAGCCAGGCTCAGCCCGCACAATGTGTGCGATGACCTCCACCACGGCCACCACTTGTCACTGTGTCCCCTTTCCCACACGTCTTCCCAGCACAGTCCTATTAATTTAATGAGTTGAGCATTTGAGACACCCACCTGTAGCCAGTGTAAGTTCTTTTAGACAGGGGTTGGTCCTGCTTCAGGTAACACCCGTCTCCTTCTGTTTTGTGAGCTATACCCTCTGACTTCAAGATACCACCCAGAATGAGTCCCAGAGTTTCATGGAAAGCTAGAGTTCAAAATGAATAAGCTAGAGCAGGCTTGTCTAACCTGCAGCCCATGGGCCACATGCGGCCCAGGACGGCTTTGAATGTGGCCCAACACATATTCGTAAACTTTCTTAAAACATTGAGTATTTTGCAATTTTTTTTTTCAGTTCATCAGCTATCGTTAGTGTATTTTATGTGTGGCCCAAGACAATTCTTCCAATGTGGCCCAGAGAAGCCAAAAGATTGGAAACCCCTGAGCTAGAGGCAGGGAGACCATTCAGGAGCAAAGAAGTCATGAGCAGGCTGGGGCCCTGCGATGTCCTGGAGCGCACGTTACCCCCGTATCCCAGCTCGGATGCTGTCTGGGGCAGGAAGTTCCCTTGAGCACTTTGCAGGCTGCCGAGCTCCTCTCTGATTGTCTGCTAGACCTTCTGAGTGTCTCTCCCAGTGCCCACGGGCGACCTTACCTTCTGTTTTGATCCTCAGGGCCGTCCTGACCAGGGCAAACAGGGTGGCATTGAACATGACTGTCCCGTCGCTGTTCAGAGGCATGTTCATGGAGACCAGGCGCTGCAGGCGAAGAGAAGCAAAGCTGGTGATGATGGCAGGCGGTGCTTAGGGGACCGCAGAACACCGTGGCAGAGTGATATGGTTTGGCTCTGTGTCCTCGCCCAAATCTCATGTTGAATTGTAATCCCCAGAATTGGAGGTGGGGCCTGATGGAAGGTGATTGCATCATGGGGTGGATTTCTCATAAATGGTTTGGTACCATCCCCTTGGTGAGTGAGTACTCATGAGATCTGCTTGTTTAAGTAAGTGTGTGGTCCCTCCCCCTTCTCTCTTGCTCCCTGTCTGTCCATGTGACGTACCTGCCTCCCCTTTGCCTTCCACCATGATTGATTGGAAGCTTCCTGAGGCCTCCCCAGAAGCAGAATGCTAGTGCCATGCTTCCTGTACAGCCTGCTGAACTGTGGGCCAATTAAACCTGTTTTCTTATAAATTACCCAGTCTCAGGTATTTCTTTACAGCAGTGCAAGGATGGCCTAATACACAGAGGATGCTGGGGGTGACACGCAGCTTGTGTGGGTGTTGCTGGAGTGGGCAGGGAGTGAATGCTCCCTGAAGCATTCCAGGGAGAATCTTGCCTTTGCCACAACTACTTTTGACCCTCCTCGTGGAGTGGGAGAGGTATGAAATTTGTCCTCATTAGACCTTCACTTCCACAAAAGGATGTGAAGGCCACCCAACTTTGCGCCCTGCTCGAAAGTCTGCTCAGGCGTGCAGGTGTGCTCTCCACTGGCAGCAAAGACCGGCTGTACGCCAGCATGTGCTGGGAGCCCACCTGCCAGGCAGCATTCGTCCACAGCCCAGAGAAGAGAAAGGATCACAGGAGCTTTGCCTGCAGGAGATGCTACATGTCCTCTCTGTGTATTGACAAATATGCTTCTGCATCAAGTTGGAGCAGAAGCTTGCTGACACTGGATAGTGCTGTCTTGCCCTCTTCTTTCCCAGCACACACCCCCAGAACAGGCTTCCCTGGCACGGAGCTCTGGTGTGGGGCCTTCAGCATGCAATGGGTCATGACGAGCAAGCGCGGTGTGAAGCTCACCACAGCGTCCATGCCAAGGGCATGCTCAAGGGGGGCTATTTGTCAGCTCACACGGTGACCTCCTGCTAATCTCAGTGTCTAGAAGGGTTACACTTCTCCTGAGTGACCAGATCTTGATGAGCCTCATGGACGGTGTGAACTGTATCTTGGCCACCGGAAAGTTTCGCACCCAGGCTTCAGCCTGCCCAGGCCCGTCCGGAGGCCACAACGGACGCACTTTAGCCCCCTCCAGGCTGCACCCCTCCCCACCCTTGCCTTGCATGGTGTTTGTACCTTGCATTTATTTTATGCTCTTTTCTGATATTTTCTATGCCCTTGGAAATCTCTTAAAATCTGTTTTTGTTGTTGTTGTTGTTTGTTTGTTTTTGGAGCAAAGTGGAGGCACAAATGAGAAGAAACTCAGTAAACAGAGCACAAGTAGAAGGTTCTATGTTCCCTCAATCTGCGTTTTCCATGAGTGGATTCTCACAGAGCCGAATCCTCCTGCCATCTGAGTTTCCTCCTCTCTCCAGCCCTCTGGTCTCCCTTCCCCCAGCTCTCTGTCAGCTCATTATTGCCCCAACAAGGAGCACGGAATGGCCACGGTGGAGAGGAGGGAGAAAAGGAGCGTGGAGTGGCCATGGTGGAGGGGAGGGAGAAAAGGAAACGACACTTTTTTTTTGGGTCATGGTCTCACTAAGGAATCTGATTAAAGTGAGAAATCCTCTCCCTGGTAAACTTTGTATTTTAGTGATTTTATGAAAAATTTTAGGACTCAAAGACCCCTGAAGTCAATGCCTGGGCTTTCTAATGGCCTTCCAACTCCAGGAAAAGAACGCCGAACCCCTCTAGCCTAGGCTGGGAAGTCTCCCACCCCAGGATGCCCGGATGGTGCAGTGGGATGGACTGAACAAGTCCTTTATCCAGGACTGGGTCCCTGGCTCAGTAGGACAGGAGGCATTCACTCTGTTATTCCCTCATAGAGTCTGAGAATTTAGAGCTGGAAGGACCCTTAAAATGTAATCTTTAGGCACATAAACTAGTATGTTCATTCCCTTAAAGGATCACAAGAAATGGGCACTTCACTTCCCCTATTTTCCCTCTCCCTCCCATGAACCCCGTTATCTCTTACTTTGCAAGCCACGCGGTGAGGGCACAGCTTCCCAAAACCTAGTGGCGGCTGAATCCGCCGGAGGAGGGTCACCACATCCAGGTGTTTGATACGACCCCTAGAAGAGGAGGGAGAGGAGGGACAGGGCATCAGAGAGCCACGGTCTCTGCCAGCAGCCCAGGACGCATGCGCCTGAGGGGTAGGGCCCACTCATATGGGCAACACTGCACAGTGTGGTAGCCCTATTAGTCACACTCAGTACAGAGTTGCAGAATTGCATGACACAGCCCCAAACCAATATACATATACACGTGTTTAGATTTTAATGAATCATTTTCTGCCCATGCTATGTTCAAGGTGGAAGGGATTTTAGCAGTGCAACAAAATTCTCAATATATACTTGCTGATTGAATGAACTAACCTTCTGACCAAAAGGTATTTACTGAGGGTCAGCCGAATGTGATTGATCTTTAGACCAGAAGCGGGAATGGAATCAAGATTTTCCCCGGCCCTACCTATCCTAACTTGAGCACTTACTAGTTATTCCTGATACTAGAATTTCCTATCCTTCCATTCAACTGAATATAGTAGATATATTATTTTCTTTTTCTTTTTTAGATGGAGTCTTGCTCTGTCGCCCAGGCTGGAGTGCAGTGGTGTGATCTCAGCTCGCTGCAACCTCCACCTCCCAGGTTCAGGCAATTCTCATGCCTTGGCCTCCTGAGTAGCTGGGATTATAGGCATGTGCCACCATGTCCGGCTAATTTTTGTATTTTTAGTAGAGATGGGGTTCACTGTGTTGGCCAGGCTGGTCTTGAACTCCTGGCCTCGAGTGATTCAACCACCTTTGCCTTCTAAAATGCTGGGATTACAGGTGTGAGCCACCCCACCCAACCTAGTAGATACATTCTTGACTTAATTGAAGGTGCCGGGCCTCCTCCTGCTGGCCCTTGACCTTTCACCCTAGGGTGTGATACAATCCAGTGTTTCTAATTGATCCACCCAGTGTTGGCCAACCTTGAGCCCCTCCTGCAGGTATGGTCAGCTATACCCTCTCTCAGCTTGGGGAATCAGGATTTCCCTCTGGGAACTTACTTGGCTTCAGGGTCATACTCTGCCCAGATTCTTTTAAACTCATCCAGGTGGTGGGGACCAAGGATGGACCAGTCCCTTGTCAGGTAGTCAAAGTTGTCCATGATGACAGCTACAAAGAGGTTGATGATCTGTGGGGAACAGTACAATGAGGTGCTGTGAGAAGACCTTCCTACACACCTGCCTCTGGAACCCCCTTGCCAGCTGGGGCCTACTGATGGCAGAAGCCAACATTTCTAAAGACCAGTCATCCATCCTACCAGCCTGAGAACCTGGGTCTCTTGGACATAAACTTGACACAGTTTCCCTGAGAGTTGTGTGTGATGAACCCACAGGTGGGCTGGACAGCTTCCCTCCTACCGAGCTGCTGGGCAGGGCTGTGCAGGACAGAGGGGGACTTTATCCCCTTTTCCTCACTCCTCAGCAAGATGCCAAAAAAGTACAGTTCTTTCTAGGCCCCCACATGTCCCCGTTGTCCTCTGGGACAATGCCACCATGACAACAGCCAAGAACAGACAAGCAAGATGCTGGTGGAGCTCACTCTGGCCCAGGGCTTTCTGCCTTTCTCTCCATGTGGCTGGACACTCCTGCCAACTTAGTCTTCCCAAGCCAGCTCCTCTGATAGGGTTGCCCTGACCATGAGCTGCAGAGATGGACGGTTCAGACTGCCCTGGAACTGGGCAGTCATGGCTGCTGGCTGTTGAGTTCCCCCTTGGCTTACCAGGAAGGCACAGAGCATGTAGAAGCTGATGAAGTAGAAGACAGCAAAGCTGCTACCACAGGGTGTTTCACCCTCCGTGCTGTTGCTGGGCTCGGACTCTGGGGCACACTTCTTGCCTGGCATGCAGGCCAGCATGATGTCCTGCCAGGCCTCCCCGGTGGCACACCTGGAGGGGAGGGAGAGCCACGTTCATGCAGCCCATCCTACAGATGCCAAGGAGGGCCCTCTGCATCCCTCCCCACCTGTCCCTTTCCTCCTTCCCCAGAGGGAGTTACTAAAATGAACTTGATGTTCATCATTCCCTGAATGCTCTGATATATTTGCTAAATATGAAACACATAGCATTATTAAAATTTTATATAAACAGTAACAAATTGCACCTTTTCCGAAAACTTGCTGTTTTTGCAATCCATGTGATGTTTTTGAGACTTAGCCCTTTGGATGTATTTTAGTTCCAGTTCATTCACCTTAACTGCTGTACAGGAGTATGCTCTATGAACTTACCGTAAAAAAATCCACTGTCCTGTTAAGGAACATTTAGGTTTTTCATTTTTTCTTTTACTAGTACAAATAACACTGCAATAAACATGCAGATTTATATCTTGGGTATCCACTTAGAAGTGGAATTGCCAGTTAAACTACATGCATCTTTATTTTTACTAGATATTCCATGACCTCCAAGGATTTGTCCAACTTAGACTCCTATTACCAGTGTAGGAGAAATAACACTACTGTACAAACTCATCAGTTCATTAGTGAATTGTTTTAAATGTTGCTCATATAATTTGTGTGAGATAATATGTCACTGCTGTTTTAATTTGGTTATAAAATGATTAGTGGGTTGAGAACTTAAATTTTATCTTCCATTAAATTGCATGTTCATGTTTTTGCTTGTTTGATTCAGGTTGTCTTCTTGTTCGTTTGTAGGGTGCTTAAGATACTCTATTCTCTGGCCGGGCGCGGTGGCTCACGCCTGTAATCCCAGCACTTTGGGAGGCCGAGGTGGGCGGATCACGAGGTCAGGAGATGGAGACCATCCTGGCTAACATGGTGAAGCCTCGTCTCTACTAAAAATACAAAAATTAGCCGGGCGCGGTGGTGGGCGCCTGTAGTCCCAGCTACTTGGGAAGCTGAGGCAGGAGAATGGCGTGAACCCGGGAGGCGGAGTTTGCAGTGAGCCGAGATCACACCACTGTACTCCAGCCTGGGCGACAGAGCGAGACTCCGTCTCAAAAAAAAAAAAAAAAAAAAAAAAGATACTCTATTCTCTATTCTTTTTTAAAATTTCCAATAGTTTTTTGGGAACAGGTGGTTTTTGCTTACACGGACAAGCCCTTCAGTGGTGATCTCTGACATTTCGCTGCACCCATCACCCAAGCAGTCGTCTTTGATCCCTACCATCCTCCTGCCCTTCTCCGAGTCCCCAAAGTCCATTACATCATTTTGCAAATGGTGCTGCTATAAATGTGTGTGTGCAGGTGTCTCTTTCACATAATGACTTCTTTTCCTCTGGGTGGATACCCAGGAGTGGGACTGCTGGATGGAATGGTAGGTCTACTTTTAGTTCTTTAAGGAATCTTCATACTGTTTTCCATAGTGGCTGTACTAGTTCACATTCCCACCAGCGGGGTAAAAGTGTTCCCTTTCCACCACATCCATGCCAACATCTATTATTTTTTATTTTTTAAATTGCAGCCATTCTTGCAGGAGGAAGGTGGAGTCTCATGGTGGTTTCGTGTCTATTCTTAACCCTTTGTTAGTTATATGCAACAGAAATATCTTCTTCCAATTTGTGGGTTGTCTCTGGTATTATTTACGGTGTATTTTGGTGAATCTAAGTTTTTTATTTCAATGAGGTCAAATTTATAGTTTTTTCCTCTATGTTCTGTGCTTTTTGCATCACGTTTAAAAAATCTTTCTCTATTTTAGGTCATAAAGACATTCTTTTCTGTGTTCTTCTAAAGGTTCTAAAGTTTTGTTTTTCCGCAATAACTTATTGACCTGAAATTTATTTTCATGTTTGATATGAGGTAGAAATATGCTTTTATTTTTTCTGCATAGATAAGTCATTTTGTTAATACTATTTATTGAATAGTACATCTTCACCTACTTAATTGAAATATTTCTTCTGCCGTAAGTTGTATTTGCGTAGATGTGTGGGTCTTGTTCTAGCCTTGTCATTGCATTCCTCAGGTTTATTTGTTTATCTTGGTACAGAAGTACTGTGTTGTCTGCATAGTAAGTTGCCTTATAGTAAGTCCTGCCCTCTCACAGTGCAGGAGTCCTGCCAACCTGTTGTTCTTCAACATTTGTCTTGGCTATTCAGTTTCCTTTTCTATTCCATAGACACTGTAGAATCAGTTTCAGCCTCTGTGAATAATCCTGTTGGGAGTCTTATTAGAATTGCACTGAGATGTCAATTCATTTGCAGAATCCTGACATCTTTATGATATTAAGTCTCCTGGCCAGAAACGTGGCATCTCTCTCCTTTTATTTTGTTGTACATTTAAAATGGTATAGTTTCAACATTATATTTTAAAAGCTATGTCCATTTGCTGCTGATATAGAGGGAATACAATTGATTTCATATTACAGAATATTTGCTAAACTATCCTATCAGTTTTAGCAATTTTCTGTAATTTTTCTTGTATATATACACAGGCAATCAACTTTTTTGGCATTTAATTTTGTTTCTTCCTCTCCAATTCTTATCCTTTGATTTATTTTTCCTGTCTTGTTTTTTTTTTTTGAGATGGGGTCTTTCTCTGTCCCCCAGACTGCAGTGCAGTGGCGCAATCTTGGCTCACTGCAACCTCCATCTCCTGGGTTCAAGAGATTCTCCCACCTTAGCCTCCTGAGTAGCTGGGACTACAGGCGCCTGCTACCACGCCCGGCTAATTTTTTGTATTTTTAGTAGAGACGGGGTTTCACGGTGTTAGCCAGGATGGTCTCGATCTCCTGACCTCGTGATCCACCCGCCTTGGCCTCCCGAAGTGCTGGGATTACAGGCGTGAGCCACTGCGCCCGGCCTTTCCTGTCTTATTTTATTGGGTAAGAGTTACAAAATAATAACATTGAAAAAGTGATAGCATAAGATCTTGTCTATTACATTTACTAATTAGTTATTACCAGTACAGGAAAGCAATTATTTTTCTTTGTTAATCTTTTAATCTTCCACTTTATTAATTCTATTGTCCTAAAGGGTTTTTAGTTAATTTGCATGGATTTTCTACTTGAATTAGCCTGTTGTCTGCAAACAATGACAATTATGTGTACATATTTTCATATTTATAACTGCTTGCTTTTTTCTCTTTTTCTCATTGGCATTAGCTTTATATTAGTCTTATGGAGTGGGTGAAGAGGTTTTCTACATCTTTCTGTTCCTGGAAAGTTTATATAACATTGGAATGATCCACTCCTTGATAGTCTGGTAGACCTCACAAATAAAAATATTGAACCTTGGGCCTTTTCAAAGGCTAAATTTTCAACTACCTTTTCAATTTCTGTTGTAGTTGTTTTTTTTTAATTCTTAAGATAATTTTATAATTCTTATTTTCTACATAAAAGCGTCTGCTTCATTTAGGTTTTCAAATATATTTGCATATTTGTTCATGATGTTCTCTGTCTTCTTTTTAAAAGTCTGATATTATTTGTCTGCTACTCTTAGAAAAATCTTGTGTGTGTGTGTGTGTGTGTGTGTGTGTGTGTGTATGTGTGTGTATGTGTTTAGAGATGGGATGTCACTTCATCACCCAGGCTGGAGTGCAGTGGAGCCATCTTAGCTCACTGTAACCTCAAACTCCTGGGCCCAAGTGATCCTCCCGCTACAGCTTCTCAAGTAGCTGGGACTACAGGCACATGGCACCACACCTGGCTAATATTTTTATTTTTTATTTTTAGAGATGGGGTTTTGCTGTGTTGCTCAGGCTGGTCTCATACTCCTGGTCTTAACTGATCCTCCCACCTCAGCCTCCCAAGTTGTTGAGATTACAGGTGTGAGCTGCCATGCCTGGTGAAAATCTTATTTTTGATAGACTCAGAAGCTCTCAGTGAGCATAGCCTCCATGTCTTGGAAATCTGTTCCTGGCATTTTTCTTTGGTCTCCTTCATTCTCTTGGCCAAAAGTTTAGCATATTGTTTAACCTCTTCCTTATATTTATTTATTTGGAGACAGAGTCTTGCTCTGTCGCCCAGGCTAGAGTGTAGTGGAACAATCTCGGCTCACTGCAACCTCCACCTCCCGGGTTCAAGCAATTCTCCTGCCTCAGCCTCCCGAGTAGCTGGGATTACAGGTGCCCGCCACCGTGCCTGGCTAATTTTTGTATTTTTAGTAGAGATGGGGTTTCACCATCTTGGCCAGGCTGGTCTCGAACTCCTGACCTCATGATCCACCTGCCTCGGCTTTCCAAAGTGCTAGGATTACAGGTGTGAGCCACCGCACCGGGCCTTACTTATTTTTTTTTTTAGTGTTCTGTTTCTTCAGAGCAATACGTCAGCATTTGTGTTGCAGGACATGTGGAGTAAGAAGATGCCGAGTCTTGGGTGCTTTGGTCCTGGGTTCCTGACATCCTTTGTTTAGGGGTTTACTCACTGATGGACATCATCTTTATGGAGAATGAAAAGTTATCGGACCGTGCCATCTCTTTTGGACCCCAGGTGAAAAGGCACAGTAGTATCAGTCAGTCTAGAAATATCTTTCTCTCCCCCCCATCTTTTTGTACAAAAACCAAATTAAGAAGTCAGACTGGCACCCACAATGCAACTCTGAACAATCTGTGCTTTCCTTCTGCAGTTCTCCTTGGTCTATAACAGAATGCCCCGTATGCAGTAGCAGGTGGACACAACCACAGGTCAGGACACACTGCTTCATAGGGAAACCTCGCTTGTCATTTGTACCATTGATTCCACCCACATAAGCCTTCCATTCTTCACCCAGAGTGGCACCAGCGACTTCTGAGGCCATATGCTTCTCATAAAAGGTATGGTTTGCATTCACTGTCCACTTCAATGAGTTTCTGGCAGCCACTGGCTGGGAAGGAGACTTTCTGCTTCATCTTGAAGTAGATGATCACCTCTGAAGTGCCACAAAACAGAGGCATGAAATTCTCTTATCATTCTAAAAATCACTTCCACATCTGTAATTATGTTGCTTTTTGCATTTCTGATGTTGTTGTGTTTTTTTTTAAAAAAATTGGATTTGATGGTTTGTCTGTTTATTGGTCTTTTCAAAGGATCAGCTTTAGGGTTTATTGATAAAATCCATATTTTATTAATTTATGCTTTTATTTTTAAAAATGCATTCCTTCATATTCTGGGATTATTTTACTATTCTTTTCCCCATCTATTAGCTTATTTAATATACAGCTTTTTAGATAAATAAATAAATTTCAGGCTCTGAATTTTTTCTTTGGTGCTGATTGATGCATCTCATACGTTTAAGATCTGGTGCCCTGGCCCTCATTTCTAAGTACAGTCCTGTGTCACTTAACAGTGGGGAGATGCATGGTTAGGCAATTCTGTTGTGCAAACAGCATAGAGTGGACTCACACAAACCTAGATGCCGTAGCTATTACACACCTCAGCTCTGTGGTACAGCCTACTGCTCCTAGGCTACAAGCTTATACAGCATGTGACTGTACTGAATATTGCAGGAAACTGGAACACAATGGTAAGTATTTGTGTATCTAAACATATCTAAACACTGAAAAGGAACAGTAAAAATAGGAACAGTAAAAAAGGAACAGTAAAAAATATTTAAATACGGTGCACCTGTAGAGGGCACATACCATGAGTGGAGCTTGCAGGACTGAAAGTTGTTCTGGGTGGGGCAGTGAGTGAGTGGTGAGTGACTGTGAGGGCCTAGGACATGACTGCACGCTACCGTACACCACTGGAGACTAGAAACACTATAAACTTAGGCTACACAAATTTATAAAAAGTACTTTTCTTTCTTCAGTAATAAATTAACTTCAGCTTAATGTAACATTTTTACTTTATAAACTTTTAAATTTTTTTTAACTTTTGGACTCTTTTGTAATAACGCAACTTAAAATACACATTGTACAGCTGTGCAGAATATTTTTCTTCATATCCTTATTTTATGTTTTTTTAATATTGAACTTTTTTTTTTTAATTTTAGCTTTTTGTTAAAAGCTGAGACACAAACCCACACATTAGCCTAGGCCTACTCAAGGTCAGGATCATCAACATCACTGTCTTCCACCTCCACATCTTGTCCTATCGGAAGGTCTTCAGGGGCACTAACATGCATGGAGCTGTCATCTCCTATGATAACAATGCCTTCTTCTGGAATACCTCCTGCAGGACCTGCCTAAGGCTGTTTTACGGTTAACTTAAAAAAAAATAAGTAGAAGCAGTACACTGCAAAATAATGATAAAAGTATAGTGCAGTAAAGACATAAACCGGTGACACAGTCATTTATTCTCATTATCAAATATTATGTACTGTACATAATTGTATGGGCCATACTTATCTATGACTGGCAGCACCACGAACACCTGAGTAAGGCACTGCACTGCATTTTGATGCTATAGCGTCACTGGGTGATAGGAAGTTTTCAGCTCCATTTTAATTTTAGGCAGTCTGTCATTGGCTGAAATGTCATCATGTGGTGCATGACTGTAGATTGTAGTTTCAGCTTTGAGTTACTAAGAAGAGTGCCAAATTTTTAAGTAGATTTTGGAGGGGTTTTTGTTTTTATGGCTAATTTCTAATTTGGCTATATCAAAGTAGGGGCAGTTGTAGAATTTGTTAAATTCTTTGTGACTTAAATCTTGGCTAATTTTTGTGAATGTTTCTGAGGTGTTTAAAAAGAATGTGTTTTTTTTGGCCATTTACTGAGTATAACTCGATAAGTTCAAGTCTGTTAATTGTATTATTTAGATATTCTTTACCCTTTTTTCTATTTTGGTCTATTTGGTCTGTCATGCTCTACCTGTATTAAATCTTCCACTGTGTGTGTGTGTGTGTGTTCTCCTTATACTTCTATTGGTATGTAATTGATACATTTCCAAACTATATTGTTAGGCTCATGTAGTTTTATGACTATTATATATTTTTGATGGATTATACCTTTTATCAATATAAAATCCCTCTTTGTCTTGTTTAATGCCTTTCACCTGGAATTCTATTTCTTCTGCTACTGCTATTATTACGTCTACATTGTGAGCCTTACATGGTATTCGTTTTTCCATCCTTTTATTTGCATTTTCTTTAGGCCATTTTGTTTTACTGTAGCTGTTATAAACAGGCTAGAGCTAGATTTCTTAAAGCCAACATCAGAGTATCTATGTTTTAATAGTGAACTTTACCTCAATAAGTTTAGCAATTATTATCTTTGTTCTTATTCCTGCCATCTCATTTTATTATTCTAATTTCCATGTTTTATTTATTTTTCTACTTTTACTTTAGCTTCCTTTTGATGGATTGCTAAGTTTTATCCATCCATTTTTTTCCTCTAGTGGTTTAGAATATATACATTCCATTTCTATTTTTTTAGTGATTGACCTTTAAATCTTTAACATATATATGTATACACACTTTTCCCTTAGTTATGTACAGAATTAAACAGTATATACTCTTATCCCCAAACAAGAGAAGAATCTTAGCATGGTTTCATGTTTCTCATTCTTCTACCACCTCACTTCCTACCTTGTAGAGATAACATAAAATATTACTTCCAAATTGTCATTAAGGTTTTGTACATTTTCCCCTTAACAAGTATCTAGACTTTATATAAACTTTATAATGTCCTTGTTCATAACTCATAACTATAAACTTCATTATTTTTTACTCATATCATTACTCTGCTCATTCTATTTCTTTGATTCATTTTTCATTCTGTGGAAGTACAGCCTGAGTAATTGCTCCAGGGAAGACTTATGTTGGGGAGTAAACTTTATGGGTCCTTAAACACTTGGAAATGTCTCTATTTTGCTTGACTACTGGAATGCTGATTAGACTGTATTTAGAGGGCCAGATTCAAAAATACATTTTTCCTCATAATTTTGAACATATTATTCCATTGTCTTCTATTACATATATACTTTTGTTAATGAGAAGTCTAATGCTAATGATGATTTTGAAAGTAATTCCCTTTTTCCTCTTTGGCAACACTATTTATTAACAAGGCTGTTCTTTCTCCACTGTGTGTTCTTGGCACCTTTGTCGAAAATCAACTGGCTGTAAATGAGTGGGTTTATTTCTCAGGTTTCTCTCCTGAGCCATTGCTCTATGTGTCCGTTTTTATGCCAGTACCATGCTGTTTTGGTTACTGTAGCTTTGTAACAGATTTTTATATCATGCATTGTGGTGCCTCCAGCTTTGTTCTTCTTGCTCAAGATTGCTTTGGCTATTCAGGGTCTTTTGTGGTTCCATATGAATTTTAGGATTGTTTTTTCCATTTCCATAAAAAATGACATTGGCATTTTGATAGCAATTGCATTGAATTTGTAGATTGCTTTGGGTAGTATGGTCATTTTAACAATATTAATTATTCCAATCCATGAACACAAGATATCTTTCCATTTATTTGTGTCACCAACTATTTCTTTTATCAATGTTTTATGAGTTCTCAGTTTAGATCATTAAATTTATTCCTAAGTATTTTATTTTAGTTTTTTGATGCTATTGTAAAAGGGACTGATTTCTTAATTTCTCTTTCAGATAGTTCATTGTTAGTGTAAATAAATGCTACTCATTTTTGTGGGTTGATTTTGTGTCCTGCAACTTTACTGAATTAGTTTATCAGTTGTAATAGATTTTGGTGGTCTTTAGGATTTTCTATATATAAGATCATGTTATCAGCAAACAGAGAAAATTTCACTTCTTCCTTTCCTATTTGGATAACTTTTTAAAACTTGCTTAATTGCTCTGGCTAGGACTTCCAGTATTATTATGTTGAATAGAAGTGGTGAGAGTGGGCATCTTTGTCTTGTTCCTCATCTTAAAGGAAAAGCTTTCAACTTTTCACCACTAAGTATGATGTTAGCTGTGGCCTTGTCATACGTGGCCTTTATTGTGTTGCAGTACCATCCTTCTATGCCTAATTTGTTGAGAGTTTTTATCATGAAAGGATGTTGAATTTTGTCAAATGCTTTTTCTGCATCTATTGAGATGATCATGTGGGTCTTTTTTCCTTCATTCTGTTAATATGGTGTCTTACATTTATTGATGTGCATATGTTGAACCACCCCTGGAATGAAACCCACTTGATCATGATGTATCATCTTTCTCATGTACTATTGGATTCAGTTTGCTAGTATTGTGTTGAGGATTAAGTGAGGATGACGCCCAGTGCATGTGGACATAAGCGCCCAGCACGGCAAATGGCACAGGTGCTGGTATAGTGATAGATATCTGTACTTATTGGACAAGAAAACTGAGGTTCAGAGAAGTTAGATATCTCACTCAAGGTCACAAAGCGTGTCGGCAGGTTGGCTTTGGGCCTGTTCAGATTCCAAGCCAGGCTGCTTTTAGCATGTGACTTTTGCTCCCCTAATGGTTTTGTCTGGTTTCCAGCAGGTGTGCCAGTGCATAGTGGGTTGCTCTGTGGAAAGTTATCATAAATGACAATGGACCCACTGGCCTCCTTGTCAGGCAGAGAGCAAGCAACACATCCTCTCCCTTCCTACTCCCCGGGAAGCAGTTCCCTTTCATTCTACCACCAGGCCACAGTGTGGCACCATGCAGGTGTGTGTGTATCTGTGCACCTATGTCTTCAGGGACCCACCTGAAGAGGAGCAGCACGGCCTGGGGGAAGGTCTGAAAGTTGTTGTTCCGGTTGATCTCTGTGGTATCATTCAGGGCAATTTTCCCAAACACCTAGGAGAGAGAAGGAAGAGGTGTTCAGTGATTTGTGGACAGATAGGGTCCTAATTTCCCACCATTGTTCAATGGTCTCTTCAGGGGTCTCAGGTGTCCCTGGAACTGGCTGCCACAAGCTGAACAGTCTTCCCATGCAACCTGGCAGGCACCTGCTGCCCCACCCAGCCCCTGAGCCCAAATCCCTACACTGGACAAGCATGAGAATCAAAGTGCCCACAGCCTCAGGAAGGTCCCTGCAGCCCAGTGGGAGCTGGGGCTGAGAGCGGTGGATGCTGGGACCGGGATCCTGCTTCTGACAGGACACAGGACGCACTGCGTTATTTTCTTTGCTATTTCAGTTCTGCATGTCCAAGCACTCTTTCAAATTTAGTTCTTGCATTTTGGAGTGATGTGGAGTGAGTGATCTGAGGCTAGGGCAAGCTTAATGCATTCCTGAAATCCCTTTTCTTCCTGGTCTTTTAAAGCTGTGCTTATCTTAGAAACTGCCACCTTTATCAGGTATCAAGGTAGCTCTTTTAGTCTCAAAAGGTTTTGGCAACTGAATCTTGGGTCTTTCTGCGATGAGCAAGTAGGGGACTTCCTGAAGGAGCGGCCGAGGAAGCGCTTTGGGCTAGTGTGGGCGCCCTGCCAAGTTTGGCCTTGGGACTCAAGCTGGAGCCCCAAGACGGGAATGGAGAGCCCTAGGTTTGCGGTGAATGGTGCAGTGGGCACCTGGGAGGGGAGGCCCCAGAAAACTGCTGCACATTTGATGCGGTGAACCTTGTGTTGATTTGGCCCTTCCTTGCTTCCTTCTTCCCTCCCTCCCTCTCAGCCATTAGCTTCAAATGAATCTGGTTGGGGTAACTCTCAGGCCCATCAGACCTGGACACAAACAGGGGTGCTGGACACAAACAGACACACCTTGCTGCTGTTTCTTGAGAAGGGGCTGTGTCTGTCCCGAGGCCCCTTGCATAACTGGAGAGTGTCTTTCCTCTACCAAGAGCAGAACCCAGGCCTCGGGGAGGGAGGCTCTCTGGGCTGTGTATTCTGTACCGGGACATTCTCCTGCTACCTACAGGAGATCCATTTGGGGAAAGTTCCAATTCCTGTGGCTTTTTGGGCCTCAGAAAATGGAAGAGGAGGGAGAGGGACAGTCAGGAATGAAAGGGAGAAGGGAGGGAGGAAGGCGTTAGGGAATGTGGTGCTGGGAACTGGGGAGAGACAGAGCGGGAGGCCAGGAGCCCCGTGGTGGGAGCCTCCCTACCTGCATCCCGATCACCGCGTAGATGAAGAACAGCATCACGATCAGGAGGGCCACATAGGGCAGGGCCTGGAAGGAAGTGCAGGAGACTCCCATGAGGCTGGAGTGCAGAGGCCAGCTGGGCCCCTTCCCAGGGAGCGCCGCATCCCTGTCTCTGCAGCCATCAGCTATTGCCCGGTTTGGGCCGGGGGACACTTCCAAGAGTCCCACAGGACTACGGGGAACCTGCGAGAAGGTCTGAGAAACCGGAACTGACTTCCCATTTCAGCTTGGTTTTCAAAGCAGGCCGCAGAGTAACGATATAGTGCGACACTACCTGGGCAAAACAATCAAGAACGAGCAAAACCTCCTCCGACTACACATGTGCGGTGTGTCTGTACGAGGCAGGAGAAATCGTGGAGGACAGCACCCCGCTGACTGTGGTTACCTGTGGAGGAGTGGGGTGGTGGCAAGTTACACCCTTTCTTTACACAGCTTAATTCCATCCCACTAGTTGTAGTGAGCGGGTATTACTATTGCAATGGAAACATTTAATAAGGAAAAATTTAAAAGAAAGATCATGGGTTCAAATCCTGTTTCTGCCACTTTCTATCTGTGAGGGTTGGGGCACTTAACTTCTCTGAACTTCAGTCTCCTCATCAGAAAAATGGAAACAATAATAATACCTCTCAGCGGTTTTGTGGTTGAAAAGATTTAAGGCTTATAAAGTGCTTAGTGCAATGCCTTGCAGAGCTGGGTTCCATACGCTCTATTCGCTCCATGCATTATCTGCCTGGCAACTCAGACAACTAATTTTCCAGAGCCCCCGTGACTTCTGGGGACAGGCCATGGTCCCCAGGATGGGAGGCCCAGCCCGTGTTCCCGGGCGCCGCTTCAGCCGTGGCCACCGGTCACTAGAGGGTGCCGTCAGAGCAGGCGCCAGCTGCCTGGCCCGAACGCCTGCGCCGCCATCAGGCCCTCGCAGTCACCCGGTCTGTGCCTCTTCCCAGCCCCAGGAGATGTCGGGGGGGCAGGGAGAGTATGGCAACTCACAGCCGTGGGTTCCGCGTGCACCCAAGTACAGAGTCAGCGGCAGTCCTGCTTCCGCTGGTGTCTACTATTCCGAATCCCCAGAGCCTGGGCTGAGCTGGGCTCAGAGTGCAGGAGCCCCAGCTCATCACTAGGCAGGGGTCAGCCTGGCCATTGGGAGCTCCCTCGAGAGCCTTGGATGGTCAGTCCCTGGCAGGAGGCTGCTGGGGGCAGAGCGGGGACGGGCATCTTTCCTCACCTGGACCAGGCCCAGGCATGCCCTGTCCCCGGGCAGGGACTGGCCAGGGTGGGGCACACAAAGACCATCTTCCCTGACAGATTCTCGTCTTGGAAAGGCTGAGAGCGGCCCCTCCATGGGGGGAGAGAAGCCTGCGTTCCGCCAGCCCAGGGAAGCATGAAACCGCCTTCACGGGTTCTGCGCTCATCTGGGGGAAGTCAAGTGACCCAAGCGCTTTGCTTCTCCTTAACTTCAAACCTACAAAGACTCCTCCGAGCTGGCAGGGGCTGATTGTCACTCTGTTTTAATGGGAAAACAATGGCTGAGCGGAGGAACTGATCACATGGCCAGGCAGTCCTGGGCCCATTCGAAGGGCCTCTCTAGCCGAGCGGAGGACACCAGGGTCCTGCGACTCTGGCCGAGGACATGACAGGTGCTGTCAGCAGATGCTGCTGAAACGCCTACGGGGAGGAGGGCGATGGCCAGATTCTGGAAATGCTGAACTCGAAGGGCCATAGCGGTCACCAGGTTGTCCAGGCCCGTGTTTTTCAGGTTTGTTCCTTACCACAAAACCCCTTTGTCCAGTAAATTCTTGTGCAGAAAGACATAAACGATGGTTAAAAGTAAGGCAGACCCTTTCTGCCTCCCCTTAGCTCCCATCCCTCCTTTACCACCTGGCCTTCTGGGGCTCTGAGCCTGCCTTGGAAACCACATGCTTCGTCTAGGCCTCTCGGTGCGGAAACAGGGAGCCAGGCAGAGCGGCCGAGTTCTGCCACACAGAGGAAGGAGCAGGGCCCCAGAGTGGAGGGCTCCTCCTTGTGTCAGCTGTGTTCTGGGCCACGCGGCAGCCCTGCGATTCCCCGGGCCGCAGGACATGAGGGGCGGCTACCTGGAAGGACTTGATGAAGGTCCACAGCAGCGTCCGGATGCCCTCCCCACGGCTCAGCAGCTTCACCAGACGCATGACCCGGAACAGGCGGAAGAAGGTGATGGAGATGCGGGAGTTTTCCTCTGCGTTCTGGAACCCGTCGGCAACAGGAGGTGCAGTTAGCACAGCAAGAGGGGGGTGAGAACAGGAGGGCCCCTCCGAGAAATACAGACCTCAGTGGCAGTGGCGGAAGGCAGGCCAGGGTTTGCTGCACTAGACTTCCCCCTCCGATGGGAGGGCGGCCGCCCACTTTAATGAGTGGACAGCCCAGCCCCATGGTCTCTGCAGAGCTAGACTGTGCCCAGGCCGCTGGGCTGTGGTCCTGTGTTTTTATTCTCCCCGATTCCCCTTCATTCCTAGTTCTTAATGCCCTGGATGGAGGACAGACGACTCCATCAGGAACTACCATAGGCTTTGGAATCTTCTAGGCCCAGAGCCAGCTGCCCTGGGAACCCCTCCTCTGCACTGCTGAGGAAGCAGTCCTAGCCTGTCTCCCGTTTGTCTGGGCAGACAGTCCTGTGTCCTAAGTGGAGCCCAGCACTCTCCGAGGATGTGGGTTGGTGGCTGGCCTCTCTCCCAGCTGTAGGTATGCGTGGATTTGGGGGTCCTGGTGGGCTGCCCCCTGAAGGACCTCATGCCCCAGCTGCTTGGGACTCCAGCACTTTCCTTGTATCACCTCCTTCTACTTTCCACAGCCCCTGTCCCAAAGGGAGGGATTACGGGTGCTACTCAGTGCTGGAGAGGGTCTGGTTTGCAGCCCTTGCTCCGAAGCTGTTGCCCTCCTACTCCCCTCTGCCCTGGGGCCTCTAGGAGGCTCCAACCCTTCAGGCTGTACAAGACCCTGGAAGGGAGAGGGGCAGCGTAAGGGAGGGGAGGCCTCCCTTGCAAGTGAGGCTTCTGCAGATGGTCTCCCTCAGGGGCCCTGGGGAAGGGGAGAGGGAAGGTGAAGGGGAGGAAGGGTGGAGTGCAGGCCAAGGTGACTGGAGGTGCTTGGGCTGCTGCTGTTGGACCTGGGGGAGCCTGGGGGCTTGGGCACATGCCTGGCCAGGGCTCAGGGGGCAGGACGGGCTGCCCTGCGGTCCTCTGCCTCCAAACCTGAGAACATGAGCTGACTCCCCACTTGGCCCTCCTCCTGCCCACATCGGCCTGGTGAGCAGGAACCCAGGAGGAAGCCACTGCCAAATCCGGAGCTAGTGCAGCTCACCCAGACCTGCGGGCACCGGGAGAGAATGGACCCTCGGGGCTTCCTGTTACTGGTCCCGTCCACACCTCCCGCGAGGTGGGAGGGCTCAGGTTGTTACTAGGGCCACCTGGGCCCTCCCCACTCCTTGCTTTACCTTGCCTTTTATCTTTAATTATTTCTAGGTCAGACTCTCACTGGCAATATCCAGCGCTAAAGCCCTTCTAACTGCGCTGCCTGCTCTGGCCCACCCTGATGAGGCGTCAGAGGCCGCTCCCCTCACTATGCAGGACAGGAGATTATGAGGGAAGCAGGGAGACCCGAAGGCAGCCACCACTCTGCCCAGAAGCAAGCCAGAGACCTCTCCTGCTTTCCAGATCTTCCAAACAGGAGAAGAGCAAAAATATTTCTTATATTTCAAAATTAGAGCTGCCTCAGTTCCTCCTAAGGCTCCCGTTCCCCTCAAGGCAGGGGACAGACAGGTGGGACTCGGGACCTGCTGCACGGGTACCTGAGGGGCTGGGTCAAGAGCTGCAGGCAGCAGCCCTGTCCTGCCCTGGGCTCTTCCCTGCCTGTGTGTTCTGAAGCCTTTGATGACCTTAATCTCTGTATTTCTATCACCTGTGTATCTGCTTGAACTTCTATTTTCACTCCTTAAAAGGAGGTTGTGTTTCCCCAGAGGAGTATGCAGAGGAGGCTTAGGATTTTATAACTCAGCTGTCAGTTCCACCGTGTTCGAGAAAGGAGAAAAAAAAGAACAAGCTTAAGTGGAGAACTTTAGCTGCAAGTGTCAAGAGTTTGAGAAGTTGGTGCCACAGGGGCATCTGGATCTGCTCAGTTAAAAAAACAAAATAAACAAACAAAAAAACCCAAAAAACGCCAAACACCAAGCTTGCAGCGTGAATTCCATTCCACTGTTCAGAGCCCTCCCCTGTGGCTGCAGTTTCCTAATGCTGCTCGAGAAGGAGAATAAACTCACTGCCATTCGGATGCACCAATTTGCTCTAATAAACCAAATAACAATGCAAAAAGGAGGCAGATCCAGATGGCTGATCCCAGAAGCAGAGTCCCCAGGAAGCGGGGTAGAGCACCCGGGCTCAGCCTTTCCTGTGGCAGCCTTGTGGCCAGGCAGCGCCAGGCTGCACTGGGGAACACATCAACCCACCCAAGCTTGCCTCGGCCTGCAGACTTGGTGGCTTGGTCAATCAACCCCACTGGTCCTTCTAAAAACTCATACTTGGCCCGGTTAGAAATGCATAACGGCAGCCTTTTGGAGGCGGCTGGGCCAAGGAGGCTTCAAGGTCACACTGAATGGCGTCTCTTTTATCACTTCAACCAACGCGAATCAGAGACTCCTACAACAGGAGTGGTCCAATCAACGGAGCTTGTTTTTCTGCTTCCAGCTTGCTGCGGAACAGTGGCTGCAGCCTAATTTTAACGGACTTCAGGAATTTAGAAAAATGCAAGGGATAGCAAGGTTGGAGTGACTGGAAATTCAATCACGCGCTCAGTAACAAATCCCAGCTGAAACCTTTTATGGTGGCCTTTCACTTGAAGCACAGGGAAGCTAGGAGCCACAGACACTGATTAACAGGAATCATCGTCCACCCTTCCATCTCCTGCCTAGAGCACCTGTCTTCCCTCCTTACCCTGGAGCCCTACCATGGCTCTCATAGGTACCCTCTGCAAATTTCTCCTATCAGATTAAGGTTAGAGGCTTTGGCCGGTGGAGTCCTCAGGGTGTTTAACAGGAAATGGACCTCGGGTCCCATTCTCTCCCAGTGGCTTGTTAGATAGTCAAGATCACAGTGAATTACCACCCCAAGGAAAGCTCAGGGGTAAAACACCACCACTGCACAAACAGCATCTTCACAGCTCACACGAGAAGGGAACAGGCAGGCAAGGCACACGGCAGACACAGTGGCCACATGCAGTGAGAGCCAGGCAGGGCTCCCAGGGACTCTGGAGTTCGGGGTGGGGAGAGTGGGGGTGTTAGAGGGGGACACGGAAGCCGGGAGCATGGTCGGGAGGGTTGGTCTTACCATAGAGGGAGAGCATTGGGTATGTTCAGCTGGCTTTAAAGAAAGGCAGATAGAGATAAGCTGTAATGAGTCTCCCATGAAGATGCCCGGTATTCTAGGTCTTGGCTGACACGGGAGCAACACAGTGGCAGAAGAGGGCAAAAGGAAACAAGTGAAAGAAACGTGAAAGCGTAGGCCTGGCAGGTCCTGGGGCGTCCCCATGAGTGTGGGGTCTGTGTTGCTGGGTCTCATGTCAATCAAGGACCCACAGGCATTCTCCTACCTATGCCCTTTAAATAACTCACATTCATAATATTATTAGATAAGCAGATGAGGTCTTTGGGATTTTGTGGATGGAGGTTTATAATTTTTTTGTTTGGTTTGGTTTTAGAGACAGGGTCTCAGCTCTGTTGCCCAGGCTGGAGTGCAGTGGCATAATCACAGCTCACTGCAGCCTTGAACTCCTGGGCTCAAATGATCCTCCCACATCAGCCTCCCTAGTAGTTAGGACTATAGGAACGTGCCACCATGCCCGGCTAATTTAAATTTTTTATTTTAATTTTTTTAGAGACAGGGTCTCACTATACTGCCCAGGCTGGTCTCAAACTCGTGGGCTGGCCTCAAGCGATCCTCCTGCCTTGGCCTCCCAAAGTACTGGGATTACCGGTGTAAGCCACTGTGCCAAGCCTGTTTTAATTTGTTTTTTATTAGCCATTGTTAACCTATGAGGACTTAGGCTTTGTGCACTTTAGCTTACCCCAGGCAGGGCCAGCTGAAGGACAGAGGCCTTGCTGACCCCAGAGCCTATCCTTGCCCACATATATTTAAACAAAGCAAGGGCAGTGGCCTCTCAGGTTTAGGGGAGACCGACTTCAAGTCAACACTGAGGAGGGCCTCCAGAGGTGGCCTCAACCCACTCCATAATGGGGCTTGTTCTGAAAGCTCAGGCTCAGGCAGGAGATGGCCTTGCTTAGCTGTTGGTCTATAGGTGCGGCGAGCCCTGACCGTTGGCATGAAATAATGACTGTTGAATTGTTTTCTAAACTTGAAAGCCCTGCACACAATTTAGGACACTAACACCCCAGGAAGCTGTTCTCACGGGTCTGACTGCTGAACTCATTTGGGGGTAGGAGCTGAGGAAACTGGCCTCTGGTGAGTATCCCAGGGCCAGCCCTCTCCCCGAGTTCCTGGAGCCTGGATCTGGGAAGGTGCCCTTACGTTTTGGGCTCCAGCACAGAGGGCTCAGCCCCGACTGATCTTGACCATCTGAGCTGCTAACTCTTTCTAGAAAGTCAGGACTTGGCTTTTACTCTCCACTTTCAGATGGTTGCTCTTGTATTTCTGTTTTTAAGGTACAAACAAGGAAAATGTGTTATGGAATTTTTGAAGGATGGAAATGTGCACAACTAGACATTTGCTTGCAGCCTGAAAATATTTCTTGGGTAACAGATTTCTCAGCAAATTCTTTTTTTTTTCATAGCTAGTTGGTAGGATGCCCTTTTAGGGGATGGTGGAGATATAGGGTGAGGTGAGGGAGGAGAAAGAAAGGGACACTTCTCTAGGCTTTACAGAACACTCTAAATCTGGATCTCTAGATCTCAGCTTCTGCTTCATGAAGATTCCACCTGCCAGGTCAGTCCTTGTGATTGCAGGGTGTGGGGTCCCTAGGATTTGGCTAGCAGACTGAGATTGAACACAGAGACAAACATAGGCAGACACACACACGCGCACACACACACTCTCTCTCTCTCTCTCTCTCTTTCTCTCTCTCTCTCTCATACAGGCATGCACAGAAGAAATTTCTTGGCAAAGCACCTAAACCCCTTTTGCTCTGGTGTGTGATAGTTGCCCAGGATGGTCAGGTCTAGCTATCCACTGGCACCTTTCTGCCCCGCTCCTGGCCCAGTGCTTGAGCTCCCTTGCTCATGGACAAGGAGTTCTGTGTTTCTCAGGCTTCAGTGGGGCAGGGAGGGAGGTCCAGAGGGAGGTAACCTACACCATGTTAACTCCTGAGTGTTGGGCAGAGCTCCCAGGAAGCTTGAGCCATTGCTGGCCTCTTGGATCCATCCTGAAAACCATCACAGCTGCTCATCACTTCTAAGAACCCTGGGCAAATGCTTGAAGGTCTTCTGGGTCAATCCCAGCCTGAACAGGACCAAAATGGAGATAATTCTGACAACGCACCCAGGTACTTGGCTTGCCTGGCCTAATTGAACCAACCTCTAGGCATCAAAAAAACAAAAACAAAACAAAACAAAACCAAAAAAAACCTGTTTTACTTCTTAAACATTCAGAATCCTTCATTTGGGATTTTTAAACATTTGTCTTAACTGTCTTTTTTCTTGTTGCATTTTATAGCTCCCATTTAAGACCTCATTTATTTAAGTCATATTTCACTTCAAGACTTGACTTTGGATCTGTTCAGATAATCTTGATAGTATTTTGTATTTTAGTAACATGTATTGATTTAACATTTCCTATGGCATGTCTCTATAATGGCAGACAAGAGAAAGTCAGGAGCAGCTATGAGGACAGTAGAAAGAGGAAGAATGAGGACGCTCTGAGATGTCTGTGTGGCATTCTCCTGCCCCGGTAATGACAACTCTCCAAAGAGACCAACTTTGGAAGAATCTAGAGACTCAAAGATTAAGTTTTTCTTGAGCCTTAAGCCATGCTGTTCACAGGGCATTTTTGAGTAGCTAGGACACTGTTGCCTCTACCACCGCTCACACCTGTTTCCACATGAGGAGCTGTTTACAAGGTCCGTGGTCTCATAAATGAATAACCACTCGCGATGAAATCAGAGAGCAATCCCTGAGTGATTTCTACATGGTAACAATAGGAAGCAGCCTAAGCCACAGCCCCTGCCCCCAAGGCCCCCGAGGTCTACTGATGCCCTGGGCGTTTCCTACATGATCCCACGTCATCCTTAGAGTCTTTGGTACCCTTTCGCCTTGGCAAATGAATCCCCTGCTGAGATGGAAGGAGAGATTGGACTTGCTGGAGTTGGACATCTGTGGTATCCCAGGATCAGCACTTTTAGTTTCTGTGGTTTGCCACTCTCTTTAAATACCAAGTACAGCCCCTTGAGAAACTACAAAGCATCAGTTCTACCTTTGGATGTAAATTCAGAATTTGTTGGTAGCCATCAATACTTGGGCCATTAATCTCTGACCCCTTCCCAGATTTGCTGCCGGTGCCCTGAGTTAGTTTGTAGTTTCTCCCATCTGTGGTCTTTCTTGGGGAAGAAAGGGGCCGTAGGATTCCCTGAAGACATACACCCCCAAGCCTGGAGACTGCATTCCCCTTTTAGGGCAGCCAACAGAGCTGCTTACATAACCTGAACATTCTGGCTGATTTTTCATATGGCACTGTCTCCACTAATGGTAGGCGTGGAGAAATTTCTGAGCAGCCAATTCTTTCATCCTTGTTTTCTAATGATCTGGTAATTTTCAATGATTTCATGATATTGGGGCAATTAACTTAATTTGTTCACGTAATTGATATAAATGAAATGAGGTTATTATTCCGTATCTGAGGCAGAGGTCGGGCATTTTCAGAGACAGCGAGCTCTGGTTAGTGGTTCCAGATAACAGGCTCAGGGCAAACAGAAAGGAAAGACGATTTCCTTCCTTCAATATGCTTATGCAGATTGCCTTGTTTTGGCAGAACTGGCAGTGAGGAGGGGAGTGGTGCAGGGCAGCTAATGAGAGGGAGGTCTCTGGAAAGCTGTCTTTCTGAATTAAGTTCAGGGTCAAATGAGAAGTAACACCTCAGTGGATGAAGTCTTTGTTTCTGGAAGGCACTCACTATGCACTTATTTTCATTGGAGTGCCAGGTCTAGGCCACATTTAGGATGCTGAGGGGCGATACTCAGGGAATGCCAGAGGCCAGCAGAGACAGGATCCTCCCAGGTGGAGGATTTTCCCACCAGGATGGTGTGGGAGGCCGCAGGATGTGTTTCCTGGTTGCCACATTACATGGTCTCTCTGGAGACTTAAAAGGTAGTTGAAAAATAGCTCTTCACCATACGAAAAAAAGTTTTTTAAAAATTATTATTTTTTTAAAGCACAGCCAAGGGTAAGAATTATAGAAATTCAGGGGCTGAGCAGTAGATCTCTAGGCTGGAATACCCAACCCAGTTGTCCTCCACAATACTCTCCTGCGGTCAGGTGGCCAGAGAGCATTGTGAAGGGGGCATAAGCCATGGCTGCATTCTCCTTGGCAGGCTGATTTTGAAAGGTGCAGATTACCTCTGATCTCCTCCAGGGAAGGCTGGTCTTAGCCCTACAGAAAACGGCTGCCCAATTCCAATGGCTGCCATTGAGACAATGCTATGACCTCAGTGTCACTAAGATTCCACGCACCTCTGAAACAGATGTCAAAAGTAATGTCATGGGAGTGTGAGTCTCTAAATAGTGGTCCTGCTACAGAACCCTTGCTATATTTTTTAAAATGTCTTGTCCAGAACTTAGGGAGGTGGATCTGATATAAATTTCATTCCAAGCCACCTGAAGGTCTCCATCCAGCCAGTACCCCCTCCCCATGCTCCGCTTCTCCGCTTGTACTACCTCCAATCTCAATTTGACCTGCAAGACACAACAGCTGGTTCTGTTGGGGGGTGTCATGGTGTGGAGGAAGACCAAGGGGTGGGGCTTTGAGGGAGAGACCTCGGAGGTGATCTAGGTTGGGAGGAGGTGGTCAGGCTGGTGCAGAGAGAGAGCTGGGAATGGCAGGGGTCAGGGGCTGCTGGAGACATCTGACGCCAACTTCATGGCCAGGAGCCAGCAGGTGTAGGTTAAGGGTGTGTGTGGGGGGATCCTCACGATCCTTTTATCTCCCCTTCCCACCAGGAGAAATGCACATCTCAGGAGGAGTCGGGAGGTGCTGAATCTTGGAGCCACTGGGTATGGCAGCGGGGCAAGACATTTTAAGGAGGCCAAAGGCAAACATGTTTTAAGCTGCAAGCCTTCTAAAGCTGAATGAACAGGTACTTGCTAAGAGAGGCGAAGGTTAAACAAACGTTAGCTGGGATAGACAGAAGCTGAGGGTAGAGGCCATGGCTTTCAGACAGAAGAGCAAATGAATGAGGTATGCGTAGTTGAAAGCAATTCTAAGCAGAATTCCCATTTTGGTTTGGTGTGAGTGGAGAGACAGAAGTGATGGAGGAGAAGAACTGAGCAGAAGAAGACAAACAAAGGGCAGGGAACGCACCAGGATAAAGCTAAAGATGGACAGGGACCATGGAAAGGACTCTGTCCCGGGCCACCACCCCCAGGTCGGAAACCCACGGGCTTTTGTGTTTCTCCAAAGTGGAATTCCAGCTAGAAGGAGAGGGCCCTTCTTGCCTTTCTTGTGTGTTTGGAGTTACAGACACTGAGTTGAAATGCCCCTTCAGAACTCCCCTCGAGGGGTCTTTGGCCCCAAGGGGACTGGCAGCCGGGCTCCCAGCGTGGGGCTGCAGCTCCTGGCCCTCTTTTGCTCTTCCTGCTTTGTGTGTGAAGCTGTGGATGGCTGAGAGCTATGCCCTGTGCTACTGGCTGCAGTGACCAGTTTGCTGGCTGGAAGTGGCTGAAGCCTCAGGGTCTCACTGTTATCATGTGCAGCCTGATGGCTCCCAAGGTGTTATTACCTGCCAGAAACACACACTAAACAAGACTGATCACAGAATTGCCTGGGAGTTTCATCTTCCCCTGGGAAGGACAGCCCAGCGTCTAGTCATTCAAACAAACCAACCAACCTCCACCAACAAAAAGCCCATGAAGAATAAACGAATGAAATCAAGGTGCCAGTAGTACTAACTACATCAAAGAATTCCTTATGCCAGAGGGAGAGGTCACAAGATAGAGAAGAAAGGCAGAGAAACAGAGTGGGTGAGGCAGGGCGGGGCAGAGACTCAAAAAGGAAACAAACAGATGATTCCCTGGGTGGGAGCACCAAATATGAGAGTAAGTGGGCATCAACAGAAGTGGCCATGCTTCTCGAGGCACCCTACGTATCTTTGAGCCTTCCTGTGTCTCCTCACTACCAGCTCATGGCATCTTCTAGGTGCCTTTGCTTTACGAGCTTTCTGGAAAGAACCCCAGCAGCAGGTTGCTGAGCCTGTAGGAACTGAAGTGTCAGACACTGGCCAGGTACAATCAGTTGTCTGGCCACAACAAAAGGTGTGCTAGGCAACTTCCTCCCACCCTTACACGGAGGGGAAGGGAACAGAGGGCCGTATGTGGGTTGATAAGATGAGAACAGGAAAGGAAAGAGCATTTGAGGGAAACAAAAAGTGACACAGTTTGGGGCAGAAGGCAGAGGGCAAGGGGAGCCTGGATGGGTCAGAGCCGCATCAGGACCTCGGCAATCTCACACAGCTGAATTAACAACCCAAATTGGATGCCTATAAAAAAACAGGTTCCCATGACCTTTCGGGTCAAACCTGCAGGGTACTTCTCAAGGCAAAAGCTTTTGAGAAGACTTGCTGCACCAGGCCACTTCTCAGGCCCGTCTCTCTGTCTGCACCCCCTCAACCCCACATCACACCAGTTCACACAACAAGCCTCGCCCTAGACCTTGAGATCCGGGGCATTCGGCCTCCTCCCAGGGGACTGCTGATGGTCAGATGCTTCATCCCACTTCTAGGAATGAGGGTGGCTCTGCTAACTCTCTCAAGGGCCAGCCATACTCTTAAGCAGAGTAGAAAACAGCCTTTGTGGGGGGATGGGGAGGGACCTCACAAAAGTAATCTCCCCACTCAGGGGTCACGTTGCTAAAGGCTCACCTGAGATACAATAAACATTCCACCTGCAGGTTGAGCATCGCCTTCTCTTCAAGGTACAATGATCTATTAGAAGGGCAGCTCACTGAGTTGCTACCACCCAGCATGAATGACTGTGCTGGAATCACTTCATTTTGAAACAAGGCATCTTGGTAGCATTAGGTTTGTTGGGGGTGGGGGCTGTTGCCGAAAGTGGGAAGAAGCTGGAAGGGACTCCGAGGGCAACAGGAGGCTCCAGCAATGAGAAGGGGGGCTGGAGGGAGATGTCAAGGATAACCTCTGCCCCACCCAGCTGTCCTGAGACCACGGAACTTGATTTAATCTATGTGTCCTAGAACCAGCTCAGGCCACACCCACCAATGTCATCTAGACAATGGTTGGCAACAGCACCCACTGGAGCCCCCTACTGACCGGGAGTTCCGGTCAGCTTGCTGTGAAAAACCTGTGAAAATGAGCAAGCTGTTTCCTGCCTCTGGCCTTTTGTGTCCTCATCTAGAAAATTTGTATATCCTCAAGCAACATCACACAGCGGGTGCTCAAGGTACCTTTGAGGAATAAACAAATAAGGGTTTGGGCTAGGTGGTCTCTAAGGTGTGTACACCCTAATGTCCTTGGACAAATCTGCTTTCTGACCACATCTCTCTACCCTCCTTCCTCATCACAGCTATGGGCAGTGGGGGGCACTCAGCCTTGCCTTTCTTGTGCCCATTCTGGCCCCTTCTCTGCCATGGCAGGGGGCAGGAGGCGTGGTTACAGCCACAAAGGCAGACAGAGACAGCCAGGCCCACTGTCCAACGCAAGCACTGTGGGTTGCAGGCCGAGAGAGAGGGCTGGAGTCGTGCAGGCTGAGCTGACTCACCCCTGAGGGGGTGGACGTGCAGCAAGTAGCTCTCTCTATGACTCAGGACTGACTGCTTTTCCTCCATCCTTCCAGGACCCAGAGCCAGAGAGGAGCCCGGCTTGCTTGTGATTGTTGTGGAGAGTAGTGAGTGACAGTTATAGGAAGTTGTGCCTGGGGGCCTATGGTGGAAAGATACTAAGGTAGAAAGGCTTTCAGGGCCTGAAGGTGGGGAAGACTTGGGACCAGTATCCCGACATGCTGATCCCTGGACACTCTCTGCCCTGCCTTGTCGCTGCTTGCTCCTTCTGGCCCCCCTCCTCCCAGTCTCTTTCTTCAGCTGCAGATGCAGATGCCAACTGGGCAAAGGGAGTGGTGCTGCTCTGCGCCTCCTGGCGTTTGCCTTCTGTTCCCTGTAACCAGAGACACGGATCCGGGTGTGTAGCCTGCATTCTGTCTGAGCATCCCAGGGGGATCCCAGGCTTTGTGGATCCAGCATCCGCAGCATCAACCGACACAGAGAAGTCAAGTCAGGCAGCTCCGCCCCAAGTCCCGTTGCCAGGAGGCACTGAATGAGGAGTGCAGGAGCCACTGGGCCCTGCCCTTCAGTGATGCCCAGGCCAGCCTGGCCCAGGGATTTAGCCAGCGGGCACTGTGAAATGCAAGAGCCAATTCTTGGACAGAAATGAGTTTGAATCCAAGATTTGCCTCCCATTCACCGTGTGGCCTTGGGCAGATGTTCGTCCTGTCTGAGCCTTGATTTCCTCATGTGGAGAGTAAGCACACGGGTTTCATCCGATCATGTGTATGGTGTCCTCAGCATGATGCCTGATCCGTGCTCATCAGGTCATCCTCATGTCGGTCCTCTTCTCATGTTCACAGCCAGTGCCACCTTCGCTTAGCTTTATTTCCCTGCTCTGGACACTCCTGTGCATCGTGCAAAGCCTCCAGCAATTCCTCCTGAGAGCTGTGCCCAGAAGCTCCAGGGCCAGTGTTCTTTCCCCTCCCTGTGCCTGCTCTGCTCCCCGAAGGTCTTTCTCCTGCTCCTTTTCTCTGGAGAATCTCCAGGTGAGCTCCACCAAAGCCAAGGGAGCCTGTCCTCCCTTGCTGCCCTTCAGCACTGTGGCTTCAGGGATTATCTCTATGCAGATGATTCCCTGGAGGAAGCATCCCCATGACACCATGGGCGCCTGATGACAGGAAACACCACCTCAGAACCCAGCAAGGCAATGGGGGCAATGAAGCATCCACCTCCAGCTGTCAGAAAATGCCCAAGTCAGAATCACTGCAGGCTAGAGTTGCAAGAGACCATCCTAAACCTCTCACTCCTCACTTTTGCATTCAAGGAAATTGAGGCCCAGAGAATGGAGTTCATTGCTCTAAGTCACCAGAGCTGGAAGCATAATCAAGGCTTCTTCATTGACAACTTGGGAATGTTTCTCTATGTCCATAATGCAGGAATTCAGGCTGCCCAGCACTTTCTATTGTTCAGTATATTTTAAAATACAAAATGAAAAAGAAGTGTGTCGGGAAAGGCTGTTGGCCCAAGCAGTCAAATTAATTCCAGTTTGGGATGTTTAGGGAGCAGTTTCTGGTGCTGTAGTAACTTTCACGAACAATCACAGGAAAATATGATTTCAGACCCAAGCACTGAGGAAGAGCAAGAGGCTTCCCTAGAGCAGCAGGACATCGCACTCTTACCTCCCCGGCTCACAGAGGAAGAAAAGCTCGGATTTAGACCCAGGTGATGCATTGGCAGGAGAAGGGCCGGGGCCCATGGCTCAGATACTGAGGCTGAATTCAGCATGACCGCACGAGGGGGCCTGAAGACGGTCCTCTTGTGACACCTGGCAGTTGTTCAGCGGCATCTCCCAGATGAACAGAAGTTTGCGGGTCCCGATCTCCTCGCGCCAGAGGCCCTGGCCCAGGCCTCTCCGCTCCTCTGCCTCTTGTCGCTTCTTCTTCTCTAGTGCCGGGGCTTTGGGTACCATCTTGTTGTGAATGACTCCATCCCCAGGCCTCTGACCTGTGTGTCCACCTGACATCTCCCCTCCAAGGGCTAACAGATACGTCAAAACTGTGCTCTGGCATTTCCTAACTCACACAGGCCCCGCCTCCAGCCCGCCTCCTTGCCTACCTGCTCCATCCTCCTCTGATTTAGGCCAAACCTCCCAGTCCTCCTGGGCAATTCTCCTCCTGCCCCCATGCAGTCTGTCAGGAAACACTGTTAATTTTGCTTGCAAAACAGAGTGACGGGCTGGCCATTTTCCACCGCTTCTACTGCCACAACTTTGCTCCACGCTATGCATCTTCCACCTGGATGACTGCATTTGCCTTCTAAATGATCTTCCAGATTCCACCCTTGACTCCTACAGCCAGCCAGAGTGGTCTCTTTAAAAACCAGTCGGGTCACGTGACACCTCTGCTCAAAGCCACCAGTATGTCCCCTTCTTGCTCAGAGTAAAAGCCCAAAAGTGGAACCTGTTAGTTACCCCTCTGCTACCCTCACCTCTCCTTTCCCAGCTCAGTCCGCACCAGCCAGGTTGGCTCCTCCTGCCCTGCTACCTCTTCTCCCGATCTCCACATGGAGAATCCTCAATTCCTTCATGCCTTTGCTTTGTTCAACTGTCACCTCCTTAAGGAAGCCCATCTTATTTAAACCAATGCCTGCCATCACTGCTCCCCAGCACCTTGGAGCCCCCTTATCTGGCACTACTTTTTTTCCTAAAACGTCTATCATCTTCTAACACACCGTATGAGTTCCTTATTTTCTGTCCTCATTGCATTGTGAATTGTCTGATTATTCCCTTCTACAATGCAAATCTGTGAAGGCAGGGGCTTTTGGTTTGCCAGCTGATGGATCCCAGGTGCCTCAAACGGTGCCTGACGTATAGGAAGTGAGACTCTAAATGCTGTGGATTGAATGAATGATGGTTCCTGAGAGGGAGGGCCCCATAGCCCGGAAAAGAGAAAAGGTGAGACGAGTTTAAATGTGGGGAATATTTGGAGGAAAGTTAGGGTGGATAAGGCATCTGGGGAGGGGTTTAGGAGTTAAAGATGGCAGGTTACAGGTGAAACGCCCTCATGGATCACACTGAGGCTAACAATGTAGACTCTTTCCAAATAGACCATATCCCTGGGAATATATGTCTTGTGATGAGAGGATGACTAAAAATACCTGGGAAGGCCCGGAGCAGGGCCCAGGGATGCAGGATTTTCTGAAGGATCCCATGGGATTGGAAGAAAATGCTGGGGCCGCCCATACGCTGCTAATGCCCTGGAGGCAGAATCTAGTGGGAGGGAGCGACCTTGCTCAATTAAGCTGCTGTCCCTCACACTGGCTGCGATGTGAGCCCAGGGTCAAGCCGGACTGTGCTTTCAGAGCAGGCCCCTCAAGGCCCAGAGTTATGGGCCGTGGTAAGTGTGTGTGTGCTGGCTTTGATCTGGTTGTACCTGTTGGCCATCTCTATGGGTCTAAGCATATCTGGGAAACAGGGCTTTCGACTGTGGGTTGTAAGTTATAATTAGACTAACCAAAAGGTCTTGGTTGGAGACTAGGCCCTCCGAGTGACACCAGCAGTAACTTTGGAAGGAATGTCATTTGCCTGGGTGCCACAGTTCCTCCCATTCCACAGTGCTTTACCAGTTTATATAGAGTTTTTAAATAGATGCTCTTATTTGAGCTTCAAAACACACTGCTGTAAATACCACATTCCTCTGACAGATGAAAAAACAGAGTCTCTGGGCATGTTGGTAACGCTTTGACAGGAAGCAGCAGCAAGACTCAACAATCTGCCAGTTTTCTGACTTCAAGTCCAGCTTTCTCCTCTCCCAAACCGCCTTCCTGCCTTGGGGGATGTTATGTTTGTTCTTTTGGTTCGGAAGCCATCAGTTGTGTGGGAGAGGGAGAAAGTGGCTCTGAAATAGGTGTTGGGTCTCAGGACACCTCCTCTTGCTGTCAGTCACATGCACAGTTGCCACCCTGTCCCCCGACAATCCTTCAGTGGGACTTCAAAGCCACAAATGCCTCAGCCCGGAGCATCTCAGTATGGGAGGACACAGGGGCAGCGGAACTCTCAGGGTGGCTGATTATTGCTTATTTAGAAAGTGGAAAAAACCCTGTGCTTATTTAAGATATCAATTACAGAATGTAAGTTCTGAGTAAGTCGTGGCTAGTGGCAGTACACCAGGAGGGACAGGTGAGGTTTCTCTTTACCAAAAGGCACTGTGGAGTACAGAAACCAGGAATTCTGGCCTAGCAGGAAGTGAGCTGGCCCCAGGAGGGCTAGGCTGACTCTGAGGCACTGGAAAGGTACTTAATCTCTCCATCATCACCTTTAGCATCAGCAAATTGGGGATGAGAATTCTTACCTGTCAAATTTAAAGGGTAGTTTAGAGTTGTCAGATAAATGCAAAGTGACTTGTAAATAGAAAACCACTATTCCAATGTCAGGAGCTGCTGGACGGGTTCAGGCCCCCTCCCTATCCCCAACAGAGCCCCCTTTTCTGTATAAATTTTATATCCTAGAAAATGCTTTTTTGTTGTTTTTTCTTTTTCTTTAAAGACATGAATAGTTTGGGAGAAAATTGCAGACTGAGCGATGGGGCCTTGGTGACTGTAGGAAGAACCCATAGGACCCCCAGAGCTGCAGTGGGCCACTGTACAGGGGGGCAGCTTGCGGTCACCTTTCTGCGTTTTCCTGCTGTGGGGCTCTCGGCCCCTCTGCATAGATTTTAATGTGGCTCTGCACTGCTGTCTGGAAAGGAAACCTCCTGAGGGCAGAGCCCACTGCTGCCCTGTCTTTCCTGTTTCTCTCCCTGCAGTGTCTCCCACGGCTGAGCACTGCATGGCACAAGCTCTGGGCACAGAAGCTCTGGCCTTTATGTGTATGAGTGGGAACAGCAACTTGGGGCTCATCCAGCTGCAAAACTGGGGTCCATTCAGAAAGGGGAGAGGAGTCTCAGAGCACGAGTAGGAAGACTAATTTTAAAAAAATGATCTGAGGATTTACTGGGAGAAGTTAAGAGAGAGTGCACATACACACATACACTCACACACATACACACATGCACACATGCTCACACACACACAGACATGCACTCACATATACACACATACACATACACACACACCGGACAAAGACAGTTCTCAGAGACACAGGGAGACAGAGGGGCCATGGTCTCTGGAGCTATAGGGTGAGCAGGGTTGGGGCACCAGACTACAGCGGGGGACATATGACAAGTGTGACAACCGCTTTCCATAGTCCATCTGCTAAAAGAGGAGCAGACAGGGGTCTCTAATCTGGAAGAATCTGGCAGGCAAGATAACACGGCAGTGTAACTGACTGAGAGCAAAAGATGGAGTGGAGAGGGGAGTAAGGGTGCATGGAGGAGCTGGGGGTGGTGGGCTGGGTAGTTCCAAACATCTTAGATCAAAACTCTAAAGCATCTGCTCTGTGCTGTTATTCAATAGTTCAGTGCATCAAAAGTCTATGCAAACATTACCAAGTCTCTTAATTAAGGAAAAATAATAACGAAAAAATTAAACAACACATGTTAAAGACCGCAAGAAGGCTTGCCTATAGATAAAGAGAGATTTAAACATGCCAGGTAACAGAAAAGACATGTGCAGGAACTGGTAGGAACTGTATAGGAGGAGGCACCTCTTGGGAGAAGGAGGTGGCAGGAGGCCTTGCAGAGGCTGGGGTGCTGTCTGAGGCTCGGGAGCCAGAGGCAGGGGTGTGAGAGGTCAGGGGTCGAGGGCAGGGGTGGCAGGTGCATGTGGGAGTGAGGCGCTCACATGGGGCCTGCTTCCACAGCAACTAGGAGGAAAGGTCCACCCAGAGCAGCTCTCAGTACGTCACCCACCACCTCTAGAGAAGAGTTCAGACATGACTGATCCTCCCCTTCTCGTTCCTCTTCCAAATGAGCCTGCAGGGACCTGGATGCCTGCATGGGCTGCTGATGTTAAATGAAAACAGAGCCCATTCAACCCGAGATCATGGGTGGTCCTTGGGCGAGGGTGGGCTATGGCTGACGGTGTAGGCTGAGTCTTAGCCTTATCTCAGGGTGTTCCACTTTGAGAGAGCTCCCTTCTGAGATGCTGTGGGGATGCAAAGGAGAGAGTAGGGAAGGCAGTGGCTGGAGGAGAAGGTGGAGGTCAGAAGAGGTTTGGGTCCCTGCCCCAGCAGCTGCCCAGAGTGGCAAACATCCCCTCATGTTCTCACTCCACAGCTCCCAGAGCTGCTTCCTCCGATACAGTGTGAGTCATGCCAGGCTGATTGTATGGGAGAGAGAAAAGATGCAGCAATCAGAACTTAACAGAAAAGGGGAAGGCCTAATGCGTTCCAAAGTTAAAAAAAAAAAAAGATTTCAAAATAAAGCAACAAGGAAAAAAAAACCTTCAAACCAATTCAAACAAACAAATTAAAAAAAAAAAATAAGAAGGTGGGGAGAGAAAATAAAATGAAGGAAACAAACCGGGAAAAGGCAAATGAGTGTTAGAGCAGGCACGGACGGTTAGGGACAGACGCCATGTACTTACGTTTACCTCGGTGATTGCTATATCAACAATGCTACCCACAACAATCAAGGCGTCAAATGTATTCCATGCATCACAGAAATAGTGCTGCATGGGGCAGAGCAGCCGGGGAGAGAGAGAAGAAGAACCAACAAGAAAGGACAAAACAAAACAAAAGGGAAGAGGAAAAATGAAAAAAAAAAAAAAAAAGGTATGGAAAAAGGGAGAGAAGAGAAAAAAAATGAGAAAAGAAAGAGGTTACGTGGGCATATTAAACACTCTCTTACCACTCTACAGTTCTGGCAGCTCAAACCTGGATAACCTGGTTTTCGCAGGGTGCAGAGGCCTGACAAAAGCTGGGTTAGTTCAAAGGTGGCGTGGGGCTGTGGCCGCCCCGGGGAGCCGGGCGGTGTGTCCCCTGCACCGCCACTCCCTCTGCTCAGCTCCACGCCCCAGCCCGGCAGCGCCGGGCAGAGCTGAGGTAAATGGAAAAAAAGGAGGAGAAGCTCCCACTTTTTTTCCCCCACAGGACGACGGCAGGTTCAATAAAAGGCATGACTGGAGGCGGGTAAAAACAGGAAATTAAAAAAAACATAAAAGAAGGTAAACAGAGAGAGTGAGAGAGAGAGAAATAGACGAGGCAGAGGAGGAGGAATGAGGAGGTTTCCTGGGGAGGGCAGAGTAATACTCACATTAGTCTCACTGAGAATGACGTCAATTATGCTGCCAATTACGATGAGGAAGTCAAAAACATTCCAGGGATCACTAAAGTAACCCTACATAAGGGAGGGCAGGCAGGATGGGGATTAAAAAGGAATATTAGACAGACAAGAACAGAGCAACACCACCATCAGAATCATCGTCCAGGCACCTCCGTGTTGCCTCTGGAGTTCCGGACGCCCTCACCATGGCCAGGAGCCCAGGAGCACCAGCAAGGAAGGAGCAGCAGGGAGGCGACACTCTAACCCTACTGCCCGCATTCCCTCGGTCACGTGGCCCCCATCCTACAGATCCACCCACCCTACCCCTTCTCCACAGAGGCCCTGTCCACGTCCCACCAGGGGCAGGAGTGGGTGTGGGGGGCGTGGGTGGTGCAAATCGCCAGGCGGCAGGATGTGGCTACTATGCTCTCTTCTCAGTCCACGCTGAGCATCTCCTGCACCCCCAGTCCTCTTCCAGCAGAAGGGCCTGTCTGGAGGGAGGGAACACAGGTGTGTGACCCCTCAGAGGGTAGCGGGCTCGGTCCTATGGGTGAAGCTGGGAATGAAAAAGGCTTTGAAAACCACAGCCATCAATGTGGGCCGCAGGGTGGCAGGTTATCTGGGCTCACTGGTGACTCATATAAAGCTCAAAAATAAAAGAAGGACCAAATTGTTAAAACAAGATCCATAATAAGTGCAACTCTTGCAGATCAAATCAGGGTACCCTAGTTCCTGCACTGGGTGCCCCAGTGTTTCCAGGGGCAGTTCCAACCCTGGCAAAGACTTTCCTAAGGGAAAGGAGACAGAGGCAAGGCTGGGCTCCTACTCCGGGAGTGTGTTATGTGGCTCTTGACAGGGCTTTCTGAGGCTTTCTAAGCCCCTCCCCAGGTTCTTTCATGGTCATTTGGAGGTAGGGTCCTGCTGAATGCAGACGCCGCGCAGAGGGCACGCGGTGATCAAAGCGTTTCCTGAGGATGGGTTTGCTAGGGATAGGCTGGTAGGTTGGGGGAGGCTGGCTGCCTAGAAGGGGATGAAGACAGTGGTGCCCTGAAGGAGAGATTCTGGCACAGAAGGGGAAGACCAGTATCCTGACTTTACCACTTGATTCTGTAGCTATGGATTTTGTTTATTTTTCACCATGTTTGGAGAAGAGAAGGGACGAATGTTCTTAAAAGACTTTTTTCATGTACTTGGACAACAGGTCAACCAAGGAATGGGCTGTCCCAGAGGCCCTATAGGACCCCAGGTGTCCTGGATGAGTGGACTCTTTAGCAGATGGATTTCTTGGGTGTAGGAGGTGTAGGGGCCTGCACAGCGATGTTCTGTGACTGAATGGGTGCATACACCCCCAGCTACAGGCGATCATATTCCCCATACACCCCCAGCTACAGGCGGTCATAGTCCCCATACACCCCCAGCTACAGGCGGTCATATTCCCCATGGGTGGAGGGGGAAGGACCGAGTACTACAGAGATTTGTCTTCTTTAAGAAAAAACATTCACGCCTTTAGTTTAGAAATGGTCTGCGAAGGGGACAAGACAGGGCTGGCCACATTTTTTCAGTGGGACCAGTATTTGCCTGCCCTCTGGGCTTCCAGGAGGTGGAATTCTGAGGTCGGAGTGGGGTATGAAAGCATGAAGCGTCCTCCGAGAGGTTCCCCAGATCTCTCCCCAGCTCACTTGAAGGCTGCCAACTTTTCCTCTTCATTTTTTACTCACAAAGCCAAGAATCTGTGTTCTTCCCTTTCCTCCCAGCTCTATCCAGCTCCCTTAACTTCCCACTTCCCAGCCATGCCCTCTTTCCAGAGGGACCGAAAGACATGCTGTCCTGGGGCTGTTATTCTTAGCGTGGGAGGTCAGGTCACAGGGAAAGGGGCCTTTCGGTTCCCAGGCATTTCTGCCGAAAGAAAACAGAAACGCCACCCCGGAGACTGGACAGCCAGGATGGGTGAAGCAGAGATTAGCTGACCAGGGCGTGGGTGAGGTGAGGGTCAGCTTCAAATCAGGGCTTTCTTGTTGGCTTCCCAGGGTATTTTTCTGAATATAGTGGAGCCTATGAGGCAGAGAGACTTCTTTCTCCCATTTAAGTCACATGCTATGAGCAGGAAATAACCAATTCGCTCTCAGGTTCTCAGATATCATTCACAGGGCAAAAGGAGAATAGTGATTTTGGGGAGAGGGAAATAAGAAGTGAAGACCCCAGATGAACTACAGCTATGCATAAGACTTAAAATTAGATTTTGGAAAACACTGGGTGACCCTCTCGATATGAATACTGTCTTTGTGGGGTAGAGCTATTTCAGAAGGGAAGGGCAGGGAAGTCAAGGAAGAGAAGGGAGACAAACAAGAACAAGAGCAGAATCCAGGAATTCTCTGCATCAGCCTAGAAAGCGTGCAAGAAAACATTATTTCGGTGTGGGAGGAGGAGGAGAGAGAGGAAGGTGTGAGTGTCAGTGCTCAAGAAAGGAGGATGAGTTGGAATCTTCATCCACCAGAGAGACCTGAAACAAAATGGGTAAGTTGGCCTTGGTCTGCAACACCTCTAAGATGGAGAAAGGAAAAGGAAGAAATGGACAGAACAGAGCAAAGGTTTGGTGTTGAAAACCAGAGAAACACACACAGTTAATCAGCGGGCACACCAGGGTGAAGGGCTGAGACCTAAAGGAACCCTGTTAACCGCCTGGCTGTGCACCCCTGGTCACCCTTTCTCCCAGATTTCTTTGTATATGTGCAGACAGAAGGCACAGCCCCCTCTTTCTTGACCATGGGAGCCCCCTCCTCCCATGGCTCCACGCTGGCTCTCACTGGATTGGCACTGGCTGGGCTCTGTTGGAGTTAAGGCCTTGTGCCTCACACTTGTCCTCAGCAGGCTGTGCTACTCCAGGCTTTAGACTGACATCTGTTTGGTGGCACACTACCTGGGAGCTGCAGAAACCAACCAGGTTCCTTGTCGCTGAGAGCTCCTGTGCCCCAGCCCTGGGGGATTTCCACAGAGCTGGAATGCAGTGGGTGAGGGTACATGTCTGGGCACAAACAGGGTCCCTTTAAGAGGCAGCTCTTCACCCTGACCCATCCTCCCACCGTCCTGCCTTTGGTGCCCAGAGCCCCTCAGTCCTCCAGCTGGACCATGAAGACAATTTCAGGGCCAGCTTTCAGGCCTCCATCCCCATTGCCCCTTTGTCCCCTCCTCCCACTATTTCAACAGCCCCTTCCTCCCACTTGGACCACACCCTGCCCAGAAACAAGGCCCAGGTCCTTCCTGCTGGTCCCCAAGTCCCCAGGTGGTTGGGTCCTAGGAGGAATACTTTTCCCAACACTCTCGGGAGTGGAAGGGCTTGATGCTGTCTCATCTCTCTTCTCTCTGTTTTTGCCCGCCCCCTCGGTTGCTGGAAACCATTAGTAATAGGGGTTTTAAGGGTGTAATGGAGAAGGGAGGGTGGGAAAAAAATCATACACGTCTTACGAAATCAGTCTGACCTGGAGTCTGGTTATACCTGTTGCCCCTTATTTCTCTGGTGACTGTGTCCCAAATGGTTGAGAAGTAAGGGGTTGGAGAAAGGGTTTTCCTGGCTCTCCTTGAAGTGGCAAACCAAACCTCTACTGTCCAGCTCCTCAGAGCCACGCAGGGCGGGCTGCCCAGAAGGGAAAGCGTTTTTGCAGCTGGAAGCCTTGCCCTCGCCATCCCCCAATCCCACAGGCTGAGTGGATTTCCCCCTTCCAACTCCCCACTCTGGAGATGTGTTCATAAGATGGGCCTCTCCTCTGGCCATCTCAGGGCAGGTCCCAGTACCTAGGCCTGAGTGCCAGAGCACCTCCACTCACTGATAGGGGTGGGCTGAGAAAATGGTCACCAAATTGTTATTGACATCAGAAAATCATTGCTGGGAAGGAACAACTGCTGCAAAAGCATCATAGGATGCATTTCACATGCACGAGAATTGTGGATTTTCTTCCATTTTGGTTGTCCATGCCCTGATTTGGCTCCATCGTTGGAGATATACCAAGTTGAAAGAGGCAGCATACTGGTGAAAAGCTTGATCTCTGGAGGCAGATCTGGATTCAGACACTACCTCTGCCACTGACTAGCTGGGTAGCCTTGAACAAATAACTTAACTTCCCTATACCACTGTTTCCACACCTAGAACATGGGATAAAGCACAGAGTTGAGGTGAGGGTGAAAGGAGACCATGCATCCAAAGCACTCAGAACTTGCCATTTCTTCTGCTCCCATCCACAAGGCACATGTGTCCTGATCTTTTATTGCTTTCTTCTGGTCCCAGATACTGTGTCTTAACTGTGGGGCCATGGTCCAGTGGTACTTCCTGGCTGTAAAATGCCTACCTCCCGGGTCCTCTGCTTTTTGGAGACAAGACATGCCCATCTCCCAGTGGGAAAAGGGATGGGATGACTACCTATGTAAGAAATCATGGGCCTCCTGCCAACTGGAGGAACACTTCCCAAGCCCTCTGTGTGCAATCGCTTAAAACAAAAAGCAACCAGAGTCCAGAGGCTTCCACCTCATTACACCTTCAAGTGCAATTTCAAGAATCTCGTCATCACCGTTGTCTTTATTCTAGTCGGCTGGAGATTGAGCTTTCTGAGGGGAGGTAATCATAATCTGATTATTATCCATACAAGCACCAGTCCTATGTCTTGCATAGGGTTAATGTGAGGACCAATACCTAGGGAAGTATTTTAAAAAAATCCAAGAGATGCCTATTCTTTATACCGACTCTATCCGGCCTCCTCAGGAATAGGTGTTCTGGATGTGTGAATGTTCCAGACAGAGGATGATGACCAAAATCTCTGAATTTCTACCTTTAAAAAAAATGTTCACTTTAAAGACAGGGTCTCTCTCTGTTGCCCCAGCTGGAGTGCAGTGGTGTGATCATAGCTCACTGTGGTCTCAAGCTCCTCAGCCTCCCAAGTACTACGCCCCTCTAATTGTTTAATTTTTTTTTGTAGAGATGAGGTCTTGCTATGTTGCCCAGGCTGGTCTGGAACTCCTGGTCTCAAGTGATCCTCCTGTCTCCGCCCTGCAAAGTGTTAGGATTACAGGTGTGAGCCACTGCGCCCGGTCAGCCACTGTCATTATTTACCAGCGTTGCTCTGCCTAGTGACGTAGGAGTCACAGGTTCTATTTTGGGTGTGGGACTGAACAGCAGGGAAACAAAGCCTAGGTGTGTGAAAGGAGGAAGGAGGAAGCTGAAGGTTCTGGAATCTTGAGTTCTCCTTTAGTCTGTCTCTCAGGTCTTTTCTGCCCATCCTCCAGGTCACTAGTATTCAAACTCTCCTGAATGAAATCTGGCTGACGCTGTTTGGGATTGGCGACAGGGTGCAGGTTGTCACGGCTGCATTTTGTAAGACTCGAGTTCATGTAGACAGTTAACTGCTAGGTTCTTAGAAGCCACTCTTCTTTTATCGAGAGGGGTGGTGGCAGGGGCCCATTTTCTGTCTGTTACAGGAGAGCTGCGAGGGGACTGCTGTGGAAGGGGTGACGGGTGCATGCCTTTGCCCTTCAATTCCGAGTCCTTCGCTCCTTCTCTGCCCAGAGCAGAGGCCGCACCAGCTTTCAGTCAGGCTGGTGGCAAGAAGGCGTCCACGACGAAGTCCGCACACCTTTCACTCCTTGCCTGGGGTGGTGCTGTCAGTCTTAGGCATTTGGAGGGCAGAGGTGCTGTCACTGCCATGACTCATTTCTTTCTCTTCTCTGTTCCTTCCTGCCTGCCTTCCTTATCTGCCCCAAGAAACACAGGGGAGGCAGCCAGCTCCTGAGTTCCCCGGCCCTGTGGGGAAGCTGACTCTGAACACGTGGTTTCCCCTCCTAGGACACATGGGTCACGGAGCGTGCTGGCTGGAGGGGCTGCAGGACTTCGGGGCTGGATTAGAAGTGGGGCTGCTGAGATTGAGACAGAGAGTGGAAAAGGACAACGGGTCCTCTGAAGGGCCCTTGGAGACAGGGGTAGGAACATCAGTCAGGAAGCAGCTGGAGGCTGCCACGGTGGGGTGGCGCTGAGGGAGGGAGGGGCAACAGATGGCTTCACCGGACCTAGGGAAGGGGGTCCCTGCAAGAGAGCAGAGGTCCTGCTTGAGTGAGCAAGCACTGGAGAGAGCACAGGTGCGCCAGGCAGGGCGCTGGGCAGAGGTGGCTGTGGGGGAGGGAGCTGTGCCCAGCTCCTGGAAACACTGATCTTTTCTGGGTCCCAGAAATGATGAGAGCCGAATGAACCGGGGAGAGGAGCTGGGTCCCACTGGCAGCTGGCGGCGGTGGTGGTGAAGTCTCAGTGCGTGTCTGTGTGTCTATGCAGAGTTGATCCCATTGAATATCATGAAAACAATGGTAACCGACACCAAGCAGAGATAATATAAATTGTATTACACCAGGATGCCATTTAGACATAACAGTAATCATGGAAATTAGTGGCACCTAATGGAGAAGGCATAACTGGAGCACACAGCTGCCAGCAGCCTGGGAGGAGGTGGGGATTTCTGCCCTCCTCTGTCAGCTCCCATCCTGTGATGTGTTAATTCAGAAGCACCCCAAGACACACGCTGCACAGCTAGCTTGAGGACTGCTTGGACAAAGGGCAGGAGTGGGCAGGGGGCTGGGTGCTTGCCTCGTGAGAGGACCCCAGGCGGGTGGAGGCGAGGGGGGCTGCTCTCCTAGTTGCAGGAGGAACACACACTCCTTAGAATGCACACTTTTAACTGGACACTTTCTGCTCCCATTTTTCTTTGGAATTAAGGCTTATCCTCCCCAGGACATTTTTGAAGGCCTTCGTCCATTTATTTACTCATTCATTTATTTATCTCATCAACACATAATAAGCACTTACTAGAGGCCTGTAACTATGCAAGGCTTGGGCATACGAATATGAATCAGCCCTCCTGAAGCCTGCCATCTTCCCCACTGAGAGCAGATGAAAATTTGGGGTTATGGGTTAAGCTCCATTTGGGGGTCTCAGGAGGCTCTTTTTCTGCCTCAGTTTGTACCTGGGTAGATTGGGGGATCCCAATAGCTGCTTCACACTACTCATGCTGGAATAAATGAGCCGTTTTCTGCAAAGGTGCCTCCAGGACTAGGGTGCTGAATCAATGCCTCCTTGGAGAGGGATAAGGCTAGGCAGACACATGGCCATGCACACAGGCAACTTTAAGCTCAAATGAACAGCACCATGCACTCTGAAGAAGGGAAGGCAGGAAACAAGCAGCATCAGATGTGGCTGGAACAAGGAGGAGCAATCTCTCCTTTGCTATGGGAGGGCTTGAATCTGTGGCAGCCTTCAAAACCGCCTGCCTGCCTAGAACCCCTTCCAGTCCAATCCACAGGACCAAGGCCATGGAGAGAGCTTTCCAAACCCCAAACAGAGAGGTCCCTTCCTGCTCAGCACTCTCAGAAAGCTCCCACAGCCCATCCTGTCACTCCTGCCTTGTGCCCTCTCTAACCTAGTGGGCGAGTGCTCCTGGAGAGAGCACAGGTACGCCAGGCAGGGCGCTGGGCAGAGGTGGCTGTGGGGGAGGGAGCCATGCCCAGCTCCAGGCATGGCCAGGGCATCTGGCCGGCAACCTGCACCCACACTCTTGAACAAGATGTGAATAAAATGATAGACCGCCTTCACTTCCCACAATGAGCCTCGGGTTGTGCAGGCAGGTTACCTAACTTCTCTGTGCCTCAGCTTCCCTACCTGCAACATGGGAATAACCAGAGTACTTGCCCTTGTAGGGTTTTTATTTTATTTTATTTTTAGAGACAGGGTTTAACTCTGTCATCCAGGCTGGAGTGCAGTGTTGCAATAATATTTCATTGCAGCCTCCATCTCCTGGGCACAAGAGATCCTCTCGTCTCAGCCTCCCAAGGAGCTGGGACTACAGGTGTGTGCCACTATATCTGTCTAATTTAAAAATAGAATTTTTTTTTTTTTTTTTTAGAGATGGGGTCTTGCCCAGGGTGGTCTTGAACTCCTGGGCTCAAACGGCCCTTTGGCCTCGGCCTCCTAAAGTGCTGGGATTACAGGTGTGAGCCACTGTGCCTGGCCCCTTATAGGGCTTTGTGAGAATGATATAAGTTCACACCTGCCCTGTCTGGCACCGAGAACGTGCTCACTGATTGCTACAGTTGCTACTATTGCTGTTGTTGGTGGGGTTCTTGCTGAGAGGCTACCTTCCTGTACTGCCCGCAGCCTGTGTCACAGAAGGTCCTTCCTGCCCCTAAGGCAGGCTGACCCAGCGCAGGGCCGGAAGCACTGGCAGCACCTCGGGCTTTGGTGGGTCGGGTTATCGCCGACGCACCCTGTAGGTCTGGGAATCCCTCTTCTTCCTACCAGACCGGTGTGTTCCAGTTTCCTTCCCTGTGGCAGGGCCAGAGACGGAAACCACAGTGTACTTTCCCACCGGGCTTTTTTACACCGTGTGAATAATTTTCTACATTAAATAATTAAATGTAATAGCTAATACTAGCCTTCCCACATGAAGGCTTTATGCAAGTCATATAATTATTTTTTATGCTTCATAGTGACTTTTAAGCTCTCCAGCACAAGGCCGGAAAGAAACCTGTCACAGTGTTGTAACAAAATGCAAATCCCTGAGTGCAGAGCCATGGGGGGCGGGGGGAGCGGGGGAAGGTCCTCCTGGCAAAGCTGGGGCCTGCCTGTCTAAGGAGCACTGCGTGGCACCCGGTGCCCCGTGGGCACTCTGCAAATAAATAATAATCAGGGGAATGCGGGAGCTTGGCCCACACAGCTTTGGCCTCTGAATTCTGTGCCGATGGCGAAGGCTGGGGCAAGAGTTGCCGCATTTCATCCGCAGCTGCTGCCCTTCTTTCCCGGTCCCTTTTCTACTCCTTTTAATGCATTTCTCTACCTAGGGATTTCTGTGGACGGTGGCAGACACTGCAGTTTCTCAATAGATTGGATAAACAGGTTTCATCTAAAAGTCACTAAGACGCTGAGTCAGCCAGCCTGAGGCTATGTGTGGGTTCTTAGAGAGGGGGTGACACTGGCCACCACGGGGCGCTGTGGAGCTCTGTAGGGACATGGAGTATACAGTGGGTGCGGAGACTATTCCAAAAAGAAGAGCACTGGGTCCAGAAAGGATTGAAGACCTAGCCCAAGAGAATGTCTAGGTTTCCGTACGATTTTTGAAATAAAATTCTTGCTTGCTCTTCAAGTTCTTCAATGTGAATATTCCAGGTTAGTGAGGAAATGCAGTCATACAATCCAAGATACGGTCATATTTCTAGTGGCAGTGTTATCCTTGCTGAGCCTCGGCCCCTGGCCAGCCACTGAAGACTCCCCCACTATCAGTGTCACTGAACATCACCCATGAAGGGTGCTCCTTGGATAAGTATTTCCCAAACATTCCACAGGGCCCAAGGATGCTCCTTCACTGGGCAGAACCCTCTCACACGTTGTGGGACTTTCAGCATCCTCAGTCCCACCCGCTAAACACTAAATGTCAGTTTTACCTCCCCGAATCATGGTGACGCCCTACAGATTTCCAGAACTGTGTTCTGTAGAACACTAGGTCTGTGGAAGTGTTCATCGGCGTTACAAAAAACCAATGACACAAAACAAACCCCCAAACAAGGACCCCATCCTCCAATGAGCCTGGGAGGGTTGAATTTCAGAACTTTGGCCTGAGGTAGTCTCAGGGCCCAGCACCTCTCACTGGCCCTGAGTTCTGCACTGAACTGTCTGAGCACACTTGAGCCAGAATTTCCCTGACCTGGGTGGCCATGCTGCTAAGTCCTGCTGAGCACGGCACGGATGGCGGCTCCGGAGCCACTGTCTTTGCCTTCCATCTCTGCTTTCTCTTCCGGCAGACCACCCCAGAGAGTGACAAGCTCCTGTGGTGGGTGGAGAACTGAAGGGGGTGTCCTTGCTGGATGCCGGAGCTTGTGAGCCAGGGGCTGGAGTCACTTTTGCGAGGAGGGGCACCCCAGAGGAAGCTGCCTGTCTTGTCTTCCGTTGGCCTTCATTCAGCTGACACTGACAGAGATGACAGGCACACGGCATTCCTGGGCTAGCATTTGGAAGGAGGTCAGTGTGGATGCCACCAAGAGACAGTCCTGCTCAAAGACTTTCCAGTCCTGCTGGAAGGATGAGACATTTCCATCAAGAGCTCTGATTAAGTACCAGAAAAGAGGGAAAAGGGTGCTCTGGAAGCTCAGAGGTGGTGGAGACCACTTCTAGCCAGGCTGATCTCGGGAGGCAGCTTGAAGGATGCAGCACTAGAGGTGTTTATTATTTATTACACGGAAAAGGTGAGAGCATGGGTGGCTCTGAAAAGGAGACAAGGGCTGGAGGACGGGGCCGGCCAGAGCAGCTTCCTCTGTGGACAATGGGGAACCATGGAGAGGCTCGTGGGGGCACTCAGGACCAAGCAGAACCACGAGGAACAGCGAAGCTTCTGCAGGGACCCAGAGAGGCTACGGCAGGGGAGGGATGGGAGGGAGAATGCCAGGCAGGAACCAACAGTCTCGATGTTTGAACGTGACCCAATCACAGCCACTTTCCTTTCATCCCAAATCCTAAACCCTTGTCCCACTAGACTGCCACTTTTTTTTCTTCAGGCAACATCTTAGACTGTTCTTGAATACCTTCCCAAAGAGCAGGGCTGAACACAGAGCAGTGAACGACGAAGGCCTGGGCTCCTGCAAAAGATTTTAAGGCATTTCCCTGTACATCGAAAGACTACATAGAGATGAAAACGTCTTCCTCAAAAGTGACTCCAAGAGCAGGGCATTTCTTGCTGTGGTCAGGGTTATCCCCACGAGGCTGAGAACAGCCACTGGCCCTGAAGATCTGTCCTGAGGCCCCACAGAAGGCCACCAGGAGATGGAAAACTGAGCCGGCCAGACTTATGAGCCTCAGGCTGCCCTGACCATTGTAGGGGCGGAACACAGGTGAGGTGGTGGGTGGTGGGCAGAGCGAGGAGAGAGGAAAGATTGTGAAGGAAAGAAGAGAGCTGTATGAGAACGCCTGTCCCTAGCTTCAGCATTGGGCTGGGGGCGGGGTACACTCCCCCATTATCCTGTGTTTTTTATAGCAAAGAACCTCTTAGCCAAAGAGAAGTGCAGAAGGTCTGTCTTGGAAACTCCTTTTATGGAATCATGAGGACTGCAAATTCAATTCTGCACAGCTGGGAAAAGGAAAGGGCCCTGGTTCTGTCGCAAACATGTCCAGCAAGGTCTGGGAAGGCCTGGCTTTTGAGCTCCTCCAGGGCAAGGATTTCTAGTATGGGAGAAGGAGGGGCAGAGTCAGGGACCTCTGTGATGCTCAGTATGGGAGGACGTGGGTGAGGGTAAAGGTGCACACTGAAGACCCCAGATCAGATTATGCAGTTCCCCCACTGAATGACCCATCCCTGTGGTTTCCAAGGACAGTCAGAGGAAGTCCACACTCCTCACTGTGGTCCTGAAGGGCCTGCACACACTGGCCTCTGTCCGGCCCTTTTCATGTCACCCTCTGGACAGCAGGGCAGCATTCTGGCCTCCCTCTGCCTGTCCTCAGTTTCTAGAAGGCCTGGAGGACCGTTTCTTTCTTCTCCGCAGCTGGCTTAACTCATCCCTACTCTTATCCTGGGGAATGATATTTTCTTCTCCACCCCTCATTTCAGCCTTCCTGGCTCTTGGCCTCCAGACCCCTTTCCTTCTCCTTCCTCTCTTCTCTCCCAGTTTCCTTGTGATTCTGCATGTTCTCCAACTCTTCTCCCAGGACTTGAAGGCTTCTGGACAGGATTCTTGGAGTTTCTATCTTCAGAGGGAATAGATGGCGCTGACTCCTAAAATACATCTCCAGCCCAGATCGCCTGTCTGAATTCCAGATTTTCACAGCCTACGTGACATTTTCTAACCTAATATATCCCCACATTCTCACTTTAAACTGGTTTCTTCCTGTTCTTCTCTATTTCAGCAAATGACACCACTCTTCCATCCACTCAGGGAAAGCCAGGAACCCCGGAGCCGTCTCTGATTCCTGTTCCTCACCCTCACATCCAATTCGCCATCCAGTGATGTCATGACTCTGCCCCCCTCGCTCCATCTCTTCCACTGCCACCTGCCTTCCCAGCATCAGGCTCCTTGCTGCTCCCCATCTCACCACACCAGTCATTTGTCAATGAGCAGCCAGCATGCTGGTTAAAAAATGAAAATCAGATTATATAATCCTCCCCACTGAATGGCCCATCCCTGCGGTTTCCAAGGACAGTCAGAGGAAGTGCACACCCCTCACCGTGATCCTGAAGGGCCTGTGCGCTCTGGCACAGTCCTTTTCACGCGCCACTCTCAGTTTCCAGAGCGAGCTGAGCTTGCCCCTGCCTCGGGGTCTTTGCTCTTCCTTCTGCCTGAAATGCTCCTCTTCTGGCTCCTTTTCACCCTCCAGGGCTCAGCAGAAATGGTGCCTTCCTGACCTCCTTATTTTAAACAGGTGCCTCTTCACTCACACTCTTTAGTTTCCCCACCCCAGCCCTTACCCCATCTGAAACCTTTGTTTGTTGTGTATTGGTGTCTCCCGCACTACTCTGTGAGCCCTATAAAGATGGTACCATGCTTCAACATCATCACTGAGGCGCTCAAGAACTACTTATAGAAAGAAAAGATGGAAAAGGAAGTACGGATAAGTGGAAGTTACAGAGGGGTGCATTTTAATTCAGTATAAAGAAGGATTTCCAACAGAGCTACCTCTAGAAACAAGGAGACTTGTATGGCAGAAAGTAGGACTGTGTAGAGATTTCTGCACTGATGGAAGCTCAATGGTCTCAATCCTTTCTGACACTAATATTCCGACTTTCTTTTCCGGGCTCACAATTCTCATTCATCCATTCATGCATGCATGCATCAAACTTTCACTGAATGCCTCTCATGGCACAGAGATGAACATGAAACAGCTCCCGCCATTGATGAATTTGGCAATTTTTGTGTCCCCAATGTGTAAGTCTTCCCATTGCAAATGTGTGTGCATGTGTGTGTGGAAACACATGCAGATGAGTGTGTAGTAGGCTTCGGTTTCACTTTCCTGAGCCCACCTGTCAGCTGACTACCCCTCTCCTGAAAGTGCTTGTCAACTCAGATTTGGAAACAAAATTCAAAGGTCCAAAGCAATCTAGGGAATGCAGGGGCCACAGACAGAATGGCTGAATGAGAGGGAAGGACGGCAAGGGGCCTCAGAGAAGGTGGCAGGACACAGGAGTGGAGTGAACACTTTCCATTCCAGAGGGTGGTGACTCGAGAATGGCTTTCTTTCTTTCTGTCTCGGATCTTAGAAGGAAGACAGCTAACATTTACTGAGGACTCACTAAGCGCATAGCAACAACATGGCTTATTCACATTTCTTGTTTTAATAGGGTTGTCGTGGAAAGAGTGGCTTTTGAGTCACCTAAGCCTGCAATAGAATCCCAGGATTTTTACAATGATTAAATGCATTCCTATTAAGGTGCTTAGAGCAGTATTAGGGTGCATACTAAGCAGGATGGTGTTTGTTACAAACTGACAATAACAACAAAAAGCCAGCTCTGGACTTAGCCTTTTTCTGACCTCCAGTTTCTTCAGATGTAAAATGGGAGGCCATAATATTCGTCTTATGGATTGAATGAGATAAGGCAAGTAAAATATCCAGCTTCATGTCTGGTTCTTCATTGACAATATATGTTGTTTGCTTCCCTCCAGTGCTTCTAAATGTTACTTGATCTCAGGTGTAGGCATTGATTATCGACTGCTTCTTTTAAGTTGAAATATGAATGCCAGCTGACAGGAGTTTTCCTAGTGACAAATGAGAGGGTGAACTGGGGATGCTACAAGTCTCAAGAGTGGGCCAAAGTCGCCCCAGGCAAGTGTGGCCTTACCTACCTGCTTGTATTCATGATTGAGTCCCTGGTACCAAGCCTACCGCCTAGCACGTGAGCTGCTCAACAAAATATTTTGGGGGTTGTTGGTGAACTTTAGCCTGCAGCAAAACACTAAGCAAGTCACACAAACAAAGAGTTCTTGAAATAAAGAATACGAAGAATGGCAAGGCCTAGGCACCGAGAAAGAGAGGGAATGGTGAAAAACTGAGCTGAAGGCTTGAAAAGCCGACTAATGGGTTGCATTAGCCACAGGAAAGGGGAGTGATAGTTTAGATGCTGGTAGCGTCGTTGATGCTTGCACAACCCAACTTCAAGGATGCATTAAGATGAGCCTTAAAGTTATTTCATGGTGTGAGACAGAAATCAGACTGAAGGGATAGAATACATGGGCTCAGGATGAAAGACGACAGAATACCAATATTGCAAAAGGGCCCATTTAAAATGGTCACAGACAAGAGGGCACACCCAGGCTGGAGGTGAAGTTCCTTTGGTGCTGAGTTAGAGGGCTGGGCGCAAACTCCCCAGGCGTAGGGATCCGGCTGAGTTTCATCTGAATGGCACTTTCCCTGAAGCCTTCATTCCTCTGTAGATATGACCTCACTCAGTCTCACCACAGTATGCTAAGGCAGTCTTCCTACTTTACAGAGAAACAGACATGGAAGGAACAAGTGCTTGTAGGAAGCTCTTCCTGTCCCGTCTGCTCAGCCCTGGCTGGTTCAAGGTGATGCTGAGGTGGGATCTAGGCTTCCTGGGTCTCAATCTACCAGAATTTCCTCTCTGGGTGGGATCTGGGGTCAGTGGATGATGAAGCGAAGACATAAAGCAAAATTTGCTTTGTAAAAATTAAAACTTCACAAAAATTACTGCATCATACAGAAGTGCATGGCTAATTTAAAACAGTTGGAAGAGGATGATTCCTGGTGAGCGGTGCAGGTGGAGGCAGAGGTCAAGTTGGAGAGAAAGTACATTTCAGCCAGCAATGTCATTGCTGCCGAAAACATGACTGAAAAACAAACCAAGTTCCTAGAAGATTCTCCGCTTTCAAAAAGAGGAACGGGCTCCAGTGTGCATCCTTTCCTCCTGGCCATCCCACTTCCCCTTCCTTCTCCTGGTCCTTGACTGAGCTTTTAAGAACACGTTCTGAAATGTCTCTCAACAGTCCATGGAAGAGTCTGTGGACATCGGAGTCTCTCCTGCCTCCGGGGCAGGCTCAGCTCAGGCCTGATGGATTTAGCTTGCAGGGTTCCCCTGGCCCCTCAGGTGGCCACATTGGTGTCTTTAGAGGAATTCTGGCCCTGGCATTCTTCCCACTGCCTCAGCCCTGGCTGCCCCAGGGCACCGGTGGGGCAGTTTGGGGCCTCGTGGCCTTTGCCACACCTCTCCTTAGGCTGATGAGCCGCTGCTCTGACACAGGCTCATGCACTCTCTTCTCCTGTGGCTGTTTCTGTCACCATTGGCAACCTTCAGGAGCCTGTTCTTTGGTGTGCCGTCCACTTGCCTCCTCCCGGGGGCAGAGAACATGTCTGATTACCATCCAGACTGACACCCTGGCCTGGGTGGGAAAGAGGCCTGGCCCACAGTTCGTAAAGGTGGTTTCTCTTCCCTTGCTCAGACAAGCAGATCTGACCTTTGACTTGGGGGCTGAGTTGTCTGCTGAGGGTGCCCTCCCAACTTCTCCACCTGCCAGGGGAATGTCAGAATCTGGTCCCTTTCCTGGGAGCAGCTCACTCCTGGCGCCACAGACTCCAACACCTAAAACAGCAGGTCCACACCTGAGCAATCCGGACCCTCAGCCTCCAAAGTCCCCTTGCATCTGCACAGGGCATGGATGCCCCTGGAGAACCCCAAGCTGGCTGGAGGAGGGACCACAGTATCTTCGGGTCATGTGACGAAAGCTATTTGCCCAAAGAGGCCAGATGCTAAATCTAAAGGACAGAAGTTTCTAGACATGGACAGAGCTGACAGAGTAGATGAGAAACTGGGCTGTTGTTTCTCTATGGAAGCAAGTGAACTTCCCCATGCACCCACCTCCTCATTCCAACTTTCCCTCTGCCCATCCATATGCGAACCTACAGCCCCAACTCAGCCCTCATCTGTGCCTTTCGACACAAGCCCAGTGAAAACAAGGCAGCTGGTGATGACCCTTCCATTTGAGCCACATCCTCAGGGTATCCCCAAAGATTTCTCCCCTCCGCAGGGCCTGTGGCCACCCATGTCAGGGCCAAGAATCATTTGTAAGAGCAGAAACCAGTCCTAAGAACAGCAGAGCCTGCAGAGAAAAGACTGCTCTGGAAGCCACAGGATCCCTGCCCCCACATGGGCACACTGGATACGAGGACGGCTGCCCCTGAGTGTGGAAAGTCCAAGGCCAGCAACAGCCTCTGTCAGCTCAGAGCCTTCACGATGCAGAGTGGGCTGGTTTTGGCACACGAACTCCAGGTGCTCGCCACTAGGACGACCATTCCAGAGCCCCCTGGCCCTCCCTATAGCTTAGCTGGCATATGTGTCAGTGAGACCGGGGCAAGGCTGGGCCCAGAGCTGTGCTATGAAGAGTGGCCCCAAGAGAGAGCCAGCATTTGACCTCCAGGGTCCCGAGCAGCTCTGGTTCTGGTAGCATCTCATTCACCAGGCTACCGACTAGTCCTGACTCATCCCTCACTCTCGATAAAGGAAGTGCCCAGGGCCTCGTTGATGGATTCCTCAGGACAACAGGTGGGGGACCGGAGAAACCGCTCCTCTTTCTGCCTCTCTACTCTCTGAGAAGCAGACAAGGCCAAGGCTTCACTGCCTTCATTTCCTCTTTCCTGAAAGATAACAGGGGCTTCAAAGCAGACAAGACTGTGGCAACTGAACTGCTGCCCCATTCTTAGCTGATCCTCTGAAAATGCCAGCCACGTCCTTTGTGTGTGGTGGCAGACAGGAGCCACAGCCCCAGATGGCTGTGGTAAGGCCTGTCGGGCCCAGCAGAGACCAGCGTGCAGGGCAAGGGCGCCGGCAGGAAGTCTGGAGAGGAGCCGTGGTGAGGAGGCTGCCTCCACTTCGGAAGTGGCATGGAGGCCATGAGGCGGCAAGTCTGGCCAGCAGCTGGACAAGGCTCTGCACCCCAGAGGGGGTCAGCTAAGAACCCAGAGGGGCTCACGGCTGTTAGATTTCTGTCACTAGGGCAATAAAATGCTGATGGGGAAGTCTAGACAGAAGTCCAATCGACTGTGGAAAAGAGTGTCTGGGTGCCCCATGGCTCACGGGACACGCCCTATGGGGGCTCGCAGCAGCGACTAACTCCAGACCTCACCTGCGCTTGCTGCCTTCTTAGGGCCAGCTCAGGACTGGGTGGGAAAGAGTCTGCAGGGAAAGGGCTGGGTGCTTGCAGCTGCCACTGGCTGGGGAAGGCCAGGGAGGGCTGGGGCAACTGACAGTGGGAGAAACTCACTCGGCCAGGGCGAGAGACTGTCTAACCCAGTCAAGAGGGGCTCCACTATATATGCGTCAACTTCTGGCTGAAAATCACCAGAAGAAAGGGTAGGGGGATGAGAGAAACCATCTGGCTTTGTGAAGCTGGAGCAGCTGGGCTGAGGAGGCCCAGACAGAAAGAGAGCGGAGACTGGGAACGTGTGGGAAAGGGGCCAGGCCTCCCGAGGTTTCAGCTGCTTATTCAAGAAAGCAGGGGGTCAGAGGGGCCAATGAGTGCTTTCACTCTGGGTCCATTCTCCCCTCTGGACCATTCTCAGGCTGGGGGAAAGCCAAAAAGGGAGACCGAGACTTGGATTCCAGAGAGCTGCCAGGGTCAAGGCCCTTCCAGCGTCCTCCTCTTGGGGAGGTGATCACTGGCTACTCCCTGAGTGGGATGGCTTCAGCTGAGGGGCAGAGGTGAGTCTCAGCTGCTTCACCCCTCTGCGGCCCAGGTGGAGCCTGTGTGGAGGGGAGGAGTTAGGAGCCTTCCACGGGGTGAACCCCTGCCTTCCTGGCATACCACATTCCACTGAGGAGGAGAAGCTTGGAGCGCAGCCTCTCACTCATCGCCTCCTGCAGCTCCTCCCCCCCAGTACCCTTGCTGAGACATCCTCGACAGCAAACCTCAGGCAACTAAGTGACATCATCACTCCCACTACCAAACCAGCAGCCGACACTGGAGTAGCTGAGACAGACACTGCTTCCCGCGCCAGGCTCCTGTGCATTCCCTCCTTGGTGACCTCAGAGCTGCCCGAAGGGGCTGAAGCCTCAGGACCACCCAGCCTCATCCTGTTGGCCGTAAAGGATTTACGTGTGGCTCCCTCTCCTGCCATCCTCACCTCCAGCAAAGTGCAATTGGGAGTTTTAACTGGAATGGTATTGAGCCTATGGATCAGTTTGAGGAGAAATGATATCCTAATAATATTGAGCTTTCCAATTCAGGAACATGATAGATGTCTTCAGTTATCAGCTTTTCTTGAATTCCTTTCAATTTTATCATTTTCTCTGTAGAGATCTTAGCCATTTCTGTTAGACTTTTTCCCCAGGCATTGCATATTTTTCAGTTTATCAAATCTATAAGAGTATCTTCAAAATTTATTTTCCTGTCTTTGCTGACAAGCTTCAGTTCATGATAGGACTATCCAGTTATTTAATTACCTTCAGAATATTCCAGCCAGCACTTTTCGTGCTGCCCAGCCTGGTCCTGCACCTTCGTGTGGGGTGCAGGGGCCATCCAGTTATCTCCAGGTCATGGCCTCTCACTTCTAGGGAAGGAGATCCTTCTGGGTCACTGTTCACTGTTCAAATCAATGCTGGCATGATCCACCTCACTCTCTTCAAACCATGCCTGCAGGTTCCTGAGGCTTTGTCAGGGACCGACTCAATCTAAACTGGTTTATGTTGATTCCTAGTTTCTTTGTGTGATTTTTTTTTTTTTTTTGAACAGAGTATGAATTTAAGGAGTGGGATGGTTAGATTTAAGGCAGGGACTTACTTGAGTAAATTTATTTTCCATGGAGTGGTGAGGAGAACACACAGAAATGAAGAAATTGGGAACATCCATGACCATGAAAACAATGAAAGAATGAAGCAAGAATACAAGTTGACCGGCTGATGGACCAACCAACCAGCCAGTTGCAGAGACGAAACATAAGCAGTGACAACTTCAGACTGTCTTCAACATCCTTGGTTCCTAGCCATCCTTTCACAGCAAATGCTGATGCTCATCTGGGTCATACACAAACAACCATGCCAGTGAAATAAAAAGTGCAGCACAGAGTCCTACTTAATGGTGGGAAATGAAAGTTGTCATGGATTCAGGTCATGGTTAGAAGCCACTGGTTCTTGGGCCAGATCCAGCTGGATATTCTTCCAGAGCTTCAAGTTTTTCCAGTTTGGTTTTCTGCCTGAAAATTTTGGAGCTGCTTTACCTGGAGTCTATTTGTGAATGAAGAACATAGCTCAGTAAGAATCCAGGGACTCAGCTGTGCTCCATGATGCTCCTAACTGGGTGGTGACCTTTATCCCCCTCTTGCCAGAGCCCCTTTAGGGAAATTCACAGGGAAAGATCCATTTTCCTTTCTCTTTACACCATAGATGTACCCTGGAATGTGAAATGCAAATGGGCCCAGGATGGCTGTCTTCCTTCTTGGGTAAAAGTCTCTGTTATCTTGCCCCATCTTCTCACAATAGAAAACCAGGGACAGAGGAAATTAGGAGGCACTTTACAGTTTAGACCACTCGCAATGGTTACTTCCTAGGAAACTGGCTTGTTCCTTGATTGGCAGGATTTAGGTGGAGTGTCTTTTAGACGGAGGACGGAGGCTCCTGCAGGTGTCAATTTCATGCACTTCCCAGGGAAGGTTGTCTGTATGTCTCCCGTGCTCAGGAGGCATGATTCAGAAAGTCCACTGCAGGCTCTCCAGACTGCCTCAGACATCGTCAGAAACACATCTGAGTCAACTGTGGAATGACTCAAGGCTTTGAAATATTTAAACCATATGTCTCGTGACACTGTATGAAAATGATGCCAGTTTCCCCACTGAGAGGAGTCATCCGAGACTGAGGCTCGGCTAGGCAGTGACTGCACTCCTGGCCTCAGCTGGTCATGCTGCTGTGGGTGGCGAACTGTCAGAGCTCCTGGGCTGCAGGGCTTGGAATAGGACCATGTGTGGGCACAGACACCGTGTACCCTAAGGAAGGTGTCAGGGCAACGCAGGGGTCCTCTCTAGGTCAGGACAAGATCTGTCCTCCTAAATGGGACTTGTACAGGAAGGTGAAAAAGAGTGTACTTGCTTCTCTGGAGAAGGCAGGAAACCACCGTTCTATCACCAAAGGATGTCCCTTAGGAGACTTCCTCTATGAAAATCAGCTGGGATCCCCAGGCATTCTTTGAGTGACAGAAGAATCTGCATTGTAGGAATATTGTCTTATCTTTTAAGTCCCTCCAAGGTTGTTTCCCTCTTGCTAAAAAATACCCGCAGAACACTTGACATGGGAAAATGATAGTTAACCTCAGTGTGGTGGAAAATACAGTGAAGTCAGAGGTGCCGGATTCCAGTCTCCGTTCTGCCAGTTCTTAGCAGTGGATCAATTAATCCTGGGCACTTAATTGTTTGAGCCTCCCTTCCCCCTTCTCCACAGAGGGATGCTAATACCTACTTTAAAGGGACGTTTTGAGAATGACGTGCGATGATATACATGTAGCACATGATATGGAATCCAAAGTGTGAGTGAATATTCATTCAAAGAAGGCTGTGGATATCTCCTCAATGAACATGGATTCAAAGGCCGAGCTGGACCCTCCCCCACCCCCAATTAATCTTGAGACCAGTAAAAACTTGAATGAAAATAGAAGATATGGCCAGGGATTCTTGCTCTTGGCCTCCTGTTGATCTGTGTTGCCTCTGGGAAAACTACCAAAGGAGGGAGGGGAAGGCTCAGTAAGCTGGAGAGATTGTCTCAAGTCTGTAACTGCATGATGCTCCTAGAACTCGTTCCTTCTCATCCTTCTCCAAAAGGTGTTATGGTAGCCTGGGGGCTGCTCAGTTGCTCTTATAGCCTCCCTCAGAAGCAGCTGTCCTGGTGGTGAATCCCGGCCAGTGGATACCCGTGATTCTGACCCATCTACAGAGGCCCAGGGTGGAAGGTGTGGCTCATACCAGTGTCTGCTCCTCCACCACTGAGGACAATGGGGGTGACTGGCTAGGAAGGGCACAGATGATCCAAAGAACAGGAATTCTGACCCTGCCTCATTCAGCAGCAGGCCTAATCTTCTTGCCCTTACACAAGGAACAAAGCAGAGAAATTTGCTGGTAATTGTTCTTCCTGCCCCAGAGCATGTAAGGAGCAATGCCATAGCCTCTTAGGCAGGGAACAGGAGTGCCCATGGGCTGGAGCCCTCAGTCCTGAGCCCTGAGCAAATCCAGCCCTGGCTGAATGTTTTATATGAGGTTGGTCTGTGTGGCTGATGAAATGGGAGGAGGGTGGAACAGAGGCCTGAGTGGATCTGGGGGGCTGGGCCTGGAGAGGTTTGGTCTGCCAGTCTATGAGCATAGTTTCTTCTATTAACAGGTTATGTACTAGAGGATGGGACATAGGAGAAAGACCATCACCTGCCTCTCCTAGGAGAGGCTCAGAGGTTCAGCTCAGCGAGGAATCTGCAGCTTGTGCATGCCAGCCAGGGTCAACACTGAGAGCTGAGAGTGTTTCCTGGAGTTGGCCTGGTTCAGCTCTGGGCAGGTGTAGGAGTTGGGGCACTGACCATCGGAGCAGGGATGGTCCTTCACCGATGCCTTTTTCCCTCTTCCCCTCATTCTGCCTTCAATACCTGCACCCCACCTCCCCGTTCTGTCCACCCCTGATGCCTGGGAATCAAAGGTCTTTCTCAGAGGCCTACCTTGGGTTTGAAGGCAATGAGCTTCAGGATCATCTCCACGGTGAAGAGGCCAGTGAAGAGCATGTTGAGGATGTTCATGGCGATTTTGAACAGGCAGCTCTGGCCGTAGTGCTGCATCAGGAGAGGGGAGGAGCTGTGAACACGGGGCAGGGAGGTCGCTCCTCCTCCCCACCTTTTGCCCAGCCTTCTCGAAGGCCCTCGCCTCAGCAAGACCTTCCTTGAACCAAACCCCCAGAGGGCCGCCCACCTCTCCGTGGGCAGTCAGGAGGACTCAGGAGAACCTCCAAGATCTTCCCTGCTCTGCCATCTCTGAACACATCTGTGTTCATTTCCCTGGTTGGCCGTGACAACTTTATGGAGACTCTGGCACTCAAGAGAGCTTGGGAACAAGCTCTGTCCCTGAAGACAGGTGGATGCAGAACCCACCTCCCTCCACACGCCACACCTTACCGACAACGAATGCGTCCAGCTCATCCCTCCCTTCTCCATCTCCTCCCCTCTCCCCACTTATCAACCAACAATGAATGCATCCAGCTCATCCCTCCCTTCTCCATCTCCTCCCCTCCCTTCTCCATCTCCTCCCCTCTCCCCATTGATCAACCAACAAGGAATGCATCCAGCTCATCCCTCCCTCCTCCATCTCCTCCCCTCTCCATTGATCAACCAACAACGAACACATCCAGCTCATCCCTCCGTTCTCCATCTCCTCCCCTCTCTCCATTGATCAACCAAAAATGAACGCATCCAGCTCATCCCTCCCTTCTCCATCTCCTCCCCTCTCTCCATTGATCAACCAACAAGGAATGCATCCAGCTCATCCCTCCCTTCTCCATCTCCTCCCCTCTCCCCATTGATCAACCAAAAACGAACGCATCCAGCTCATCCCTCCCTTCTCCATCTCCTCCCCTCTCTCCATTGATCAACCAACAAGGAATGCATCCAGCTCATCCCTCCCTCCTCCATCTCCTCCCCTCTCTCCATTGATCAACCAACAACGAACACATCCAGCTCATCCCTCCGTTCTCCATCTCCTCCCCTCTCTCCATTGATCAACCAACAATGAATGCATTCAGCTCAACCCTCCCTTCTCCATCTCCTCCCCTCTCTCCATTGATCAACCCAGGGTGCCATGGATTCTTCCGTAAGGCCCAGAGAGGAGCACATCCTTGACAGAGAACACTCGTCTTTCTCCAAATGCCTCCCTTGGTGACCAGGAAAGCGATGCACTGAGCTGCCTGCCGCTCCGTTACACTTTCCATCCCCATGGCACACTCCCTTCTGCAGCACCATGGCTGTGCTCCTCCTGGGACTGACCTGCATGGCCAGGCAGATGGTGTTGAGCAGGATGAGGACGAACATCAGGTACTCGAAGTAGGTGGAGTTGACCACGTACCACACTTTGTACTGGTGCTGGTTCTTGGGGATGTACCTCCGCAGGGGCCGGGCCTTGAGGGCGTATTCCACGCACTGTCGCTGGGAGGGTGGTGGAGGATGGGGAGAGTGGGGTTAGTTAACTGGAGGGTGTGGGGGGAGCTGGCAGAGAAGTGTGGGATGTGATGAGACCACACACTGTGGGGTGGGGTTCTCCGGAAGTCTGAGAAATCATTGGCCGCTCCGGCTCACTTACAGGTGGGAGGTGTTATTTGGAAAATGTCTTGATTTTTCCATGGCCCCCTTAATCAAGGAGAGAGCCCCTTCTTGTCAAATCCCCGTAACAAGGTCCTAGGCAGGGACCATACACCTCCTTTCCTCACCCTGGTGATGCCTGGCATGTGCCTCGGCAGGGAGTCGGCATCGCTAAGAATGTGCTTCCTGACCGACTGACAGCTGTGCTTCTCACTGATTACTTCCCATGCCACAGACCCTCCTTGGGTACTTCTCTCCTCAGTTTTTCTTTCCTGTCCTAAATCCAGCAGGCTGGAGTGCAGTGGTGTGATCTTGGCTCACTGCAACCTCCATCTCCTGGGCTCAAGCGATTCTCCTGCCTCAGCCTCCCAAGTAGCTGTGATTACAGGCACACGCCACAACGCCCAGCTAATTTTTTGTATTTTTAGTAGAGACGGGGTTTCACCATGTTGGCCAGGCTGGTCTCAAACTCCTGGCCTCAAGTGATCCGCCCACCTTGGCCTCCCAAAGTGCTGGGATTACAGGCATGAGCCACTGTGCCTGGCCAACTAAATCAATCTTTCTTATTTGCCAGTGTCCATAAGATGGAAAAACACAGTTCACTGAGAGGGAAGGAGATTCTGGGCTAACTAGATTCTTGGGACTCTGGCAAAGAGCCAGTCCATTTCTCTGTACTTTGCCCAGGCTTCCAGATCAGGAACTGGGGAATGTCCCCAGCTTCTTCTCAAACCCTCAGCCCCGGTGTCCAACGCCTGAGTCTTAACGCTTTTACCTCCTCCTATTCTTTCCATCGCTACCATCATTAACCGGATACTAGATCGGGGTCTAATCCTCTCTCATTTCCACTTTCTAACTGGCCTCCTCTCTTTCCTGTCTTCTTTCAATCCAGGGTCCACACAGCAGCCAGCAGAGTGAGTCTATGCCTGAGATGTAGACTTGAAAACCCACAGGGGACTGGCTGGCCTGGCGAGGGTCACAAGGAGCACACCACGCTGCGCTCCTGCCCGTGGGCACTCCTTATTCACAGACAGGGATGTGTTTCCCCACGGACTCCTCCCAGTGGGAGCCGAGCTAGGGAACAGACCTGAGGCACTACATCTACCTCCCACCACGACAGCTTCCTGACTCAGCCACGGCACTGCCAGCTCTTCACGGCTAACAGAACCTGTCACGATACTTGGCATCACCATCTCACTCCCACTTAAGCCTCTTTCCTGCCCCCACCTCCCACACAAGCCTCTGGGTTTTACTTAAGAAACCATGTAAGAGTGGTTTCCTGAAGCCGTTCTGTTCCCCACCCCAAAAGCCCTCACTCCCTCACAGTTCTAGTTTCTCTCCTCCGTATCATGGTGCCGACCCACTTGGGTCCCTCTAACTTGTTAACTTCTATATAGGGCATGAGATTTGACAAAACCTATCATAGAGTATCCTTAAGTAGAAGCTTCATAGATATTTGTTGGCTGAGTACATTTGCCAGATCTGGGGTTTGCAGGAATTTGCATTTCTTTTGCACAGGTCCCTCAAAAAGACTGACAGCCCACTCTGGTTGAGGAATAGAGAGACGATCTCAGTATCTGCACGGCCTCTCCCTGTCGCAGCCCCTCTGCGGGGTGGGCCGCAGGCTGCCATTCCCTCCGTGGGCCCCGCTTCCCTCCGCTCCTTCCTAGGAAGCTACCTGGTTCTTGTCCAGCTCACAGTTCTTGTACTCCTGCTCCCCCTGCTCCTGAAAGGTGACGATGACGAAGCCCACGAAGATGTTCATCATGAAGAAGGCGATGATGATGATGTAGATGATGAAGAAGATGGAGATCTCCACACGGTAGTTGTAGATGGGGCCCTTGTCTTCCGTGTGGGAGTCGATGGAGCGGTACAGCAGCCTGCAGGAGGAGACAGGTCCCACAGAGGGAACTGGAGAAGCAGGGTCCCCTCTGCGGAAGGACGGCACCACTGCTCCAGGGATCCCAGGGATCAGGGTGCAGGAGACAGCTCTGGGCTGGAGTCCCAGCTCGGCCTCTTACTGGCTGTGTGACCTTGGGCAAAGCGTTTAACCTCTCTGAGACTCAGATTCTTCATCTGTAAATTGGAGACAATAATTCCTGACTTTCCTACCTTGCAGGGTAGTTAGAATAATGTATAGGAAGGTGTTTTGAAACTGTGAAGAGCTATTTAAATGTAACATGAGTCATGGACATTGATTTAAAACACTGGAAATATTGGTAAATATTGAGACAGCTTTGCAAACTGGCATGAGCTCAGAGAATGTTAGAAGGAATGTAAAATAAATCTCTCCGAGAGCAAATATCCACTTAGATAAAAACACTCACATGACCCATGCTACTCCGATCATCACCAATGGCCTGGTTTTAGACATAAGCAGTTTACATACATATGCCATTCATTTGAGCCTGGGCTGTGTGCCCCATGAAGCTTGTTATTTTTCATGGACAGGGATTATCTCTTCCCCTTCCTCTGTAGCCCTGCACAGCACTTGGTTATTCTCCAGCTATCACCTATATCTTACCACATAATAATGTGACTCTTACCTAAGATCCATGCATTGCTGTTGACTTAGAAACATTTAGAATTTTCTGACTTTCAGATTCTAATTTCACTGGAATACATATTGGGGGAAAAGCAGGTATCTATACAAAGATATAAGGATCTGATGGGAAGCTGCCTGGTAGAGGTGATGCAGCGTGCAAGGCCCACGGGCTGCTCTACGCACAAACGCATTGCCTCTGCAGAGGAAGTGGGGCCCGGGCTTCCATCCCTTTCCTACTTTCCACTGTAAATACAGGCAAGGCTTTTTCTAAGGAGACCGGGATCCAGTCAAATAAAACAAAGACATCTCAGCCATCTTTACCCAATGAAGGGCATGCTGGGAGTGGCAATCTTGAATCCTATGGTGACCACAGGGCCCACACCTGGAGAAGCTCTCCCCACACCCAACTCCCAGATGCCATAAGGGTAATGACAGAGATCTCTGACATCGTGGCTCATGCTGAGGTTGGAAAGAGGGCTAAAAAAAGGTCACTTTTGGTGGGAGTTTCTTGACACCTTCTAGAGAAAGAAGAGTCGGTTTCAGCAGTGACAGTGGACTGTAAGTTCTAGAAATACACCTCACTGCCTGGGGAGGACCCAGGTAAATATGACCTCCAGAGGGAGTGCGGGACATTAACAAAACTTGGGGATGGGCTGGAAAGTCAGTACTGGCCCTTGAATGTCAGGGCTCGTGGGGCCTTGCTTTGCATACTCACTCTGGCCACCCTTCGAAGGTGGAGACGGTGAAGAGGGCCATCATGGCTGCCAGAACATTGTCAAAGTCAAACTTGCTGTTCTCCCAGCTGCGGGGTTGGATGATGGGGTGGTCAACCTCCCCGTCTTTGTACGTGATGTAGTTGCCCCTGAGAGAGGAGGAGAAGGAGTTTACTCTGGGATCTCCCATCTTCCTTCACGCCTGGCCTGCCAGTGACCTTGAATGCTGGGTGGGATGGGACTGCCTGGCTTGAACTTCACCGTTCTAGCCATGGGAGGAGCTTCAGTGGGCAGAAACTTCAGGAACAAAAAATGCTACACATTGTGTCCGTGAGGCCAGATGACACACAGGCAGAGCGCAGGTGCCACTGCAGTCTTAGAAAATGAGCTGTCCCTCCTTTCTGGTCAAGCCTCCAGCCTCCTGGGGCTGACCGGCCGTGGCCCTGGCTGCCCTCCCACCTCTACTCACTTGCATTCCGCCTCTGTCTGCTTGGAACTGTCTGAACAGGTGTACAGCTTTCCCTGGAAGGCAGAGAACAGAGTATCAGAGATGTTCAGTAATCAATGAGTCAATCCAAAAGCAATTAGTGAGCATCTCCATAGCCCAGCACTGTGCTAGGGACAGTGGGATAAAAAGTGCAGAATCCAGATGGGCAGGACCTGACTCACACGCACAGAACGGTGGCGAATACAGACGCCAGTGCTGCAAGTAGCACTGCAATGCAAAAACAGGAGCTCGGGTCCATGGGAGCTGTACTCTCCGGGGAGGTCTCGCCAGGGAGGGAGAAGTGGAGCTGGGCTCAGAGGGATGAATTAGATGGGCGTTTACACAGTGGAGGGGAGCGGGGGCGAATGCTCTAGGTGGGAGAATAGCAGAACTAAAAGGGTGAGGGCAAAAAAGACCAGAATCCAAGGAGGACACGAGGGGTGCTGCAGGAAGCAGCAGGAGCTGACTTTGACAGGTGCAGGGCTCTGAAAGCTGGGTGGTGCAGTGGGGACGTGATGCTGTTGATAATAGGTCACCGCTGCAGGCTTTAAGCAACTGACTGACACAGAGGTTCCACAGGATGAAAGTCCCTCTCTCTCTCTTTCTAGAAGGAAGGGCAGTGACCTCAAGGGCAGGTGAAGTGGAGAGGGTGAGGGGCCTCTGGCCTGGTGGCCCGATGCCTCCTTCTAGCGCCTCCCTACCCTGGTCTGAAGGTTGAGTCGGGCTGCAGGTGGAGGTTATATCCAAGCCAAGTCTGGCTCAGGACACTGTCTCGTTTGTACTATATCTGCCAGTTCCCTTCCCCAGGAATGCTGATGGGAGGGGAGGTAGGAGGACCACAACGGAGCCCAGACTTTACCTTGAAGAGCTGGACCCCGATGCAGGCAAACATGAACTGCAGCAGGGTGGTGACAATCACGATGTTCCCGATGGTCCGGATGGCGACAAACACACACTGAACCACATGCTGCAGTGGGAAGGGACGGGGAGAGGGACGTGGCTTCAGGAGATGCCAGGAGCCTTTCCAGGAGGTAGCAGGGGCAGCCCGTTTGCCACAACGGGGAGTAATTGGGCTGAGAGGGGCAAAGCCACGCTCCCAAAGTCACATGGGAAGTGATGGACCCTAATGGGATGCAAAGGCCCCCACTGGACTCTCCGTGACTACAAGGACAAAAGTCCTGCCAACCTCCCATCTTACAGTGGAAGGAATATAGGGATGGTGGCACCACAGGGGCACAGGGTTTGTGTGGGATCTCCCTTTGGCACATTCTGCTTAGGGCAGACACTTGGGATGGCTGCCTCTGTTACTATTCTGTTCATTACGGAACCGGGACATGCAGTGGGACCAGTGTCCGGGACCCCACATGGCAGCCACTTGGTCTGACCATCATCTCCTTCCAACCCACCCCTCACCTCTGTGGAGCTCCCACTCCCCAATGGGCTGGCTGGAGACTCCCTACCCAAGCCCTCAACTCACCTTTAGCCCCTTGGCCCTGTTGATGGCCCTCAGGGGCCTGAGTACTCGCAGGACTCGCAAGATCTTCACGACATTGATTGCACTGGACCTGGGAGAGGGAAACAGGCAGGGTAGTAAGCTCCTCCTGTTTCTGGGGGGAGCAAAAATAATGTGGTAAGGGAATGTCCTGACAGGTGAATCCGAGGCAAACCTGAGAAAACATAAAGCCCATCTTGGGGATGTTCGCATTCTGGGACCACTCTCTACTCCTGTCTCCCATCCCGTGAGAGCCTGGAGCTTGCCTGTAACCCTGGGGCTTTCCTGTGGGTGACTAAATAATATGCAAGGTGGCTCATGGCAGGTCATTAGCAATGTACTGTGCTACTCACAGGGGCATTCACAGTGTCACAGAAAGAAATTCAGAGCAAGGCCATGGGAATTCAGACCCCAGTGCAGGCACTTGCTAGCCAAGGCACTGAGGACAAATTTCCTAAATTTTCTGAGCTCTAGTTTCTTTATCTGTAAAATGGGTCTGTAATCAGCTCAGAAGGTCTTTGCAAGGGTTAAATAAGAATTCTATGTAAATCACCCAGCCATGTGCTTGAGAAACTGCCTGAATGGTACCTGCTCATGAGGCCTGCTGAAGACGTTACTACACTTAAAGGAATGCCGTACTAACGGTGGGATCTCGGGCCTTGTGGCTGGAGGTGATGTCATGGGGAGGAGATTTCTTAGTGTTTATCTCCAAACACATATTGCCCCTGACACCTAAACATAAAACCCACCCAGAGCACACTCAGGACTCCAAGGAAGGATGGGCTTCGCTGTTGGGGCTCAGGAAACAACACCCCGAAACGACGGCCTTAGAAGCAGTCTCAGAAGCAAAAGTTTTTCTCTGACCTTCTCTTGCCCTCCTGTCTCAGTCCCCTTCTCCTCTCAGGCTAGCCATAGACACTAGAATCCCTCTTCCCCAAGATGGGTCACAGAAACCAGAACCCAGAACCCCGTTTCCTCAAAGCCAGCCACACAACCTAAAATATTATTCAAAATTTCCCTCTCCTTTTCTGTATAAAAACTGGCCATAAAAAATGACCAGATCCACCATGTGGGAGTGTAGATCCTCAGACTCCTGTTGCAGACGGGATCCTGCCCCGACCCAGAAGGAGGGAAAGCTTCACAGAGAGCACAAGAAGAACCTAGAGACAGGCCTTGCTGGGTTCCCCACTCGGTCCATTCACGTTAGATCCTACGCTTCTTGTCCAATCACATTTCTACATGGCTGTCCATACTTTTTTGAACCTAAGCAGAAAAATGGTCAGTTTCCCCTGTATCTTTGGGTCTGCATTCTATAGGCTCTGTGTATACACGTTAAATAAATGTGAATGCTTTGTCTCCAATTAACCTTTCTTTTGTCAGTTGATTTTTCAGTGACCCTTCAGAAGGCCAGTCCCTTTGGCTCCTACGTGGCACTACAGGTTCCATACACCTGGGATGCTGAGGCCAAGCCAGAGCTTCTCGGAGTCTCGGGCTACGGCTTTTCCCTAGTGCAATGGAGACAGCAGGAGACAGGTCCCTAAGCAAGATGCCTGGATGGTTTTTGGAGCTGTCCATCCTACCCAGGTGGGGCTCATTAACCATACCACCTTGGTGAGCAGCTATGGAGCACATCCTAACCCTCACGGGCTAACTACCTGAGATAGCCTCTCAAGCTTTTGGAGAGCCTCATACTTGTCTTGGGACCTAAACAATGAATGACAGGCCAGCAAGCGCTGATTTCATGCTTTGTGTGGTCAGGATGATGTGCTCAAGGGGCTGGTGGAAAGATCCGATTTCTCTGGTGCATGACTCTTTTATTCCAAGAGATGCAAAGGCCATTCCTATCTATCACTGTGTCTCTCCTACAGTCTCTCTGGGAGGGAGTCAGTTTGCACCGAATCACAATGGAAGGGATTTAAAGGTCAGATGGGAAAAACACAGGCTAAAGAGGAGGAATTCCTCATTCAAGGTTAAATAGTGACTGAGTGGCCATGCTGGGATTCAAATCTGGACTTGTAGGCTCCCAGGCAGAAAATATGGGGTAATATAACTGATGATCACAGAAAAGGGTCTCTCCCAAGGTCCTGGTCCCTGCATGATCTCAGCCAACCATGAAAACACTCTTGGGAGGAGAGACCCAGGAACGCTGGGACTTAGGCCTTTCTCTACCACAGGTGTGACCTTGAGCAAGTGTCATGATGTCCTGAACTCCAAATTTCCCATCTATACAATCATGATAACACTTGCCCCGTCTCCCCCATCGTTTTGTGTGTGTGAGGACCACAGAAGAATGTGTATGTGGAAGTGCTTTGAAAGTTAAAGTGTAGGATTCACACTATCAGCTGTTAGAACTTGGTAGAAACTGGTAATCAGATCCTCCACACCTGAACGAGGACTGCAAGCTTGGCTGTACAGGGGAGTCACCTGGAAAGCTCTTAGAACTCACACCCAGACTGTACCCCAGACCAGTGAAATGAAAAACTCACACACACACACACACACACACACACACACACACACACAAGACACAAATATACACAGTCACACACATACATGCACTCACACATACATATGCACATACATACACATATACATTCACGTCCATAGACACATATGCAGACACAAACACAAACACATACATACACACACATACACACAGCCACAAACACACATCCACATATACACACACCCCACACATCCACACACGTGCACACATACACCCCACACTTACACAGACATATATATACACACATTCACACATACACTCATACATGAGGTGCTTTGGCTGGAGAGAGAGGGGAGAGAAAGGGAGAAGGAGGGTCCAGGTCAGGGGAGGTCACGGCAGTGGCAGACTGTGGGTTGCTGAAGGTCAGCCTAGGGCACTGGGGCCGTGGTGGAGGAGGCAGGAAGGTCCTGGAGACAACCGTTTCTTAATAGCTGAGCCTGGCCCTGCCTGTCATGGCAAAACCCAGATAATTAAACATATTCTCACCTGATCAACGTGCCCCAAGTATCAGACCACTGAGGACACAGAACCAAGAACCCAAAGCCACCATGCACAGCTTTGGAGGCCCCACCCCACTCTCATCACACTGCGGTGGCCCTGCAGGCAGGCCCTCCAGGGTCTGGTTGTCCTCTCTGGCACCCCTTGCTAGCTGCATGGCCCATCGTGGGCTGAGGGGCTCCCACTCACTGGATGCCAAAGGAGATGAGGGACACGCTGACCACCAGCAGGTCCAGGATGTTGAAGTAGTTCCGGCAGAAAGAACCCTTGTGCAAGAAAGCCCCATAAGCAGTCATCTGCAGGGAGGGACAAAGGAACACCAGTGTGAGTGGCCCTAGCCCTAGCCCAGAGACCCCTCACACCACCCCTTCCTCCCACAGCATCCCTTGGGCAAGTCCCAAGCACCATCCATGGGGAACAGGAAGGACAAAGACGGCGCTATGGTGCCAAGAAAAGAGTTCTGCTACCATGCACACAACCACCCAAGACTCTCGCAGCCCAGGACTGCTGGGTGGCTCCTTGCACCTGCCAGGCCAAGCCAGGCTCTTTAGTCCTCCATTCAAAGCCCTTTCAAGTGGGCCCCACCATCCCACTCTAATTTCGCACTGTTCCACATCCCAAGTCCATGGCTTTGGGCCTGCAGGGTCCTTTCCTGATGCTGTCGGGTTGGGAGCACACATCCCGACTGCCTCTCCAAATGCTTGAGTCCTTAGGCCAGCTGAGAGCACCAGACATCTGCCGTGAGTGGGTGGGTTGGGGGGCGGGGCATGCCCAGCAGGGTGACCAGCCATCCTGGTTTGCCCAGATTTGCTTTATCATCAGAAATCCTGCATCCCAGAAAACTCCTCAGTCTTAGGCAAACTAGGCCAGCTGGTCACCCTGGTGCCTGGTGAGAAGTTCCAGTGGTGACCCTGGCAATTAGCATACCTCCCCTTCCTGGCCTCAAAGGGTGCTTATTATTGATGCCAAATATTCTAAACTCAATTCTACTGTCCTGCTTCTAGACTACATCTGGAGTTCTTTAAGGGCAAAAGTTGTGTGATCAGAGGGGCTATGAGGCTCAGTGGCTAAGAGCACAGGCTCTGAGGCCAGACGGCCTGGGCTGGAATCCCAGACCTGTGGTATTTTATTTTTGTGGCCTGGAGCAAGAAACTCAAATTCTCTTAGTGCCTCTGTTTCCTCATTGGAAAAATGAGGATAAGGTCTACCCTACAGGGTTGTAAGCATCAAGTGGGTACCTCTATGTAAAATACTTAGGATGCCACCCTGCACACGGTGAGCCCCATAAAAGGGTGAGCTGTCACTACAGCCTGGATTTGAATTCTGGATGCTTCCTGGATGAGAAAAGTTCTGTTTTCTCATCAAAAGGTGAGGAAACTATCCCCTGGCTTTGTGAAAGCCCTTTGGAAACTTTTAAAAAGAGAACACACAAGATGACGATGACTGCTACAGGACTTGGCCATTATTACCACCCTCTGAGCCTGGTGTAAAGCTGCGCACTGCAGGTGCTCAACAAATCACCTTTACAGCCTTTCTCATTTTGCCGACTTGCGTAAGGGCCAGTGGTTATCCAGGATAAGGGCTGTGACAGGCAGCGGACAGGAAGCATCGGCCAAAGGGAAAATGTGGAGCCGACAGTGGAGAGGTGGAGCAAGGCTCCCCGGTCATCTGGGGTCCAGTTCATCTCTTTGGAATCAGAGCATGCCCAGGGCAGAGTGTCCGCAGAGCCATTCAAAAGCAAACACAGAGGGAAATGGGCAAAAATAGCTCTTGCAACCTAATTCTTTCCATTTATCTCTTGCAGCAGGGGGTCCCAAAGGACTCAGGCACCTGTGTTGGGCAATGGTTTTTAGAAGTGGGTAGATTACATAAAAGATGCAAGGGAGTATAGTTCTAGAAGGCCCACCATCTGGAAGCCTTGCCTCCCTGCCTCTTGGTGAAGAGCTGGGACCCCCACAGACTGGACTCAGGAGGCTCCCATAATTCATATTAATTGTGCCTGCAGAAAGCCCAGTACTTCCCCAGCCACCTTGCTTTTAGTGTTAGGAAGGCACTGGGTCTGATCCCTTCTTGCTCCTGGCTTGGATCTTCTGAGGCTACTACTGAGCTCTAACAGAACACTCTGCATTCCTCAGATGGGTGGACTAATAAGGCTCAGAGTGCCAACTCTGTCCTCTGGTTTTGGGCTCCTGTTTTGTTTAGGGACCCTCAAATGAGACCAACACTTGAGCAAGTGCATGTGTGTGCATGTGGGGGCGGTGGGAACATGCATCCAGGCAGGGCCAGAGGAAGAGTGGCTGTACAAGAAAGGGCAAATGGACATGGGGAAAACGTAGCATTTACTTGAAAGTCATCTGTGGTGTTCAGGGCATCAGGAAAAGCCAGACTCAGGTACCCAGTGCTAATTGTTCCTCTTTGACCCTTTTTTTCTGATTGCCAGCCACCTCGGTCCTGCTTTCCTAATTCTACACCATTACTTGGGAAGGGGCCCTTGCTGGGGTGTTTCCATCCTGAGGAAGGAAAGGAATGGGACGTGGCTCGCTAGCTCTGCCTGGAAGGGTAGGAAAGCTCTCTGTTCAACCACGGGCCATCCCTGCCTCTCCAGGCAGCTCTTCTAGCTATGAAACCTGTCTTTTTTTGTGATTTCTACTCATTGGTCTTGATTCTGCCTTCTTCCTCTTCTATGTGACGGTCCTTTGTATGACTCAGGCCAACTGTTGTGAGCCTACAAGCCTTTCCTTTTTAAGGCCAAACATTTCCAGGCCCTTCCACTGTTCCTTGTGCTAAATGTCCCCCTTGGACAGCCACGGTCATCTGTGCCATGACATGACACCGGGCCTTAGGCCGGGAAGAGGGACCCAGTGGGAAGGAGGTACAGGGGAGTGTTCCGGCATTGGGGTTTCTATTCAGAAGCATGCTGAGCATAGAAGAAAGTAGAAGAGGGAGGGGATGGAAGGACCTTGCCATGACAATGCTTGCAAAGAGACCTTTCACTTCAGCTTGTATGGCAATCCCGAAGGAGAAATAGCACCATTGAAATCCACAAGGGCAGCTCTGTAGAAGGGCACTGAGAATTGGGCCTCAGAGCGTCTCTTGTCCTGGGAAAGAACTCTGGGGTCTGTGTGCCTCCCTGCATCTGAAGTCCGGGAAGCAAAGCAGCTCACCATGGAAAGCAGGTTTTGCCGCGGTGCATCTTAGTGCAGCCACGCAACTTTCGGTTCCCTCTCCCGACCTCCAGGAACCAAGGCCTGGTCAGATCTACTCTCCACGAGCAGAAAAGAAAAATCTGAGCCACATACTTGGTTAGCAGGAACCAGGGATGGCAGCTGGGGGCACCTGAGTGTCCTGGGGACAAGGACACAGGGGAAGGCACATAAAAACTGCCCCATTCAATTTGTATCTGGATGTGACTGAACTGTCCTGTCCATCAACAGGCTGGGCCATGATGAGGGAGTCTCATCAGGGAAGGAGAGGCCTGCAGCTGGCAGTGGCATCGGTTAGGTGTGGACTTCAGCTTGCATTGGCCACAGCGATAGGATGACAAGGGAGCCTGGACTCCTTGGGAGGGGGAGTCCCAGGCTAGTCTCCCAGGAAGAAGCTAAAGCTGAAGCATGGGCTTCAGAGCCTTAGTCCTTCTGTTTGGGGAAAGGGTAGAATCTACCCCCTTGCTCAGAGAGGAGCACACGTTCCCTGAGGTCATGGAACTCACACCCTGACTCTCAGATGAACTGGCTTGCCACGCATTGGTTTAGAGACTCAGAAATATACCCGAAAAATGGAGGAATACTCTTTCTCTCATCCCAGTGTTGCCCTGAGGTGGGCTCTGCCTGTTCTGAGGGTAGCAATGTTGCAGCAGTTCCCTTAGCAGAACTGAGCTGGGCCAGCAGCAGGCAAGGGCTGGGGGCTGGGGGCTGGGTGCTCAGGTTCCTTGCGGCACCTGCTCTCATCCTGCTGTACTCAGCTCTCCAGCACAATTCTCCCTCCCCCACGCTCAGGGCAAGGGGCACTGTGACAAAGCTTTGCAGCAGGTGACTGAGGGTCGGCAGTAGTCTGTAATGGCCCTGCTAAAAGCCCTCAGCTGGGAGACCAGCTCCACATCTCACAGTAGGCCTGTGATCACTGTGACACAGCCCCAACTCCAGCTTAGACCCAATATCTGCTGCAAGTACTGAGGAAGGTGCTAAGGATGGGCATCCAAAGAGAGTAGCTCAAGTGATTCTTTCACGCCCCAGGAGGTTTCCCACTTTCAGAGTGTATGAAGCAGGAGGAGGGAAGGAGAGTCCTACGTGGGCTCAGGTATCAGTTAACCGGAGCTGGTGCATGTGGGCATGTATGTCTGGCGCTGCTGACGGCTGCAGCCCCAACCAGTGAAATGGCAGCCTTAATGTTGGCACAGCCAACACGTGTCCCTTCCAGGCCACGGACTGCTTAGGGGTGGCTGGAGGGAGGAGCTGTGGTGGGGTAGGCTGCTCCTGGCTTCTAAGTCTGGGCAAAGTGCATCACACAAAGTGAGGGGCACTCATTTTTCCAATTTCAGGCTTGGGAGTAAAGAAAAGAGAGAGTGAAAGAAACAGAAAAGACAAAAGATCCAGCCACACAGAGCAGAGATAGACAAAGAAAGCGACAGAGGATGCATTGCCCAGGTTGCATTACCTTAAGGATAATTTCTAATGTAAAGATACTAGTGAAGACATAGTCTGCATTGCCTAGGATCTGAAAAATAAGCATAATTGGATTAGTGGCTCTGAGAGTGAACCCCACACCAACAGGAAGGAGCATGTGTGTTAGCGACAGACAGCGGCAGAGACCTGGTGCTGGCACAAGGGGGACAGGAGGAGCAGAAGGGGATGGGGGCTTTACCTTCAGAGCAATTTCAATGGTGAAAATGGTGGTAAAAACAATATCAAAATAAAACAGAATCTGCAAAACAAAAAGGAACAGGGTGGGGATGGGATGGGGAAGGGAGAAAAGCAGGACGGGAAGAGAGGTCAGTGGATGTTCACCAGAAAAGGGGCCACACTTCAAAATGAGATGCCTGGCACTTAAGCCTTTGCACAGGGACACAGATGGACATGGGGGGCAAGCGGCACACACACAGACATCCTGAGGCGGGGCTAGCCTCAGGCAGCACAGCGGCTTCCCTTGAAGCCCCCAGATAAGTGAGGTGAGCTTCCAGGGCATGCCTCAGCTGGTACTGGATCTGAGCAGCATCTGGTTGGATGCTTTTCCCATTAATCCAATTTACTTACAAACCCAAATCAGACCACTAAGATACTTGTCAAAAGGACAGAGAATGGGGTTTGTCTTTTTGCAGGGAGATTCAAAATGCTTCGCTCACGTTGGTGGGACTGAGCTGGCCAGCTTCCTGTGATGGTGGACATCTATTCCTGGGTTATGTCCTCTGGGGCAAGGGAGGTGCATCCTTCAGGTGAGGTCTGCACAGGCTGAGGACCGGCTCCAGGACTGCATACTTATTATATTTCAGGTGATGGATCAGGGATGGGGCCAACACCTGCTAACCTCGGTAAGACAGCCCTGGACCAAGCAGGCCCCAGGAGCGCAGAGTGGTTTGGCATGGGTATGGCTTTAGATCAGCGGGCTGTCTTCATGCCCACTTGGTTGGGACTTGACAAAGTTTTGAGGTTTTGAGATAGAGCAATTCTTAAACTGGCCTTTAATATTGTTCACCAGAGCCTTGGGTGGGTCCTCACATTTGGTTCTACTCTACCAAAGGTACCAAGACTCTCTTTTAGGTAAGGTCAGCCATATCATTGGCACCTATTTGCCAATGCTCCCCTTCTGGTCAGAGCATGCTGGGAGCAAGGGAGGGCATGTAGTCAGTGGCCACATTTTACTAAGTTTGCAGGGAACTAGAGCTTCCTGGGGAACATCCACAGGCAATGAAAGTCCTGATCTTTGCCAATTATCAAACCAGCCTGAGCATTTGGGTACATGCTCTTTTATTTGCTTGTGGTCCTAGGGTGGTTTTCTATCAAAGCCCTACTCTCTTAATGAAATGTTAGTTGTGGATCTAATTATGACACCTAGAATTGGGCTCCTGATTGAACAATGATGTCAGCAACAGAAGCTGTGGGCCTGGCACAGCCCCAGGGGGAAGGAGTGCAGAAGACACAGGCGATGCATACATGGTTCCTGAAGGAGGTGTGCTGGACCGGGTCCTCAGCAGCCAGGGAAATGCTGCTGAGCAGAATGAAGAAGAGGATCAGGTTGGTGAAGATCGTGTCATTGACAATGCGGTGGCACTGGAGGCGAAACCTGTACGGGAGAGGGGACAGGAGGAGAGACAAGTCAAGGCAGACAAGGGGAAGCACCAGTCGGCTCTTGGGAGCCCCTCTCCTCAGCTCTCCCCAGCAGCTGGCAACAGGTGCTTGTTGGCCTGAAGTGACCTCTTCATTCTGAAGTCTTACTGCTGCTTGGTAATGACAACTGCTCACCCCCATGGTGCACATATCATCTTTGATATTTTAGAAGGTTACATCTGAGACCTTTGAGAATCTCTGAATTCCCAAATCCTGCTCTGACATTCATAACTGGCTTTTGTTTGGGGACTTATTTTCCCTATCATTGAAAAGAAATCACTTTATGAGATCAACTCTATGCTTATGCATAAGGCACAATAGGACTACCCGGAGCTGGGTATGCTGAGAGGCCAGCCAAACCGGCTCTCTGTAGGTGATCTGCTCCTGTGTAATAGCTTTAAATGTGCAATTCACTTCCATGCCCCAGCACAATTACCCAACTGAGCTTCTAGGCACTCAGTGATAGCACCAAAAATGCTAGGTTCCTAAATGCCAAAGTGTCTTGTACACCATCTCATCTTGACAGCAATGTAGGAAGGAAGGGATGGGTGTCATCATCTTCATTTCACAGGTAAGAACACTGAAACCCAAGTAGGAGAGGCTTGCCCAGAAACACAGCCTTAGTGTGGGAGAGTCAGGGCTTCAACCCAGGCCTTCAGACTTCTGCTCCTGGCATTATGGTTGACTAAATGCTCTGAGAAGCCCTCCTGCTGCAGAAGCACCAAACCCTCGAAGGGCCAAACTCTCTCAGACAATTCTGGTTTATAAGAGTTAGGAGATGGCTGTAAGAATCATCTGCTTCAAACCAACAACCCCTCCCACCAACCTCCACTGAGCTGAGGCTACGTATGGAGAGAGAGCCAGCCAGGAGGGCAGAATTGCTTGAAGATGGAAGCCAATAACAGCAGTGCTGTCAAGAAATTGCAGGTTAAGCCAGTCTTGAGGTGGGGCAGGAAAGCCTGGGAATTTTAGGCCAAGCCAACACCTCCAAGGGGCATCTGGAAGAAAGTCTCCCCAGACCTACTTTAGGTCTTCAGGACTCTCACAAATGAAGAGGAAGTGTTGGGGTCACAATCAAAGATCATCAGATGCACAAAAGGACAAGCCCCTAAGATGGGAAATCTGAAGAAACACTGGATAAGTGATTTAGATTCCAAAGACTGGAGGTATTGGAAATATTAGATATAGACTATAAAACAACTATATTTGAAATATTTAATGAAATAAAGGACTAAATCACAAAGATGAGGAATTGATAGAAACTACTAGATTTAGAGATGGATCTGGAAAATCAAGCAACAAATGGAACTGACTGAAACAAAAACATATAATGGTCAAGATAAAAAATTGGTTTAAACAGTAATATAGATTAAGTTGAAAATAGAATTAAGAAACTGGAAGATACAGTTGAAGAAATTTCCCAGAATACAGAAAGACAAGGAGATGAAAGATATGTAAGACCCTCTAAGAAACAGGGAGGACAGAATGAAAATGTCTAACAGATGTCCAATTGGAGTGTCAGAAGGAAGAAATATAGAATTAAAAAGAAGCAATATTTAAACATTATGGCTGTACTTTTTCAATAACTGAATAAAAATCTAAATACATAGGCTTAGGAAGCAGAATGTATTCTAAGCAAGACAAATGGAAAGAAATCCACACCTTGACACATGGTAGTAAATCTGTACAACCACAAAGGCAACAGAATATGTTAAAAGCAGCTACAAATAAACGTTAGGTTACTCACAAAGAAACCATAGTTGGAATGACAGCTGACTTTACAGTGGAATAACACCTTTCTTGTGCTGCAGGACAAAAATTGTCTGTCTAAAATCGTGTACACAGCAAAACTATCTTTCAAGAGCAAGAAGTGAAACAGTTATAGGTAAGTAGAGGCCCACTGAATTTGCCATTACGGAACTAAAGGAGCCTCTAAAGAATGTACTTTAGGAAGAAAGAAAATGCTAGCTAAAGGATGGACTGAAATGAGTAAAAAAATGGTGAACAAATAAAATGGTAAGGTGTACATATATCCAAACACACAGTATCTATATAACAGTAAGACTCACTAACTTGTTGGATTAAAAATAAAAGTTGGACTAAAATACTAACGACAATTCCATGTAAGTAAGGAGCAGATGAGTGAGTTAAAATAGTCTAAGGTCACTCTATTATACAGGAGGAGGTTCTTGATATTGTTTAACATCACATTTTGTTAAGTTAAATAGAATTAGTAAATTATCAAGGGTAATCACCCAAAGAATAGAAATAGAGTTTAAACATTTCAAAAAGTGGAGAGAAAAATAAACACAAGTCTTCTGATTCAAAATCCAGGACTCTTCCCTAAATGAGTGCCTGTTTATACAATTTGCAAGGAGCTGGGAGAGTCTCAGTCTCCATCCAGAGGTTCAGGTAAAATACAGGCAACTGCCAGGCTGGTACTAGAGAGAGCAGGACCCCACCTTCCCCACCATTGCTGCACACCTGTTGTTAGAGCTGAAGATGAAAAACGCGCTGGCTTCTGGCATGGGCACTGCCTTTTCCTTAAGGTGAAGCTCAGAGAGTGGTCGTGGGCGAGGGCCGACAGGCATCTCTGGCTCCTCCTCATCCTCTTCTCCTGTAAGAAGAACAGCACCATTCTAAATAACTCCAGCACTCCCACTTATTTTACCACTTTCAGAGACCTTCCTACTGGCAGACATGATTATGGCTCTGAAAATGTAGGGTACCAACCAAGACAGACATTCTGCTGTCTCCCTGTGGGTGCTGCTGCAGCTCATCTCTGCTGGAGAAGTCGTATCTGGCAGTGCACAATAAGGGGGATTGTAAGTAGGGCGACCAACTTGTTCTGGTTTTAAAACTAAAATTCCCACATCCCAGGAAACCCCCTAGTTCTGGGCAAACTGGGGTCGTTGGTCATCCTAGTTGTAAGGTATGAAAAAAGGTGACCAGGTAGGACAGGGCACTGCCAGGTGTTACTCATCTATCTAGGCCGCAGGTTGGGGAAAGGGTATGGCTGAGTTGGCTTGTGGAATCCCTTGCAAATAACCTCACTCTTGGAAGTTCCAGGAATTAGAAACCAACACTTTCCCAATTTCTGCAACTAAAAAAAAAAAAAAAAAAAAATTCATGTGCTGTCGAGATAACAGGGCAATACTACTGACCACAGCAGGCCCTTCATGCAAAGGTTTAGACACTGACACCAATTAAAGAAGCGCCTTCGTTCTCCCAGCCAGTGGCCACATTTAATGTGGACCAAAGTCAGACAGCTTATTCCTGTGCTTGCCAGCACAACGCTCATGACGGGAAGCACTGCCCATCCTGGGCTGCTCAAATGTGTTGAAGATGCTCAGAGGGGAAAGTAACAACATGGGAGTGAAGAGCAGACTCTCCAGCCAATCGCCTGGACCAGAATCCTGGCTCTGTTTCTTTCTAGCCGTGGGCATTTTATTGAGTCTCTCTGTGCCTCAGTTTCTCCATCTAAGGTGGAATAATAATAACAGTACCTCTATACCTCAGAACGGTGCCTGGCACATAGCAGCCGCTCTGTAAGTAAGTGTTTGCTGCTTTTATTACAACCTCTACCTATGGGACAGACTCGAAGCCTGTAAATTAATGCTCAACATCTTTCTCAGTCAGATCCTTACCACCTATTATTCCCTAACAAACTGTCCACTCACACGAAACTATTTTCTGAGCACTTCACTACAGTGGGTTGAACAGTTTCCCCCGCAAACTCATGCCTACCTAGAACTTTGCAATGTGACCTTATTTGGAAATATGGCCTTTGCAGATGTAATTGGTTATGAAGAAGTTATTCTGCGCTAGGATGGGCCCTAAATGTAATGACTGTTATCCTCATCAAGACAGGCACAGAGACACAAAAACACACTTAGGGAAGAAGGCCATGTGAAGACAGAGGCAGAGATTGGAGGGATGCATCTACAAGCCAAGGACTGCCGGCAACCACAAGAAGTTAGGAGAGGCAAGTGAGGATTCTTCCCAAGAGCCTTTCAGAAGGCGCTTGGCCCTGCAGACCCCTTGATTTTGGACTTCCAGCCTCTAGAACTGTAAAAGGATGCATTTCTGCTGTTTAAGCTGCCCAGTGTGTGGTCACTGGTTATGGCAGCCCTAGTGAGCTGACAAGCTCACTGTGTGCTCCGTCCTTCCTCATGCTCTCTCTCTCTCTGTTTGAGCTGCGCTTCATCTCCCTCTCTGCAGAGCACACAAGGACCCCCAATCCAGATAGCATCCTCCTTCCAACTTTCCTGAGTACTCACGCTCCAGGGAATGACCTTTCCATGGATCCCAGCAGAACCTCTGCCTCCAGTACCTTGATGACTGATTTTAAATGTCTGTCCCTTCTCCCTATGTGCTGAAAACCCTGGAAAGAAAAGCTTTGCCTGGCACTAGAAGCCCTTATTTCTTGATGATGATTGAACTTCCACACCGGTCAGAAGGAAGGGGACTCTGTATAAGATGAAGGTGAAGGGGATACTAGTCTGGCTGGAGAAAGATAGTTATGGGATGCTCGTCTCATGGACACAGCTGTGCCTCTGCATGTTCTCCCTCTTCTGGTTCAAACAAAGCCAGGTACTGCAAAGAAAAAAAAAATGCCTGGCACAGAAAGCAATTCTTTATCAAGCAAAAAGCATTCAAGCATTTAGGGACCCAAGGCTTTTTTGGAGGGCCAGTACCATACAGACATCAATCAGATTCTTTCCCTAGGGTAATTAGAGCTGACCAGCAAGACAATTAATATTTTTTCAGCAGAAGAGAGGCCCAAGATGAAAAACTGTCTACAGGACAAGAGTTGGAGTTCTTGTGACACCCAACCCTTGGTATGTAAAAGAAAAGTCTTCTACTTAAAGTCGAATAAGTAAAACCAGAATTGGCCTAAATCATGGTATTTCAAGTGAAATTTAATTGAGAAGGATCTTAAATTCCTGCCTAGGTGTTTGTATTCTTTTCAGTTTTGCTCGAAATGACCCAACACTTTCTTCTTCATGATAATTTGATAACAGGTAATTTTATGCTTATTTTAATCATTTGTGTTTACAGAAACCCATATTTACTATAGCTTTGTGCCATTCGAACTTCCTAATGGAAAACGGTGCAGGCTCTTACATCTGCACGAGCTCCCCCCCGTTTATGAAGCTCCATGCTGAGCTCCATTCCTGGGGAGAAGCAAGTTAGCTGGTCCATTCAGACACACAGCAGCTGAACCTCAGGCACAGTACTTAAGAGGAAACGATTTCTGAAGGACAAACTCAGATTTGTAAAGGAACACAACTTTGACAGCACGTGATGCTTAGCAGGTATTATGGATGAGGAGGGATGCTGACAGATCAGGGAAAGTCAGGCAAGGCTCATTTTGGGGTTGGCAACTGAACCACCTAGCCTCCTACTCCCAAATGCCAGTAGAATACATTAGGGATCTTTCTTTTCTAATTTTTGTTCTTGGAGGTTTGGAAAAAAGCATCGGAAGTGAGGTGCTGCTGCACGCTGGAGTTGCTGCTGCATTTCAGAAGGCAGGTCAGAGGATTCCAAAGTAAAACCAGGGTAGCACTCAAAGCCCCACCCTTGGTCCTTGGCAACCCTTGCCCCCCTCCATCTGATGCTCATCCTCACTTCTGTGATTTTGCTCTTGGCCACATAAAGTAAAGACATTTGTAGGATCTAGTGCCTACAGAGTATTGAGCCCAAGGCTGAGAAGACAAAGCCATGGTTCTTGTCCTCAAGGAGCTTAGTTTCTAGCAGGGCGCAAGAGTCTGCTACCAGCTGAAGGGAGTGCCTGGTTGGTAAGGGCCAGACACCCGGAGCAGTGCCTTGGGGCACAAGGAGCACAGGTGGTGGATACAGTTTCTGCATTGGGGATTTTCTCTTCGCTGGCTCAATTAGAAAACCTCAGAATCACCCTACATTTCTCTTTCCCTCTCTCCAACATCTAAGCTGTGAGTGAATCCAGCTGGTCCTACCTGCAAAATGTACCCCAAGCCTGACCACTTCTCTGCATCTCCGGCACCATCCCCTGTCCAAGCTGCCATCCTCTCTGCCTGGATACTGCGCAAGTATCCTCCCTGCCCCCATTCTGCTCTCGAACACCACTGCTCTTTATTCACACCGCTCAGAGGGAATCTCTGAAAGGGTGAGTCGGACATCAGGTCAGGGCCTCCTCTGCTCAGACGTTCTGGTGGCCCTCTAGGGCACTGGATCAGACCCAGCCTCCCGCATGGCCCTGCGCCTTCTGCCCTGCCCTCCTGCCCTGCCCCGGCCTCTCGCCTCAGGGCACTATCCCTTGGTTCTCTCTGCTGCAGGCACACTGGCCCTCTTTGGAGTCCCCACAGCCAAGTGCATCCCTGTAAGAGACTCTGCACTCAGGGTCTCCACCTAGAGAGCTCTTCGCTCCGATTCCATGTCTAGTTCTTTTGAATCCTTCAGGTTCCAGTCAAATGCTGTGTCCTCAGAGAAGCCTTTGCTGACCACACAGTCAAAGCAGCCTGACCCCTGAGTATCCCCTAACACAATCCTTGATTTTACTATCTTCACATCATGTGATGTCACCTTTTTGGTTGGTTTGTCTGCTGCCTGTCTCCCCACTGATATGTCAGTTCCAGGAGGGTGGGGGTCTTCCCTGTTTGCCCACAACAAGGACCCCCATGTCCCTGGTACCTAGCACAGTGCCTGGCACACATTAAATGCTTCATGAGTAGTTCATGAATATCTACAAGGTTCCTCCCAACTCTCAGCATCTCTGATGATTGTACGATCCTGAAAAAACTCCTTCAGCCTCTCCAACTCCCTGACTCAAAGCTCAGTCAAGACCACCCTTCTGCATGAAGCCCCCAGACTCCACCACCTCATGGCTCTCCTTGTCCTTGAACCCTCTGCAGCAATGAAAGCCTCCCCCAGCACAGGCGGTGCTGACTACTCAGTGTCTGGTGGCACTCCTTTTTTTTTAGTGTGTACCTGTTAACTTTAAGTCCTTAGTGGCTCTTGCAAACATCTGCATGCTCACTCAAATAAATTAATAAATTAAACAAAAGTAGAATTAGCTTCCACTCATCTGGGCACAATGCTTTCCTTTTCAGTGAGTTGGGTTTTTCTCTATAATTAGGGTATACCGATCTGGGAGGTTGAAAGCAGCTGGCGAGCTTTTCAGATGAAACAGAGAGGGAAGGATTCTAGGGCCATGGCTGGCCTCGATGGCCCCTTGTTGAATTAGAAACAGGCCCCTCCTCTGAGTATTCGCGGTCATGCGAGGGTAATTGAAGCTGCAGCCAGCAGAGTGCACTCTGGAGTCCAGCTCCCACTTGGCCACTCTGATACATCACTTTGGGTGCAATCTGGACAGCCCAGGAGAGAGGGAGAGGGCAGGGGGCAAGCCTAGGAGACAGGGCAAGAGAGAGACAGGGAGGGAGCAGGAGAGCATGGCAGTGTGCTCCCTGACACCGGCCCTTTCTCCCTAGTGGTCTGGCTGAAGGCAGAGCAGGAGGGACACTCACCAGTGCTGCCTGCTAAGGGGTACCTGCATGAACCAGGCATGGCAGGGGCCAGCGGCCTGGAAGGGGCAGCGGTTGGGAGCACAATGGTAGATCAGGATCTTTGCCATTCGTGGTTCGGGAGAACAAGAAGCAGGAAGGAACCAGAGATTGACCAGAACAGAGACAACAGGCCACGTGATCTTCGGAGGAGTCTCTGGGAACTTCTGCTGCACCTGGCACTAAAGGATCCAGGAGCTGACTGTGGAGGCAGGGAAGGGAGGAAATGGGAAGGCAGGAAGAGCTGGGAAGCACAAGCTAACTTAGCCTTTGGGGGCAGAGTGATGTGTGGGGCCACCAGCTTTAAGAGCATGCTGCCCTTTGGACCTCCTGGATGAGGACCTGGAAACCAGGGATAGTGCACAAATGGGCATGCTTGGGGCTGGCTTCAGAGGCCGGAGTGGTGGCTGGTGTACGTGGTGGGGCAGTCAGGGCAGCCTCAGGGTATGGACCAGAGGTCTCAACACGAAAGTAAAGAGACACATGTAACCAACAGAAATGACGGGGAGCGGGCCGTACACTCAAAAATCTCAAGAATCCTGAGGCCTCAGCAGAGGGTGGGAAGAGCTTTTCAGCTGGAAAGCGTAAGCATCCCCCAGTCCTCAGAGCCACTGGGTAGCTACGTGAGAGGCATTTCTAGGATGGCCGACCTGGTGACAAAATCCTCATTAGCCCTTTTTTTTTAAAATTAACATTCTTCTCTTTGATTTCATTAGAGCAACAAAGAAAAGAAAAGCCAAGAGTATAGATTAATAGAATTTGAGATTTTTGTTGAAGATGCAAGAGGTGTATCTGCCGTACAGGCCTGGCTGCAGCTGGGTGCCTGTGTGAAAAGACCCTCATGCTAGATCTGCCCTGTTGTGTGTGCAGGGAGGCCCATCCTGGAGGCTGGCCCCATGGGAGGGCTCTTCTCAGGGCTCTAAGGAATTTGTTTTATTACTGTCTTTCATTTTAAACCTTAAAGATTTACACAAGAGTACAGTCTCACATACTAAACCTCATATATATAACCAGCTTCAACAACTTTGGACATTTTGCTAATCTTGTTCCATTTATCTTCTCTGTCCCCATTTTTTTTTTGTTGGAATATTTTAAAAGCAAAGCAACTCGTAAACATTTAGACTCTGGCCATAAACACTGCAGCAGTTTAAAAACAGAACTACAAAATATTATACCAACAAGATTAACAAAACTACTTTCAATCATTTAGTTCCCAGTCCATATTCAATTTCCCCCATTTCCCTCTAAAACGTCATTTTAAAGTGTATTTGTTGCTTCAGGATCAAGGCAAGATCCTCCCATTGCATTTGTTCAATAATTCTAGTACGTCGTTGAAATTCCCTAACGGTTTCACCCTAGAAGGGGTTTTAAGAACTTCAAAGCCTTAATGCCGGGCATATGAAAACGCCCTTCCTGTTCTTTCTATCCAAGCTCCAGGAAACCACATCCTATTCCCTTGCAGGAGGAGGGGAGTGAGGATGGTGTGACCACAGGGAGTCTGGTTCCCAAGGATGCCTGTGAGTGTTCTAAGCAGAGAACCAGCGGAGGGAAAGCAAAAAGGGAAACCGAGCTTTGCTCATAAATGTAGGAGGTTCTCAGCCACCTAACTTGGTGAACAACCCAAATATAGCCTAACCTACAGGAACAAGGAAATGTCAGTAAAATCAACAGTCCCTTGATAGCATGTTATTGACTTCAAGCTTGAAACTGGCGATAATATCTGCAATCCTAGGTCAGAGGAAGGCAAGCCCAGGCCTTGCACAGGGTATGGGATTTCAGGGAGCAGGGAAGTGAAGCCTGGAGGGAGGACCTCTGATCTCTGACATTAAAGCTCTTGAGAAGCAGACTGCCTGCCAATTTAGGTATCAGATAGAAGCATAAAAAGATGGAGTCAGTAAGCGCGCCTTTTATAATGAGACCTGAAATCATTGCCTAAAGCAACAAGTGGGACATCTGTGGTGGCAGCTGTCCCTGCACTCGGCACTGCCTCCTGAGTAGGGGCAAGGCAGACTTGGGATTGACTATTAATATTAAGTGAGCATAATGTTGCAACATATGCCATACTAATACATTATATAAATTAATGATGATTTTACAACATGTAATGTAACAAAAATTTAAATGTACACTGAATCCAACTTGGAAAGGACACAAAAGCACTGCTCAAATGTGATCTCATTATGAGGAAACCAGAAACAAACCTGCCTCCCAGATGCTGACTGATGATGCTTAAATATAGAGATAGAAGACACTCAGCAGTGGAAGGTACTTACAGAGGGACACTGGAACCATGGTCCCTAATATATGGCCACTCCCACGTGGCTTTAGAATTTAGATCTCTGCCCCCAATCTCCCAATCCCAGGTTAGGCAGTGGGACTGGTACCTGTAGTTTCTGGGTTGGGGTAGGGGCTCTTATCCTCATTTTCATTGGGCTGGAGGTCATCCATGTTGATCTAGACAGTCACAGGGGAGAAGGGGGAAGAATAGTTAGATACGTCCCCAAGTTAAGAGGCTTGCAGTAGCCTTGAAGTTGCATTTTAGTCAGTGACTTAGCTCAAAAATAGGTACTTGTCACTTTGCATATCTCCTTCAAGACATCAGCAGATGGCTGGGATCCAGCCAATCTGCCTTATCTTCCCCCTCCCAGCTCTCCTGTTCATCCCCACTGGCTTTCTTTCCACTGGGTGTCTTTCTTTCTCTCCTCTTCTCCACAGGGTTCTGGCCTGGGAAGGCTGTGGCCCTCCCTCCCCAGCACCGGCCTCACAGCTCCAGGAAGGAGACAGCTCCTCACCTTGGTGGCGGGTGGAGACTCTCCGTCAGCCGTGATGGATTTCAGCTCAATCTTCTCCTCCTTGGATTCCCCCACTGCCGGCTTCTCCACCAACTCTTGTTTCTTCTCTGGGCTGGCAGTCCTGGCCAGTCAGCAGCAGAAAAAAATAAATGGCTGTTTACTGGAGTGATAGGGAACAGTGTAGGAGGGAACCGCCCTGTGGCCTGTTGGGGCCAGAGGGGACAGATCCCCTGGGTCTGAGTCCATCTTCCTTTCTCCAGGACGCTTCTCGTGTGCAGCTCAGTCACAAGTGCTATGGGGCTGAGCTACACCTGCTCTGCCTGACACGCAATTGGCCTCTTGCAGCTCCAGAGATGCCTGGGTCGCCAAAGCAGAAAAGGATGGTGGATCTCATCTAGGATTGGCTCCTGGAGGAGCTCTGCTCAGTGCCCGGCAGCTGTGTGGCCTGGAACTGTCCCGTCTAGATAATGATAGGATACAACATAGGGCCCCGTCTTGCCTTCCTAACACTGGAGATGAATTATAAAGTAGTGAGGAGGACTCCCTCTGTAAGCTGGAGCTGCGTTTCCCAACTGAGTGGTTACCTTTCTCTCTCCCCACCCTACACTCCTGCCACCTATCACAGCTTCTCAAAAGATAATCCCAGCAGGTGGAGAATATGACACCATTGCAGAGATTATTATAATTCATGATGGTCCCTACCAGAGTGATGCTTAGGAATTAGGAGAGAGGCCCAACTTAGGAAGCCCCAAACCCAGAGTCCTCCTAGGAGGGAGAGCCAACAGAGGCTAGCAGTCAAGCCTCTCTCTGCCACCAGTGGGAAGACATTCCACAATGGGAGCCCTGGAGCCCCAGGCCTGGGCAAGCTTAGAGGGTTACCTGGCCAGCTTCTTTCTCTCCTTCTCCTCTTCCTCCTCCTTTTGGGCAGATGTGAGGCTCTCAGCATCAGCCAGGTTGTCCACAGCAATGGCCAAGAACACATTCAGTAGGATATCTGTTTGTGTCCATTCTTAAAGAAAATGACCCTTGGTTTGGGGTTTTGGTGGGCACAGGGGCACGGGGGATGTGGGGCGTGCAGGGTAGAGCTCCTCAGCAGAGAGAGCTTGAGGGGGAAGCAATTTGAGGGAGTCAGACCCCAACAGTGTTCCTCCCCTCCCCTTCCTCCCCATCACCCTCCTAGCTACCTGGAGCTATCAAGAGGGATGAGAACAGGCTAGCCTGCACACTGGAGCAGGCGGGAGGGAGGCAGCAAGCCCTGCCTTGCACTTTAATTGCTGGGTTTCATGATTGCTTTCCCTGCTGAGATGACTGGCTGTAATTGACATTATAAACAGCATTGTCTCTAGCAGGATGCAGAACGCTCTTAAGAGCGGTTTATTATAACTGGGCGCTGAGGGGGTGGCTTGGTATCTCTGCCAACTCTTAATGTGAGCCTGCACCCACGAAGACCCTTGGAGGGTCCATCTGGAGCCAGCCAAGGCTTGGGAGTTCCCAGTGGAGACAGTTCTTTGCCCTTTCTCCTCCCCACTCCACCAACAGAAACACTGTGGGTCAGAGAACTGCAGAATCAACGAAAGCATAGCTGGAAGGGGGCTTTAAGTCTGTGAAGTCTGACCCCCGGCCCCAGGCACCCAGACATTCATATCATTTCACACACAGGGAAGCCGCAGCAACCCAGGCTGGGGAAGAGGGGCTTTGTCCAGGGTGGCTTCTGAATGTGGCAGAGGCCTTGCATGCATGATCCCATGAAAACTCCCAACGACCCTTTATGTAGTAGGTTCTATGATTCCATTGCCACATTTTACAGACACTGAGGTAGAGGACCTTCAATCTGCAAGAGGTCATCCAGCTGGGAAAAGAGGAAACCTTGTCTGCAGGCTTCCATGACTGTGTTTTCTGCACTGCCTTAGCTGGGACTTGGCCCAGAGCTGTTCCTATGTTACCCCTGGCTCTGGACGTGACTCTCTCGGGGTTATGAGCTGGGGAAGAGAAGCAGCACCCGTGGCTTGTGCCCTGGAAACCTGCCCCAGCCGGGATCAGGAAGGAGCTTTTGGGGCTGTTTGAAGTCTGTGCAGCTCTGCCCGTGACTAAAGTCCTGGAGAGCAGCATCAGAGAGAGGGCTGCTGACCAAAAAGCAGGAGGAGAGCTGAAGGTCACTTGAAGGACAACGGCTCATCCTCCCTCCCGGAGCGTCCCGCCTCTGAGCAGACGCCGCGGCCCCAGGGCAGCCGGCCCGCTCCCGCGCGTCCCTATCGCAGGCGGTGTGAGTGGCCGCACACGCCGCAACGCCAGGGGGCGCCGCTCACCCAGATTACGGCGACAGCCCGCCCGGAGCGCGGCGCCGCTGCGGGCCCGGAGGGTTCAGGAAGGTGAACCTCACCCATGCCAAAGCTGCAGGTTTCCACCCAGACCCACCTCCGCCGCCATGGGGTTCTAGGCTGGGTGGTGTGAGCCCGAGCAGGACCGCCCGGACCTGAGGGGCGTGCCCGTTTGGCACTGTGCTGCAGGCTGGGGGCTGGGGGCCGCAGGGGTGGGGGGCAGCAGCAAAGGATACAGTTTCCACAGATGAAGAGGATGATGAAGTAAATACAGACTAACATCCCTGGAAAAGAGGGGCCGCCATAAGCCATGATCCCATCATACATCACCGAATTCCAGTCCTCCCCGGTCAGGATCTGAATGACACATTCCCACCAATAAGGGACACAGCGTTAGACCAACAGCAAACCCAAAACCACCCTGCCCTGCCCCACTACGTCAACAAAATTGTCCAAAATTTCCCTTTCACTTCTTTCCCTCCTCCTGGCCCCCAATTCTCCTCCCCAGGGGCTCTGAGCTATTGAACTGTCCTTAGACAAAATGCCTGGCTATTGGCATAATATTATTTGAAGGGTGACTAAAAGGGCTTTTTGGCCCAAAGATCTCTGACTTTCCCCACACATGCTTGAGCTGACCGTCAGCCATTCCTGGGGGTAAGGCGTCAGGACCCTTTTGCAGTTGTGTGTTTGCTGAGACAGCCACAGGCTACACCAGCTTTCCCCAAACATTCGTCACTGGGGCATCATCTTCAAGACTTTGACAACATCTACATGTGATTCATTTTTACCTCTCAATCGATCTGCTTTTAAACTTAAATAGATGCCACTTTGAGTTTGCCCTAAGCCAAAATATCTATGAAATCACAAATTTGATGGGCTAGTAATATTTTTTTCAAGAGACAAGCATGGTAGGAAAGCCAGGGTTTCGTCACCCTCCCCTCCCCCAGTAAGAGCAGTCTGCTTTTCTTTATGTTTTGGGCTTTCATGGAGAATTTAAGTAAAGGATTCCATGGATAAGAACGATTTTTTTTTTTTTTATTTGAGACGGAGTCTTGCTCCGTCACCTAGGCTAGAGTGTGCAGTGGTGCAATCTTGGCTCACTGCAACCTCTGCCTCCTGGGTTCAAGAGATTCTCCTGAGAAGGCATTTTTAAACCACTTATATTGTTTCCCCTAATGGTCCACCCACTAGTGGAATTCCATGGCAGATGGGGACAGGGAAACTACAGAAAAAACTCAAGACTCTCCCGGGCATGGGCTCTCCAGGGCTGATCTAGGATGGCTGTGGCTGCCCGGTAAAAGGGTGCAGCTTCCCACACTCCTCCCACCACCCCGCCACTCAACCACCCCGAGTCCGAATCCCAGCAGAGAAGAGTCCATACCTGAAACACAGTGAGGAGGGACTGGGGGAAGTTATCGAATGTGCTCCTCCGGGTCTGCATCTCATCAAAGTTGAACTTTCCTCCAAAGAGCTGCATCCCCAGGAGGGAGAAGATGATGATGAAGAGGAAGAGGAGAAGGAGCAGGGAGGCGATGGAGCGCACAGAGTTCAGCAAGGATGCCACCAGGTTGCTCAAGGAGTTCCAGTACCTGAGAGCCAACAGGAGGGAGGTCAGCACTCTGCCCCTTGCTGTCCTCCCCATCGTGCCTCATTCTCACAACTGCCCACTGCAGGTTCTCAGAGGAGCTGCCACTCTATGCTCTTTTTCCCTGCCCGTGGGGGATGCGTGTTGGTGGTGGTGTGAGTTGCCACCCTGGAGGGAGTTAATTCAAGGTCTCAAGATGATTAATCTGTTGGGGAAGAGAGGGGGACAGTGGTCAGAAGCCCGCGACCTAGCTCTGCCGGCTACCTGCTGCATGTGCCTCTGGGCAAGACATTTCACTTCCCTGCCTTCTGCATCCCCATCAAAAAAATGGAGATTGTTGTAGCCCTTGCTTCATTAGGCTATGGCAGGATTGCGTGACATGATCCACCTTTCCCCAAAGAGCCCCCTGTAGAGTGCCTGGCACATAGTTGATAAAGGTTGGTAATCATTGTTGTCACTGTTGGTCTCTAAACAGAAAGAAAGCTTTTTTTCCCCCACCATGAATGCCAGTCTGAGCTCAGCCTATAGGCAGCAGCCTTCTAGCAGAGGCAGGAATTAGGTCACCCACGGGTAAGAGAGAGTTCATGGCTTGGTGGTTTCCCAAGTTTACGCTGTCCTAAGAATTGTTTCTTTAAGGGCCTTTCCTCTTGAGATTGTGATTCATTAGCTGTAGTTTGGGGCCCAGATATCTTTGTTTCTAACAAGCATCCTACAGGATTCTGATCAGCAGGTGAGTCTGGGAAATCCTAGATTATAGCAAACCTGTCACACCCACTGGGGCAGCTCAAAGCACGAGTCCTCTGAGTGGGCAGGAGCTCGGTCCTGAGGGGACATGGGCTTTCAGTGGGATTCCTGGGGAGGAGGTCCCCACTCCTTACAGTCCTGGGGCCTCTCTCCACTATAAATACAGCGATCCTGGGAAAATCCCTTTCTCATGACAAAGTGGGAGGGGGAACCTACTAATGACTGCTGGATGCAGGGTGGGCACCTGTGTGAGGGTCAGCTCAGGACCAGGAAGTGCACCATGGCAAAAGGACATGGCCCTGAGGGAGCAAGAGCAAGAACAGAACAATCTCATTTCCCTCTGGCCCCCTCTGGCCCACCTGCCTCCTAGGTCACTCCCTTGAGAGATTCCCAGCTCATCACCAATCCAGACAGTGGATTGCTTTTGCTGCTTCAGTGAGTGACATGCAAGCCACTCCCATTGCAGCCACAGCCTGGGCTCATCTCTGCAGAGAATGGTTCCACACCAAGGGACAGAAGCAGAGGGGTCATAGTTTGGATGGCAACATGAACTCTTTACCAACCTGCAGCCTCGAGGGCACCTTTGGCCTCCACAAATCCAGCTTTTCCTTACTTCTATTTTGCCTGCCAGCCATACCCCCTCTGTTGCAGAATATTAATATACATCTATTTGTATCTGTTCTATACAGTCTTGTCTCACCAAAATAGGCTCTAAATTTTAGACGGCAGAAGATTGCAGGGTTTTGTCCCCCTCCAGCTTCCCAACTCTGTCCTTATATAAATTCTGTACAACCCAGTATGTGTGATGGACTGCCTGGAGCCCCTGCAGGCTAGAGGCTGTAGTGATCTGCTTAAAGGAAAAAGTAAGAGAACCTCTCTGGGGGTAGAACACCCTCCCCTCTTACAGCTAAAGCAGTTTTCCCAAGCCTGCCCGGTGATCAACATCAGTAGAGGTGGCTGGGCATGGTGGTGGCTCATGCCTATAACCCCCTTTGGGAGGATTGTCACTTTAGGAGGTCAAGGCAGGAGGACTGCTTGAGGCCAGGAGTTTGAGACCAGCTTGGGCAGCAGTGTGAGACCTCATCTTTAAAAAATTAAAAAATTAGCTGGGTGTGGTGGTGCATGCCTGTAGTCCCACCTACTGGGGAGACTGAGATGGAAGGATCACTTGAGCCCAGGAGTTTGAGGCTGCAGTGAGCTATGTTTGCACCATTGCCCTTCATCCTGGGTGACGGAGTGAGACCCTGTCCTAAAATATTAATTAATTAATTAATAATAGAACAACAACAATACCAGTAGGGGTGTGTTAGCATTTCCTAAATCCTGATTCCCAGGTCCCTCCCTTGCACCATGAAACCCTAATCTCTGACTCTGGGGCTGACTCTGGGGCTGGGGTAATCCTCAGGCGACCAGTCCAACACCTGCCAATACACTGGGAGTTGGGAACCAGCAACTTTAAGCATATTTATAACAAGAATTTCCAGCTGTATCCGAGGGAAGAGTGTCCGCATGTGCACTGAAGTCACAAATCCTCTAGAGATCCTCTGTGCGCTCAACTGTCATGGAAGATTCTGGAAAAGCCTTAATGGTCATGGAAGGTTGGAGCCTTCGTTTTCATGAAGTAAAGAGGCATGTGGGAAATAACTGCAACTGGGATTATACCTGAGACCCAGGTATGTCTGACAGCCATGGGGACCAACGGGAGCCTGACAAGCAGGTCATGGCTGCAGAGGGAGAGGGCCAGGTGCCGTCAGCAAGAAAGTCTGGGGGAGGCCCCAGATGAGGAGCAGAGAGGGATGGTGAGGTGGGGGGGCCCTCCTGACCTGGGAGCCCCTCAGAATGCTTGGGGCTCCAGGGAGGAGGAGGCTGTGGCCCAGGAACAGATCCAGTCTCTAAGAGGGGAGAACACTCCTGGGAAGGCAGAGATGGAGCATGGAAACTAGCAGGGATCTCCTAGAGCGAAGGCCAAAGGCAAGGACGTGGGCAGGGACACAGAGCTGTGTCTGGAGGAGCACCCTCTGCCCACTCTCCCTGCCGCCCCTGCCTCCCTCAACCCCTGGGGCGTCTGGGAAAGTCCAAGCTGCACAACACCGGGTTCGTGCTCTGATGGAGCTCCTGCTTCCCACCCATCACCTTCCCCGTCTCAAGGAAATGAGAACCATAGCTTTTGGCTCAAGGCAAAGTCCTCGGAGTCATCTTCCTGGCTCTCTCACACTCTGCATCAGCAAATCCTTCTGCGCCATCTTCAAAATGAGTCCTGACTTTGGCCACTTCCCACCGCCTCCTCATCCTCACTGCCTGGACCCCCGCTCCGGGCAGCTGATGTCCAAGCTGCAGCAGCAGCGGGTGTTGCTATGAGGTGAGGCCCACGAAGCCTCAGTCTTGCTTCAGTCACCTCCCCTTCTCCTCTGGGTCAAAGCCAGAGTCCTCCCAAAGGCCTAGCAGAGGCTGTAGATTCTGGGCCCAGAGCCTCAGGGACCAGCCAGCTGCACTCCCCTTCCTCGGGCCCCCTCACTTTCTCCAACTCCTACACATGCTCCTGCCTGACCAAGGCCATGCTGCTGTCCGTCCGCAGGTTCTTTGGCAGACGTCAGTGGAGCTCACCCCTTCAGCTCCTTCAGGCCTCACATCTCCCCTGGCCACCGCTCTATCCCTCATTACTCTCAAAGAATAATTACTTCTGGCCGGGCGCGGTGGCTCACGCCTGTAATCCCAGCACTTTGGGAGGCCGAGGCGGGCGGATCACGAGGTCAGGAGATCGAGACCATCCTGGCTAACACGGTGAAACCCCGTCTCTACTAAAAATACAAAAAATTAGCCGGGTGTGGTAGCGGGCGCCTGTAGTCCCAGCTACTCGGGAGGCTGAGGCAGGAGAATGGCGTGAACCCGGGAGGCGGAGCTTGCAGTGAGCCGAGATCGCGCCACTGCACTCCAGCCTGGGCGACAGAGCGAGACTCCGTCTCAAAAAAAAAAAAAAAAGAATAATTACTTCTTTGCTTATTGTCTGCTTGCCCTCGCCAGAATGTGAGGCCATGGGAGAAGGAACCCATCTGTTACATTTATATCCTTGGAGCTTAGAACAGTGCCTGGCCCAAAGCAGGTGATGAGCAAACATTTTGTTCAGTGAATGAATGAACCTTACTATTCATATGACACATTGGTACTTCCTGGAGGGAAAGGCAAGGGGCCATGGAGGTGCATGGGTGCTTCTGTGCATGTGTGTTTGTGTGCGTGTGCACTTAAGTTGAACACACTTTGCCAAACAGTGAGAAGTGGCTGCCTGCCCCTGCTCCCATAGCCTTCCTATTCCCATAGCTTCCCTACATCCATGGGGAGGGATTTTCTGAGATTCCTGACTGTTCCATTGCCAGACCATGCATCAAACTAATATGTATCAATATGTCCTACAGAAAACGGTTTCTGTGGCTTGAGCAAACCTTGGGAGTAGGATTTCCAGATCACTGTGAACATGTGTCACCTTTGGGGAAGAACTCACATTCTCAAATTCACTGGTCCCAGTTTTGAGGGCACAGGTCAGCCTCTGTTTAAAAGATGAATTGGCACCAGCCTACTGTCTACATGAAAAACACCTGAGGGGAAAGACACTGTCCTGGGGACCAGTAACACAGTTAAAACATGGCTCAGACAGACAGACAGACAGAGATATGGTTGTTTGTGCTGTTTGTCTTCAGCCTACTGTTGCTTCCCATTCAACAGAGAGAAAGATGGGGTTGGGCCCGAGGCAGGCCTGCCACCTGTCCTTTCCTTTCCTTTGCAGCAGGATAAAGGGGGCAGGCTGCTGCCCAGGGCCTGGCATCACGAGGGGTGCTCAGCTTGCTGAGCAGAAGGCTTCCATTCCTAACGTGCAAATTATCAGGGATGTTTTATATGCTCATCTAGAAGATGAGACAAAGGAATTGCTGAAATGATGATGTGGCAAAGAATGCTGATAGGGTTCAGAGGAGATGGGCTGAATTCTGGAGACTGGCAGGCCTTGGCTGGTAGCAGGTTGAGGGTGGGGGCTCACTATCACTGATATGGATGGGATTTGGAGGTGTCCAGGTGGCAGCCTTTGAGGTGGGTAGGGTGACGTGAAACCACTTAAATAAACAGCTGGCGGTCCTGCAGGTCCTCACACTCCCTCCTCTTAATGTGGTCTGATGGCTCGCACAGCTATGGCCTGAAGATTGGATGATGGCCTCCTATCCTAGAATCACCATCTTTTTTAGGAAGATTCACTGTTGGTAAACTAGAGGGGTTAATGGCACATTCACAATCAGCTGAAGCTTTTTTCCTCATTGGTCAAAAATATGAGATACACACGCTCACACACCAAAAAGGCAAGAGCTTTGGAGAGAAGCGAGCAGCAGCAGAGCAAAGCACTTCATGTCTTTTGGTCACAGGCCTCATGGAAAAGCATAAAAATGAAGCACTCTCTCATCAGAGCAGTGCACACACATGCCCACAAGCTCACATTCAGTACTGTGGGCTCTACAGCACCCGGGTGCCGGTGTCCAGCTCTAGATCACCCCCCAGACACTCTGCCTGCGTCGCCATCATTGGCATCAACTTTCCTTTCCCATTCTCCAGCTGCTGGAATCATTCTCTCCAAACTGTGCGTCCCTGCTCACCCCATCCCCCATCTGACCCACTCGGCTCCCTGTTTTATCCTTAAAAGTACAGCACATCTGAGGGCTTTTCATCACATCAAGTTCTCTGCCACCTAAATTCTCTCCTTCCCTCTACCTTCCTACTCCCAGCCTCCCTTTAAGCTCTCTCACTTGCCGACCACCATGTCACTTCTGTTACCTTTTCCCTCTGCCTCTCCTGATTTAAGTTACCACCATCTGTTCAGAAATCCTTTTATCTCCATTTGTTTCCCCGTCTCTAGGTCTGTCTCTGGGTTTGGGGCTCTGTGGAATTCTTCCTCCTCTTCTATAATATAAAGTGACCCGAGCCTTCCTTGAACTGGAACTTTCATCTCATGAACCTTTTGCTTCAAAGAGCTCAGGGCCAGGTCCTTTACCTTTATTCTAGGTATAGAGCAGAGCATTGAGCTTGCCATAAATAAGAGATCTTCAAAATAACAGTACCCACCACTTTCGGATGCTCTGCAAATGTTCCACCCTATTCTCTCTGTGTTCCAGAGAAGGTCATAACTGAGTTTGATACCTGCCCAAAATGTTCTCATCCTGAAGGCTAAAAAAAAATTCTTAGTTTCGGTGGCAAGTGATCTATTGTTAAAAGAGCAGTTATAAAGCAGTCCCCTGTGGTGAATCTGTGTGGCTGGGGCTTCATGGGAGGCAATGGAGTGAAGAGGAGTGAGAATTGGCTGAGGCCACCTGGGGAAGCAGGTAGAATCCATCCAGCAAGTGAGCACAGGAGGGGGTGTCCTCAGAGCAGAGCTTCCGTCAAATTGAGCCCCAGCCCCTTAAGACACAATAGAGCTGGGAGGGATTAGGATGCCCAGAGGCAGAACCGTATATGCTGGGCTGGGCCAGGAGGAGTCAAGCAGAATTCTAGAGTATTTTGGTCTGGGACAACCTGGGCCCCAAGGCCTCAACTACCGGTTCAGTTTCTACTGGTACCTGCCCCTGCTCCCGTCCATTCTAGCAGGCTGGGAAGACCATTTTGTGGTTTCACTTTTGAGGCAAGGGCTGACTTAGTTAACAAGTTCAAAGGTCTTGTCTTCTCTGTTTGCAGCAGATGTCTCGGTCACATTAAGAACGGAACCTGCATGGGGAGTGTAACCTGGTCAAGCGGGCAAGGTGGTCTGGCCTGGACCTGGGGATGGCCTTAGCAGCATGCTTCTCTGAGCTTCTGGGCCACGGGGCTACTCAGTGTCACCTAGTTGGCCCCTCCAACCACAGTTGTGTCAGGGCTAGGGAGTCATCCTCACCTGCATCTTTTTAATCTTTCTCCTAGTAGGTGACACCAGTCCATTCCCATACCAAAGGAGAACCACCCATTGTGTTGACAGCCACATTGCAGGCTCTGGAGTCTGAGCTACCTTTGCCACAGACCCCTGCCAGGGAACTGGGCATCTGCCAAACAGACTTCCTTAATAATGGCCCTCAATGAGCTCAGAGGCTCCAGGGGGCCTGAGAAGAGTGGGGGCTAGAAGGTGATGGAAGAGCTGGGAAGGTGTGGGGCTGGATCTGCTGCTCAAGGCCAGATGCTGGTAGGGACATGGAGACATTTCGAGCCTGGGAGATGTGCTAACGGCTCTCACCTGGAGCTCTGTGGGGCCCATATGTGGCCAAGATTTATGAGCCAATCTGTCTGTGCTGAATCAGCCCCAGCTCCCATTTCAAGGCCTGGGAAGGGAGCTGCAGGGGAGGAGCAGCAGGAGAAATAAAGAGGGATTGAAGGTGTGAGAGGGGAAACAGCAAGTGCTAGAGGGGCCTCACTGCACTTGAAAACCAAGTGTGTCAAAAATGAGATGCAATCAGTAAACTGGTATCACGTCCGGATTGAATCTGTCTGGAGCCCTTCTCCCACCCCACAGAATATGTCAGACTGGGCTGACAAAGAGTAGAAAAACTGGATATTGAATCTGGGCAGCACCAAGAGCCACAGGTGGAAGAACCCAATCCATCATGAGGCTGGAAGGCCCACCGTACTGGGGCATTTACTCAAAGATGACAAAGATTCCGGCCATGCGTGTGCCCCACTGTTTTCAATGAGCAGGAATCTTGTCTTCCTCAATCTTTTCTATAAAGTAATTTTCTTACAGTCTAGTACAGGCTTCCTGGCCTTTTTTTTGTCTTGAAACAATAGGATGAATGATATTCATACATGTAGCACATTCCCTAAGGTGTTCTCAACAAGAGGATGAATGATCTTCATACATGTAGCATACTCCCTAAGGTGTTCTCAGATTTTGACAAAACACAAAAAATGTCAGTATGTAAATAATTCATTTTCCTCATAATGATATATCAAAGACATCTGCTCCCTTCAGGCATCATGGATGAGTTGTAAGTCCACCCGGATCTCACCCATTCATAGAAGCATTTTGTAATGCAAGTGACAGAGTGATGCTATTATGTTACAAGGACAATATTAATTTGTTTTATTTTTTAAAGAAACTATTCACAAACTTTGGAATTTCAGCTCTCAGTAATAAATTATTTGCTATCACTATCCAGCTGCTCTGGATGTACCACTGTGTCATGACCTCAGGGTGAAGAACCATTGATTTAGATCCCTGTTCCCGACCCTTGGACCATGGGTCCTGGGTGAGGGAAGAGCAGCCTGGAATTCTAGAATTCTAGAAAGGGATCCATGAATCCATGTGTACACCAAGCATTATACTACTCTGAATAAACAGCCTTGTCTTGCATTCATATTACCACTTTTCAAACATACACAGATGTGTAGGAATTTAAATTTAAAAGCTTTGCTGAATTCATAGTAGTTCTTACCTTGATGTGTTTTCTCAGTCAAAAACTATCAAAAGTACCATCTTGACAGAATTAGAGACTACAGTATGGAGAAGACAGTGGAGATGTAAGAATCAAGTTTTTTGGCTGGGCAAGGTGGTCAGCCAAGTGAGAGGATCTCTTAAGTCCAGGAGTTCCAGACCTGCCTGGGCAATATAGTGAGACCCCATCTCTACAAAAAATAAAAATATTAGCCAGACATGGCACTTATAGTCCCAGTTACTTGGGAGGCTGAGACGAGGCTGGAGTATCACTTGAGCCCAGGAGTTTGAGGCTACAGTGAGCTATGATTATGCTACCACACTCCAGCCTAGGTGACAGAGTGAGATCCTGTCTTGAAAAAAGAAGAGGGAAGAGAAGAAGAAGAAGAAAAGGAAGAAGAAGGAGGAGGAGGAGGAGAAGAAGGAGGAGAAGGAAGAGGACAGGAGGAGGAGGAGGAGAGGAGGAAGAGGAAGAGGAGAAGGAGGAGGAGAGGAGGAGGAGGAAGAGGAGGAGGAGAAGGAGGAAGAAGAGGAGGAGAGGAGAAGAAGAAGAGAAGGAGGAGGAGGAGGAAGAGGAGGAGGAAGAGAAGGAGGAGGGGAGGAGGAGGAGAGGAGAAGGAGGAGAGGAGGAGGAGGAGGAGAGGAGAAGGAGGAACAGAAGAAGGAGGAGGAAGAGGAGAAGGAGCAGGAAGAGGAAGAGGAGGAGGAAGAGGAGGAGGAAGAGGAGAAGGAGGAAGAGAAGAAGGAGGAGGAAGAGGAGGAAGAGAGGAGGAGGAAGAGGAGAAGGAGGAGGAGAGGAGGAGGAGGAAGAGGAGAAGGAGGAGGAGAGGAGAAGGAGGAGGAGAGGAGAAGGAGGAGGAGAGGAGAAGGAGGAGGGGAGAAGGAGGAAGAGAAGAAGAAGGAGGAAGAGGAGAAGGAGCAGGAGAGGAGGAGGAGGAGGAAGAGGAGAAGGAGGAAGAGGAGGAGGAGGAAGAGGAGAAGGAGCAGGAAGAGGAAGAGGAGGAGGAACAGGAGGAGGAGGAAGAGAAGAAGGAGGAGGAAGAGGAGGAAGAGGAGAAGGAGGAGGAGAGGAGGAGGAGGAGGAAGAAGAGAAGGAGGAGGAAGAGGAGGAGGAGGAGGAGGAGGAATAATAATCAAGTTTTCCGATTGCATATGAAGGGCAGTATTTTAGGAGAAGAAAGCAGACCAAGAGCAGCAGTAGGAAATTAGGCCAGTGGTTCTTCAAGTGAGGTCGGTCATTGGACCACTAGCATGGAACTCTCCAGGAGTTGCTGGCCAAAATCTCTAGAGATGAGCTCCTTAATGAACTCCTTCATGGGTTCAGCTAAGTTTAAGAATTGCAATTACTGGTTCAGACTACATTGTAAAAAAAAAAAAAAAAAAAAAGAGAAGAAATTTCTTCTACATATGAGTAGCAGCAAGACATTGCAAAGTACTTTCCAAGATATTTTAAAAGAAGAAGGCATGCACTTGTCTGATGGCAGGACCATGCACAGATGACCCATTTCAAGGTTCAGCTGAAGGGACCACAATGTCCACTCCCAACCCATATTTTAGGCATTTTTCTTGGTCACTGTCACCCAGTCCCAAGGCTGGCGCTGGAGACGGACTTATGGGATCCCCCAACCTAATTAGTCTCTTTGTTGCTTTCCGAAAGCCCCCAGAGGCTTTGGAGACTTGAAAATAGGAAGATGACGGCCTTTGCCACAGTCACTTTCAATTAGACAATGATTTTTTCTGTTTATAGACTTCATAGAGATCTGAAAATACTACTACTCCTTCTTGTGGAGGGACTACAGGAAGCTCTCTGATTAAGATAGATTTTTAAAAATGGTTTCTTGGCAATATCTTCAGATTAGAAATAAATTGGTGATTAAAAATAGAATGAATGTTAAATCTTTTCAAGATGTCATAACAATATATAGCAGCAAGATTTCTTTTCTATAGAAATATATACATAAAAGCCCAAAACAGGGACTTTTGAGAATTATTTAAGAGGCATTGAAAACTGCAAGTTAAAAATAGTTTTACCAGACCCCAGGAGGAGCAAGTAGAATCGGCAATTATCTAACAAGAACCAGGGCATAAAGATCTTTTAAGTCCTGTCTCAGGGACCTAGACAAGAAGACAGGTCAGCTCTCAGCTCTGCAGTGCATGGCAGTGGTTAGGAGTATAGCACCTCAAGTCAGACCACAGACCTGCCTTGCCTTTTAATCCCAGTGTTACCTCTGAGCAGTTTTGTGACCTTGGGCAACTGACAACTCTCTAAGCCTCAGTCTCTCATCTGCAAAGTGGGAATAATAATAGTAGTAGCCTATCCTCATCCTCATGTAGGTACTTGGGAGGATCACTCAAGCTAACATTCGTAGGCCTCTGCTCACCCTATCTGGCACAGAGTAAGCACTGGTGCATGGTAATCATTGCTGATATAAGGATTTCTACCACTTTCACTGTAAACCAAGGACTTTCTGTAATGCCAACATATTCAGGACACTTAGGAAGAGCTCTCTTTCGATGGGGTCAGAGAGGGAAAGAAGGCTGTTGCTTAGGAGCATTAAACTTCTGGATTTTAATCGTGGGTGTCTGTTAAGTCCCTCATCTGAGATTCAACCTTCTCCAGGAGCTATCTCCTGCTCCCAATTTCTCACAGCAGGTAATTCCCACGCCCACCACACTTTGCCAGCTCATTATATTCTGTCATAGATTTTCCTTTAATCTCTTCATGTGCACAAACTCCATCTCCCCAACCAGACTATACATTTCTCCTGGATTTAGTTCACGCCATACGCCTTATTTTTCGATTTTTTCCATCTCTCTGAGCTCAATACACAGTATATACGTAGTGGGTAAATAAGTAAGAACAAGAGTATGTGAATATGTAGGTCACTATTAGCTCTCTTCTCTTTCTTCCTTCTAATAATAGCAGTCATAATATTAGATGAATAATAAAAGCTTCTGCATATTGAGTCCTTTCTGTGCACTAAATGAAACACTTTAAATGTCTACCTCCCCGGACCATCCACAACACCATGTGACCATGCTCTGGGTGGTTGCCAAGAGAATTGTGACGAGAAGAGCAACACCTAGGGACACTCAGAAACACGCTCTGAGCAAGATGCCATCAGCTCCAGATCCTGAACTGAAGACACCAACCTCCATCCCTTTTTACCCATCACAATCCAACGGATGGTTTTAGTGCTCCTGTTATCAAAGATTCCCCAAAGCAGAGATTTTGGGAGCCCCCAAAGCAGATTTTTAAGGACAGGGGACTTGTACCTTAGAGGGGCACAGGTTGAAAATTCCTTCCAGGTGTTTCCCATATGTCTTCTAAGGTTGATCATAACGCACATTAAGAAATATGTATTCTACTGCAAGTCAGGTCTGCATCTCAGCTTTTTATGAAACAATGTTTACGTTCATGTGAGACCCTCTGATGTTTTCCTATTCTATTTCATTCTTTCTTTAAAAACGATGCTTGTGAGAATGTGAAGAAATTGGAACCCTTATACATTGCTGGTGGAAATGTAAGATGCTTTAGTCTCTTTGGAAAACAGTTTGACAGTTCCTCAAAATCTTAAACATATTGTTACCAAATAATCTAGAAATTCCACTCCGAGGTACCTATCCAAGAAAAACAAAAGCCTACATCTATAGGAAGACTTGAACATGAATGTTCATAGCAGCATTATTCATAGGAGCCAAAAGATAGTAACAACCAAATGTCCATCACTGATACATGAATACACAAAATGTAGTATATCCCTACAATGGAATATTATTCACCATAAAAGGAAACAAAGTACTGATCTATGCTACAACATGGATGGCCCTTGAAAACATTATTCTAAGTCAAAGAGGCCATCACAAAAACACATATTATAAGATTTCACTCACATGAATGGTCCAAAATAGGCAACTCTATAGAGACATAAAGTGAATTTGGTTGCTGGGAGGGAAGATGGGGGAAATGTGGAATGGGTATGGAGTTTCTTTCTGGGGTGATGAAAATGTTCTACAACTAGAACATGGTGATGGTTGCATAACCATGAATATAAAAAAACAATTAAGTTACACATTGTAAGGGGTAAATATATGGGATATGAATTATATTTCAGTATGTTTTAAAATGATGGTTGTGATCCAATAAATGGATTCCACCACTCCCAGTGGTCATAAGTCAGGTGAAAATCATTGTCCTAGAGCATGGTGCCCCTCAGCCCTGTCCTTGTCTTGAGAGTCACTGCTTGGCCTAGACAGTGAGGGAGATGGCCTGCTTTGGGTAGGTGCCGGACTGACATATGGAGGGGTGGCCATGTGGACAGAGGGTGAACACCATCTGCAGTGCAGTGTCCACAGCCCTTTACAGTGGCTAGATCTTGAACGCATTTTCAGCAGAACTTGTCCTGCTAGAATACTGCATTTCTCAGCCTCCCTAACAGCTCAGGTGCTCAAGAACAGAAGCCCTTGCTGAGACTTCTGGAAGATTTCTTCCAATTTGTTTCACTGTGTTAAAATACACATAACATAAAATTTACCATCTTAACCTTTTTTTTTAAACTGTAGAATTCAGTGGTGCTAAATACATTCACGCTGTTGTGAAACCACCACCATCCTCCATCTCCAGAACCCATTAAACACTAACTCCCCACTGCCCCCTCCCTCCAGCCCTGGGCGCCCACCATTCTGCTTTCTGTCTCTGTGAATCTGACTACTCTAAGAGCCACATATAAATGGAATCATACAGTATTTGTCTTTCTGTGACTGGCTTATTTCACTTAGCATAATGTCCTTAAGTTTCATCTACTTTGTAGCATGTGTCAGGATTTCCTTCCTTTTTAAGACTGAATAATATTGAACTGTATGTGTAGACCACATTTTAAAAATACATTCATCTGTCTAAGGCACTTGGGTGTGCAAATATCTCTTTGAGATCCTACTTTCAATTATTTTGGGCATATACCCAGAAGTGGAATTGATGGATGAGAGGGTAATCCTATCATTAACGTTTTTAGGAACTGCCATACCATTTCCCACGGTGGCTGCACCATTTTACACTCCCACCCATAGTGCACAAGGGTTCCAATTTCTCCATGTCATTGCCAACCCTTATGATTTTCAGTTTTTTTTGACAGCAGCAGTCCTAATGGGTGTGTCTGGGAGTGACTTCTGGGAGTGGAGAAGCTGACTTGGCCGGGGTGGTCGGCCCTTTTGCTCCTTTCTCTTCTTCCCACCTCCAATTTGAATGTGATGGCTCAGTCTCCAGAAGTCATCTTATGACCCTGGAGAAGAATCAGCACCAAGGCTGGTGAAGCACAGGAGAAGAGATTGAGTCCCTGACCCTCTTCTTGAAGGCACCTCAGCTAGCTGCCTCTGGACTTTTTTTCCATGGCTGAATAAGTCCCTAGCTTGCTTACATTACTGAGTTGAGTCTCTGGTATTAGCAGCCAGAGGAATTTCCAAATGATGTGCCATCTAAATGAACACAAACTACCCCCATTGCATGTGAACTTCAGAGACACCCTTTGAGGAAGAACAGCCCCCCTCCCACCCAGGCCTTGCCACCTCCCTTGCCCTCTGGAAGAACTTCTTCCTGAGTCCCCTCTTCAAAGTGAGAGGGGGAGCCCAGTACCTCGTGATCTTGAAAATCCTCAGCAGCCGGACGCATCTGAGCACGGAGATGCCCAGTGGGGACATGATCTTGGTCTCCACCAGGATGGTCTCCAGGATGCCGCCACACACGACGAAGCAGTCAAAGCGGTTGAAGAGGGACACGAAGTAGGCCTGCAGGCCCAGGCTGTACATCTTCAGGAGCATCTCTGCCGTGAACAGGGCCAGCAGGGCCTTGTTTGCCGTGTCTGGCAGGCCCAGGAGAGGGATGAGATCCGAGCAGGGCCAGAGGAGGCAGAGAGGGAGGCAGGGAAAGGAAATACAGTAATTATCTCCATTGGAAAAAAGATCCCCCATGACACCTCTCCCATCCACCTCGGCCAGAACAGAAGTTGGGGCCAAGCCAATGGGAAAGGGCTCTCTCGTCACAATCATAACAGACATTTACTGAGCATCTCCCATGCACCATAGGCTCAGCACACACAATCTCTCCTCCTCATAGCAGGCCTGTGGGGATGGTACCACCATCGTCATGCCCATTTTCAGAGATGAGAAAGGAGGTTCAAAGAGGTGAGTAGCCTGTGCAGGCCAAACAGCCAACAGTTGGAGCCGCACTGTCTGAGTCTGACTTCTCCGCCACTAGACCCCCTGCCTCCCAGGACTCTGGAAAGCAGCTGTGGAGGATGGGGCCAGGTCTTCTTGACTGCCCAGCAATGATGCTGAGGCCTGGCTAGTGGGACCCTCGTCTAGGGGCCCAAGGAAGGATAATGAGAATGAACGACCCATTGAAGACGGTTCCTTGTGCTCAGGCCCTATTCTCTTCTCTGCCTTTTTGCTCATTCCATCCTCATGTGTTCTGGTTAAGGCCACCTCAGGGCTGTAGGAAGGCCCCCAGGTATTTAAAATCCATGCTGGGGAGTTGGCAGCCAGGAGTCTGAGATAGGCAAACAAGCTGCAGCCCCTTTCCTCATCACCTGGGTCCAACAGTGACTTTGGGGCAGGCTGATGGTGTGGGCCCAGTCAGGAGAGCCGTGTCTGTTTTTAACAAGGTAGCGCATTTTATTGTGGGGCTTTGGAACTGCCAGGCCCTTGGTGTCTCCAGCACAGCACCTGCCAAGAGCCCCGACCATTGGCTGCTTTCCCCTCCACCTTCTGCCTGTGGTTATGCCCTCCCCTGGGCCTTGGGGCTGAGTTACCAGGAGGAAACCAGAGCAGAGCTGGGGCCGCCGCTCACCTTGGACTTCTGTGAGCCAGTTGGGCTGGTTGTAGTGCTCAGAGGCAATGGTGAGCGTGTTGAGGAACACCAGGAAAATCACCAGCCAGTAGAAGACATTAGACTTGACTGCGGCGCGGCACTTCCTTCTGCAGAACCGATTCCACCGGCGCCAGTAGCGGCTGGAAAGGGGACAGGGAGAGAAGGGTGGGGTTGGCTGTGAATTCAGGTTTCCTCCAACCCAAGATGCAGCACCATGGCTCTTCTCGCCCCTCACTGATCTGGCCTTGCTAGAGCAGCCCAATCTGGTGGCAAGGAGCCCAGCTTCTCATCCAGCTAACCAGGCCCTGCCGCCTTGGGGATGCCCCTGAACTCCTCCAAGCTTCAGTTCTCCCGGGAAGAGGGCCGACCTCATGGGGTTATTGTGGGGATGGATCAAATACCTTATAATGCATCTGGCTGCTTTGAAGTTGAAGATGCTCAATAAATGGAAGTTTTTTTAATTTTTGTGAAACAGCATTCTTAGAAATAGTGTTGTAAGCAATAAGAGCATTATTAGTAACAGTGGAGGAGGGGCCCAGTACCACATCAGGCACTTCTCATGCCTTCTCTCCAATTCTTTCAGTAACTCTGCAAAGCACGCATTATCCTGATTTTTGTGGAGGAGAAAACTCAGGGCTGGGGAGGTTGAGTACTCGACCAATATCACAGCAGGCAGAGCCATCCGTAGTTTTCTGCCCAGCCTCTTGGCCCTGACTGTGTGTGCCACATCCATATGGTAGAAGGGGTTCATCTGGAGCACAGGCTCTTTGTTTTTCTGGGTTATAGAATCTTTCCAGAATCTGATGAATGTTTAGATCTGCCTTTCAGAAAAATGGGCACATGCCCACACACACACCTTTACTTGAGAGCCCACACAGCACACAGACCCCTCAAAGCTCATCCATGCTCCATGGACTCTTCCCCGTATCTTGGTTTAGGAGCCTTTGTCAGTGATTCTCAAACCTGGCTACACACAGAATTACCTAGGGAACCCTCCCCAAAACCCCACTGGTCCGCAAGCCCCAACACCAAACCAATTAAGTCTGATTCTCTAGGGGTTGGGTATTTTTTTTTTTTTTTTTTTTTCTGAGACGGAGTCTCGCTCTGTCGCCCAGGCCGGACTGCGGACTGCAGTGGCGCAATCTCGGCTCACTGCAAGCTCCGCTTCCCGGGTTCACGCCATTCTCCTGCCTCAGCCTCCCGAGTAGCTGGGACTACAGGCGCCCGCCACCGCGCCCGGCTAATTTTTTGTATTTTTAGTAGAGACGGGTTTCACCTTGTTAGCCAGGATGGTCTCGATCTCCTGACCTCATGATCCACCCGCCTCGGCCTCCCAAAGTGCTGGGATTACAGGCGTGAGCCACCGCGCCCGGCCGGGGTTGGGTATTTTTAAGGCTCCCCAGGTGGTTCTAATGTGTAATGATGGTTGAGAACCAGTGGCTAAGATGATCCTAAAGAAACACATTTTAAGATTCTATGGTGGAGGCGTTTTCATTTTCCTGATACAGAGAAAATATACAGCTCTGTTTGGTTGAATTCAGTAGACGACATGGTTAATAAATGGCTGCACTGTGCAAGGAGAGAAGAACCATAGCTGGAGAGGTGCTGAGGAGGAGACTGCAGGGGCCATGCTGAGGGCTTGGGGAGGGGGAAAGGACATGATCAGGTTGGATTGGAACACCCCACAAAAACAGCCCCTCTGTCACCTTCTAGACCAGGGAGAGTATGAGGAATTCTCTTCCTGTTCTCCAGGTTAGAGATGATGAAGGCAATAGCTATATTAATGGAAAAGATGACACAGAGCTGGCAGCAATTTTAGAGGCAGAATCAATAGTCCCTTGAGATGAGCGGATGTGCAGAATAAGAAAGACAGGTATGGAAGGGACTGCCAACATTTTTAGCTGGGGCGATTTGGGAGGGCAGCACAGAGGAGGGCCAGAGGAGCGGGAGTAGAGCTCCAGGCAGAGGGGTCAGTTATGAGAAAAATGGGGTGCTTAGCTCTGCACATGGCTTTGGGGCACCTGTAGGGCTTGTACGCAGACCCACGAGGCATTGAAGATACAGCTCCTGCCTGGGTAATGAAGGCAGGAGGAGAAACAAAGTAGAATCCTGGTGATAAAGTCCATGAATATCTGTATTTTTCCATAAAATGATCTCCTTTCTATGAATCTCTCTCGTCTAGACAGACATTCCTCTAAATAAGCATGCAGAATCTGCCTCTGGGCAGAGGTTTCAAACCTCACACTGCAGCCCATTAGTGGGTCATGAAATCTATTGAGTAGGTCATGCCTGGCACTGAATAAAGGAATAGAGTGGAAAATATCACAGTGCGTATCATATCGTAAGGAAACTGCTTTTTAAAGTAAGCAGTAAGCAAAAATATTTTTACATAAAACTTTGTTTCCGGTGTGTGTGTGTCTGTGTGTGGCATACTAAGTCTGGATGTGAAAACCGGCCCTCCACTTCAGCGCAAGGAAGCTGAAATGAGGTCCTCCATTCTAAATCACAGTCCATGGCATGAGTCCGTTTCTCCAATCTTCCTGCCAGAGATGACCATCAAGCCTCAGCGTCACCTCCTGGGTCAAGTTATGCTGGTGGTGGAACAGCAAGCCCCATCTGTGTGAACTCACTGGTCTGTGAATGGCCTATTCCTTCCTAGCCCCCGGGCATGTAGCAGCACCACATGTGGGTGTGCCCCAGGGGGCAGGGACAGCTCCGTGCTGTGTGCACTGCCCTCAGCCTTGGTCCTCTACTTCCAGGGCAGAAGCCCCTCCAAACATCAGCAAACTCCAAGATGCCAACCTGGGCTGTTACGGATCCCTGCACATACCCCCAAAATTGCCTCTTGGAGTAGCCTGACTTCATCCACCTTTCTACTCTGTCATTTTTCTATCTATGATCTGCAGAAAATCCTGTTACCAAGACTTTGCTAAATCTAAGATGAGGTTAGGAGAGTGAAGAGTAATCAAAGAAGGGTACTCTTTCTTCAGGACTGCAGGGAGAACTTAGTTTTTGGCTTGAGGAGCAGGGAGGGGAAAAAGGATTAATCCAGGCAGTGTTCTGCTCTAGCTTGAAGGCCATCTCCAGTGAGGGCCACACCTTAACATGCGACACTGGCCTACCACTTGGGGGAAAATCCACTACACAGGGAAGCAGGCCACCAGGTGGAAAACATGGTTTCCAATCTGTATACTGAAGAGATATCTGCACTCCTATGTTCTCCTATGTTCACTGCGGCACTATTTACAATAGCCAAGATACAGAATCAACCTAAGCGCCCATCAGCAAATGAATGAAGAAAATGTGGTACATGTACACAATGGAATATTGTTCAGCTATAAAAAAGAATGAAATTCTGTCATTTGCAACAACATGGATGGAACTGGAGGCCATTATATTAAGTGAAATAAGCCAGGCACAGAAAGACAAATTGTACATATTCTCACTCATATGTGGGAGCTAAAAATTAAAGCAATTGAACTCATGGATACAGAGAGTAGAATGATGGTTACCAGAAGCTGGAAAGGGTAGTGGAGATGGTAAATAGGTGAAAAAATATAGTTAAATAGAATAAATATGATGTAATATTTGATCATACAACATAGGAGAGAAGGATGGTGACTACAGTCATGATAATTTATTGCATATTTTAAAATAAACTAAAAGACTGGAATTGGAATGTTCGTAATACAAAGAAATGATAAGTGCTTGATGTGAGGAACACCCTGATAACCCTGGTTTGATTTTTGCACATTGTACACCTGGATCAAAACATCACATGCACCTCATAAATATATACACCCATTAGTGCCCATAAACATTAACAATTTAAAACGTTATGATTTCTAAATGCACTTTGGGATTCTTGCACCCCCAGACATACTGCCCTGGATCCGAGGGAGGATGGTGGAGGGTGGACAGAGGGACAAAGAAATGAGACAATGAGTCCCAGATGGTCCTCTTGAGAGGCGACCTCTGAAGTTTGCCAGATCTTGATACTAAACAGTCTTATCTTGCAGGGCATGCCTCTGCTTTTTTCCTGTGATTGTGATTATTAATACTGTACAGAAATTTGGCAAGTAGTTTATTCCCCTAAAAAATGAATTTTCAGGACAAACTCATATCTGATCTTAAAGAGCTGACAGTGAAGTTTGCAAAGAACATGTTTTAAATAGATACAGTCTCAAGTTCCAGAAATCACTGATAATTGTTATTCAGAGTCCAAGGCAATCAAGGTTGCTTTCTTTGCGGTATGTAGAGCTGTCTTGGAGTGGGTTTAATATGAGAGCTTGATTATGCCCCTTTTTCCTCATGCTTGGGAGTAGTGGATATGGGTGCTGTGTGGTCAGGCTGGTCCCATGGGTCTGGAGCTGCTCTGCACAGACCCCTGAGGAGTGGCCGGAGTGGACAGGACGGTGTCCCTTTCAACTGGGGTGCTCCTGAGCAGACCCATTTGGGAGAGTCACATGGATTTGGGCTGGGGTGGGGGTGGGGTAATTACTATCCAGAGAAAGTATTTAAAGATAATTATGCACCTCCCACTCTTCAAAATATAGCTTTGCTTGACAACTGGTTTCCTGGCAACACTTCCTACTGTATAATAAATGTAATGGTTTATTAGAATGTGTAAATTTATTTATGTTTACATATGCATGGAGGATACAGAAATTAAATGATAAAATAGGGAGGAGAAATTTGCCTGCTATTCATATTCCCTTCACACTAACTGGAAGTCATTTTCTCTAGAAATAGAACCTTCCATATGTAGACACAGGAGAGAGGGATGGATACGAATGGGTCTCATCTATGTCTCTAAACTTCGGGATCACTGCTTCTAAACTTCTGCTCTCGCAGCCCCAGCTCCACCTGCCCTTCTCCCTACACTGGGCCTTCCTCTTGCCTGTCCAGCTGCAAGGCAAGTCCTCCCAGCTACCGGAAACTCCACCGTTGCTTCATCCTGTCTGTCCTGCCCCTCCTGTGGGGCTCACACTGAGTCCCAGCTTCTCCACGATGCATGCTTCTAGTCTTCTCAGCCTTGGCACTCTTCAGCGCTTACTGTCTGCATTACTCATTTTAGTTACACATCCAAGAAATAGTTACTAAACACTGACCACGGGCTAGGCACCAGATACTCAGTAGCTAGCACAGCGCTCACAGGCCTCCTCTGCGTAAAAGCTACACGGAGACACAGACCACTAAGTGAGCAGTCACAGCAGGGCCTGAGTGCTGGGCGGGTCCACCAGGGAGCACACGAAAGGACACCTTAGGCGAGAAGGGTCCCCAGAGGAAATGAGTTCCCATTTCCTTGTACTGTCAGTTACGTTTCATTTGTATGGTTCCTGCCTCTCCGCGGAGCTCACAAGACCCACGAAGGAATCGGGTTGTGTCTTACACTTGGTTACAGACCCATGGGACTCAGCACAGTCCATCCTGCACGGGAACCCCTGGCTGATGGCACGGTTGAGCAGCAGAGACGAACTCTACGCAAATGTACTACCTCCCTCTGGAAGACAAGGCTTGAAGATTCCCGGAGCTCTTGTGAACCAGGGCTGAGGGTGGAGGTGAGGAGCGGACAGTGCTCCTAAAATAGTTTGCTTGACATGCAATGGTGCACAGGCATCTGGAATCGTCGACAACATCAAAATGATGGGCCCTGCAGGCTCCTTCTAGTGGCTAGAGTAAGTTTCCACTTTTTTTTTTTTTTTTTTTTTTTACCAGAACCAACAACAAACACCACAGAAAATCATTAAGTTTAATTCTCTTGTAAATAAGTAACTTTACAAAGGACTATTAGAGATTGGGGCAAATTTGGATTTGTGCCTTGTTGCTGATGGTATGGCAGAAGTGAAGAGAACATTGGAAGCACATTTCACTGAAGACTGGGCAAGCTAGTCCTCCCAATTTCAGAACCCCGTGAGGTTCACTTCAGAACTCCGTAAAGTTGAGATCCAGAAACTCCAACTTGTGTAATCAATCCCTTCAGGTTACAAAAGACTTCCTGAATCATTTGTTTCATAACTGTTTACATTTATTCTGAACAGTGAGCTCCAAATGTCACAAATCTCTTATTTTAACTAATTCCTCTAAGTGAAAACCTGGATTACCAAGGGAATCCTCCACTATGGCTGTAATCCACTAACCGGCCACATTTTCCCTAGAGACTCCATTCTTACAGTTCTTTAAAGAAACCGTGACTTTGGATCATTCTGTTTTGCAAAGGAAAAGGCCAGTTTGAGACTCAAATTCCATTATCTGTAATTGTTAAACTGTTTCACCTAACTTGAGAAAATGATCAGGAATACTTTGAAAACGTTGGTGGCATTTTCAATCTATTTGTAACCTTTGATATTCCCTAAGCAGACACCATCAGTGAACTGCTGAATCTAGATTAGACGGCTGCTGTGTGATACCTGCTCATGTGTGAAACCTCCAGGGCCACGTGGCCTTGCGTGGCAGCCGCTAGCAACATGCAGCTACCGTGCATGGGAAACATGGTCAGTCCAGACTGAGATGGGCAGTAAGGGAAAAACACACACTGAATTTCAAAGACTTGGCACAAAAGGATGAATGCAAAATATGTCATTAATAATTTTTATGTGAATTACATATTGAAATAGTAATGTTTTAGAGATACTGGTTTAAATCAAAGAAATTTCCTGTTTCTTTTTATTTTTTAACCTGCCTACTAGAACATTTTTAAAAGTACATATGTGGCTTGCACTATATTTCTGTTGAATAGCATGGCTCTAGAGTTACACACTCTGCGGACACACTAGCTATACAGGAACAGGGTTTACTATTCCCGGGCAGAACCTCATCACAAGGATGGCACAGTGATTGGCAGCAGAGCCCCTGGGTATGAGCTCTGACTCAGCCATACTAGAGCCCTGTGACCTGGGCCTCTCAAAGCCTCAGGATCCTCATCTGGAAATGAGTTTCAATGATAGTGCCAATCTACTAGCTGTAAGCCTTTAGGAGAACAAAATCTGCCGTCCGCATTACTGCGGTGTATTGAGGGGTGGCTGCAGAAGGAGAAGGCCTTCCCAGAGGCAGATGATCAGGGCTGAATGGCCAGCACATAGCAAAGCCTCAGGGCCGAGGGAGACTCCAGAGGTTTACAGGCACCACTGCTCTTTCCCTCTTGTTGAAAAGCACAGTTTGCACCATAGATCACTGGATGAAAATAATGTTCCCAGAGTGTTCCAGGCAATCTCTAACTCGAGACACAAGTATGTAATTTTCCCTTCCATCCTCCAGATCATATTCATTCATTCATTCATTCATTTATTAATTTATGATTTACTCACTTGCATGAACTGAGAATGATATTTTGGAAATATTTTCAAGTGTATTTTTAATCCCTTTACTCTTATTGTGTGGGGGCTTTGGAACTGTTAAAGCACAACATGCTTTTTCAGCTTTGACTGTCAAATTAGATATTTTGTTTGAATCTGTGTCAAGTCTATTGTCTTACTGGGGCAAGATCATTCATTTATTAATTACTCACTCACCCAGCAAATATTTATTAGGTTCTTGTTATGTACCAGCCACTTCTCCAGATGCTGGAGATTAAGCAGTAACAGCCAAGCATTACTGAGAGAGAGAAATTTTTTTTTTTTAATATTTCTGGAGCTCTTGCTCTGTAATAAGAGCTAGAGTGGATGGGCCTGACCCTAGATGTTTTATGTAGATGAGGTCTTGGTTTGAGAGAAACAAGGATTGGGAAAAAAGCCTGTATTTTCCAGTCCTAGTGAAACGGGAGAGAAAGAAGGTATCAGAAGTGGAGCAAAAGTCAGACACCAGGGTCCCCACTTAATTTTTAGCCCTTGGTCACCACAGCCCAAGAGGTTGGTGGGGAGTTGCTTTAGAAACACCCAGATGGCCACGGGGAAGCCCAGCAACACTGGGGCTGGTGGAGTGCCTCGGCAGACCCTGGGAGAAGGTCAGCCCTTGGCTTGAAGCTTATCCTGGCTGTTACAGAGGTTGTGATGGGACACCGGTAGGCCAATGAGCCTGTCATAGGGCTGCTGTCTCCTCTAGCTCCTTCACGGAGTGTGAGGGACCTGGAAGTGTCCATGTCCTCAGCTGAGGTATAGAGGTGCTAAAGTCAGTGGGCCAACAGAACTCAAGGGTCAGAGAGCAGAGGTGGAGATTTCAAGGCCGGAGGCAAGTAGAGGGCATGGACTCCAGCAGTGGATGCCCTAAGGGCATGGACTCCAGCAGTGGATGCCCTAACCAGATGGACCTCAGCAGGTACCAGTTCAGACAGCAGTTCAGCCTAGCCCCATGCAGCAGAGATGAGCAAGCATCCAGAGGGCTCGCGTGGCTTCTAGGACCAGCCCTCATCATTCCCTGCTTCCTGGGATCTCAAAGTCCCTCTCCGCCATGTGTCCAGCTCCGTCCAAGAGAGGAGCTGGGAGAGAGGCAATCTGAGAGACAAATCACTTTACCTTAAGGGACTGTTTAAAATACAGCACTGGGCTACATTTACTCAGCTGGATAAAAATTTCTCTATGCTCCTGCCATGTAGGAGATAGGGCTAGGGAAACAAGATTAGCTCAATTATGAAAAATAACCAATATTTTTTGGCACATACAAGCTTTGTGGGAGTGAATTCACATTCTCCCTGCACACATCTGTCCACTCATTCATTCAACACACATGTATGGACGTTCACCACTGGACAGGCACTGAGCTGGGTGCTCTGGAAATAACCCCTGGAGGCATGCAGGCAGAGCCTTTGGAAGCAGGGGACTGTGAGCCAGTAATCCGAGTGTCATGTGCTGAGTGCTGTGACAGAGGCATCAGCAAAGCACCAGGGAAGGGGGAGCTGAGTAACTCTCCCTGGAGTTTGCAGAAGGTATTTTCCAGGCCCAGTGAAATGGCAGAGAAAGCAGTAACACGGAAGCAGTCACATCTGAGGGTCTGAACAGAAGTGTGAGTTCTCCAGATGAAGGCATGGGGGCATAGTGATTTAAGTGAAGGATTGGCTCCATGCAGGGGCCTCAGTGTGCACCAGGACAGGGAACATTTGGATAACTGCAAGAAGTTCCTTGTAGGGGGAACAAAGGTTATTTTCATGGAAGTGCAGGAAGTGAGGCTGGGAGGCAGATGGGGGCTGAGGACCCTGGATCCTTTTGTAGGTTCTGTCATTGTCAAGAGCAGTGACACAGACGGGTGTCATAATCCTACGTGCTTTCCATCATCATCAAAGGTTACATCTCACCATGTTCTATAAACATGAAGTAGGTCATGACAGTCACAAGGGCTCACTTTATGTTTCTTTTAACTGGACTTCATCTTAGAAGGGAGGAAAACACATTTGGTCTGACAACTTCCTAGGGACTGTGCTGCCAAAAAGATGGACAGTCCAAGATCATTCAACAAATATCAACCGCTGGATTATTTGTCTGATCTGAGCCATAAGCTTTTTCTTGATGGCCATACAGAAAGTAGTTACCCCCTTAGAAGAACAGCCCTTACACTACTGGCAACTTGTAGGTATTACCTTGGGCCACCCAACAGGGTGGCTGAAGACAGAGCTGGTGGCAGAAGGAAGGAAGAGCAGCGTGAGTCTCACTCACCTGAACTTTGACTTGGAGATCCGGTGGCTGAAAAAGAAAAAGGAAATGTTACCAAAGGATGGACACACACGTGCATTTAAAAGACGGTCAACAGTCCCAGGGAAATTTGATGTTCCCCAGGTAATTTCGTGTGGGTGCTGGAAGGAGGCATGGTGTGAACTAGAACATCTTGGGAGAGAAAGAACCCTATTTATGTATTTGAATGTGGAGACTGAGGTCTGGCCTGGCTAGCATCTTCTAAGTATAGACAATCCTTGCTGCAGAGGGAGAGTAGCAGGTCCTCAGGGTCTGCCTAGAAACTTCTATGAGGTCAGGTTAGGAAGAGCTGTATCTTGAGACAAGCTGCAGAGAAAGAAAAGGCCTCTCCTGATGACAAGAGGACCCCAACAGCAGAAAAATCACAGGCAAGAACAGGTCGGCACAGACCTCACAGCTGTCTGCCAGAGCCCAGCTAGAGTAGGGTTATGAAGGGAAGACCAGCAAAAGGAGCCAGCCAGAAATGGAGGGGCCACAACAGCCCCCACCCAAGAGCTGCAGAGGAGGCCTAAGGCGCCAGCCCCAGACTCCGAGGAGAAACCCAGGATGCTGACGGTCACACGCAGCCCTGAAGACCTGGGGACCTCTGGGCAGAAGCTCAGGGTGGGTGTGAGGGTGGCTGCCTGGAAGGGTCATGGAACAGGGAGGAGGTTCCATGGAAAGGCAGAACCTTCAAGGAAGTCCTGAGGCTCCCTAGGTCATGTAGGGAAGAGTCCAGGGGAGGCAGGAGGCTGGAGAAGAGGGCAGGAGGGACAGACTGTAAAAGAGAAGTGTGGAGGAGAGAAGGCTGAGCCAAAGAGAGAGAGACAGGGAGAGTGAGAGAATGTAAGCAGTTGAGACCATTAGAAGGCACCTGTCAGCTTGGCTTTGGTGCTAGGAGAAGGGCATGAACGCTGGGGATAGTGCAGGTGGTGACAATGTTCAGATGGAGAAGCAGAAGGACAGAACGCAAGTTAGAGATGAAGAAAGGGATGGAGACAGTGGTGGAGCAACAAGGAGAGGCATGGGGAGGAAACAGGAGAAGGGAGTCTGGGAGGCAACCGCCGCAGGCCTGCGACGTCCCAGCGCGGCACACAGCTAGCTGTGTCGCAGAGCAAGAAAACGCCAGCCCCTCTCGTTATTTCTTATTAAAAAAATTAAGCCAGAAGATGTGACAGGTGGCAAAGCCATCGTGCATGAGATAATTACATCTCTGGGGCACTGCGAGTCTGAGCCAAGCGCCTTTACTGCTCCGAACGGTTAGCTAATAACCTCATCCCACCCGCAAAGACTGCCTGTGAGGGCTGGAGGGCTTAATCACAGGTTAACAGCGTGTGGGAGGGGGACTGGGAGCCCAGGGCAGCATTGTTATTTACAGCCACAGTTTAACCAGCAAACAAATGTTTCCCAGCTGCTAATTGGGTGCTGGGGAGCCTAGGTGCTCTCTTCTCCAGCGGGGCCATGCTGAGCCCCAGACCTTCAGTGTCTTCCCAGGCTGCTTTTGGGTGGTTGTCTCCCCTTGCTGTTAACCATAAGCTCAAGTGGGTGACCATGGACTTCAGCCTTGTCACTCTGACTCCAAGCCTAGCCTGGTCCCAGGCCTTCTTTCAGAAACACCTCAGTAGTCCTGTCTGGGGTGCCCCTTGATGACGACCACCGGCCCTTTGCCATGAGGCGTTGTCTTGCTCACAGTGCAAGCGGGTCACAAGTGCAAGTGGGCTCTGAAAAGCTCCCCTCTGGGGAAACCTAATCCTGAGTGTTCGTCTCCAAGGGAAATGACCCTGGGAAGCAGGATTGGCGCTGGGGGTGCTGGGAAAGGAGGTCCTGCTTCAAGCACAGTCGTGGACTACAGGTCCTTCTGTGGCATCCGGGCACATTCTGAGCACGAAATGGACAGAGCCTTCTTGTCTGCTTTGTTACAGGTCTGGATGGATAAGCCTGGGCACCACACTTGAAGACTGATTTTGTTGCTATTGTTGCTATCCTCCGGGATTGTGAGCAGAATTTTAGGTTCATGGGGATCAAAACCTCATCCGCTTTTAAAGGCTGGCACTTTTGACAAGCAACCGCCAAATGGCTAAGTTCCATGTCAGGCAGGCTCCACTCCTTGCGAAGGGGAGGACACTGCTCAGCGGCTTTTGTCTGGAGGCCAGGGAAAACTCCATGCCCATGGGGAGCTGAGGTGAGAACTCTGTGACGTCTGAACGCCTTGGTTCTTTCTGCTCCCTTTGCACACCTTGGCGTTAATGATAGGACCTCTTTGCCTCCTGGGAGGTGGCCCAGGGTTCTGGGCTGGAAAGGTGCTCCTGCAGTGAGAGGACGCAAGCCAGGAGCCCGGGTGCCTCGGTGCCATCAGGAGCCCAGATGCCTTGGTGCCATGGTGCTGGTCCACACCCTAGGCCGGTTCACTGTGGCCAATGCCTCCCTGCTACCGATCTTCACAATCTCCAAAGAACTCTGAGAACAGCTGGGGGCTCTGGCTTCTCTATGCACAGCACACTCGGAAGGCTTCCTGGTTGTCTCCACTGTTGTTGTTCCAATGAGGCACAATTCCTACCTCAGGTTGAGCGGATTCTTGAAGAAGAGCGAGGAGGGAGAGAAGGCTGGTAAGGAACATGAGACCATCAGAACAGATCCACTGGGTAGGAACTGAAGTTCATGCAACCCCAGATACTTTCTCCACCCAGGACTCCAAGACAAACCTTCTGGGAGACCATGATTTTCCTTCGTGCTTTTCAGGTTCAGAATTAGAGACAAACCCCAAACTCCTTTTTTCCCCTAGTTACTCAGTTTGCATTTGTCATTATTTGAGACATATTTGAACTTCTTGAGAGCCATTTGTATTTTCAGCCTCTCCCCTCTTCTTAGAGGAAAGAGTGCCATATGTTTACTACCTGCTGTGTAAAATAGTATTTCCCTGAATTGTCCCAAATTCGCCTTTAATATAAGTCAGATGGCACTGCAGTCATCATCCACATTGACAATGCGTCTGACTCAGCATCCTTAACTCCAGGACGTCCTCTCCCCCACAGCTCTTATTATTGGGAGGGCCACATCCTGCCCTTGCACGGCATAGAATTGCTTCCACTCCTGGGTGCTGAGCTCAGATGCTCCATGACTCTGGCCAGAGCCTCCCTTTCTATGATCCCTCCTGCTCTTTCAGAGGACCCAACATTTGTCCTCACTGGATCCTCCCCATCACTCTCACCCTTTAACACCAGGCTTGACTACAGTCATGGCAATGTTGCCCGCGATACCACACAGACTCCACACCGCCTGGGCCTTCTGCCATGCCTGCATGGCTAAGCCCCACCCTGGGACACGCCGCTGTCTCTTTTTAGTGCTCTCAGGCTTCAGAGTCTGCCAAAAATACGGCTGACTGCACATTTATGATATCAGTCTCCACCGTGGCATCAGTGCTGCCCAGCAACCTTTGAGCATCCTCTCGACGACTCACTGGTTTCAGTCTCTATACTGCCCTTCAAGTTCCTGTGACCCCTGACCCTTGCTTTGGGAGATGAGATGGCTGAGCTCATTCGGAGTGACTCCTGTCACTGACCCCTTCATCAGAGCCTGTTTCTGATTCTGTATTCTTTACAGAACTGTAGGCTTTACAGAACTGGAAGGGACCCTTAGATACCACATGGACCTACGGTTTGCAGTTTCTCCAGGTGTAGAATGCTTTCTTCACATGAAATCTTGCACCGCTGCAGGTGGTTTCCGCCCCCCACCCCAGCCTCTGCAGAGATGTCAGTCTGACCCTTCTTTTTCCCAGAGGACGAGGCTGAGGCCCAGAGCGGAGTGCTTTGGCCAAGATCCCAGGGCTAGCTGGAGGTTGGTGGGCACTAGACTCTGGGACTCCTCTTCTTTCATTTTCCAATTAGTTTCAGGTGCACAGAAATTCCTCCTTCCTGAGCAAGTTCAGGGCCTCAAACTGTCTTTGCTGTCGCCCTTCTCCTCTTCAGAAGCAATGCCTTCCTATAAGCACTTGCTTCCCCTACAGCTTGTTTCACCTCTTCCTGCTCCGTGACTTCTTCCTTGTCTTGAAGTTTGCCCTTGCCTTTATTACAATGAAGGCCAGCGCTTCCCACACTCATGCTACTCCTCTTCACATGCTCCCATCTTCCTCCCTGTCCATGGCCTCACTGCCTGAGTGAGCACTCTGTCGTGGCCCATTTCCACCCCATCTCCCTCACTGAGACCGACTCCCAAGACCAGTGCCCTGCAACCCTGAGGGGTAGCACCCCAGAACACACACACAACACAGCCCTTCTTTCCCTCTGCAGCCTGAGCTGCTGCCACATTACCTCTCACCTGTGTCAGGCTCTTGCAGCTTCTCATTCCTCCCTGCTCTTTTCCTGACGTCGCAGTGATCCTTCAGGAGCTCAGAACTAACCAAATCAACCTCCCACTCAGCTCTGTTCTGAATGCCCTTCAGTGACTTCTCACACTCTTCTGATGCAGACCCAAACGGTTAAGGGTCTGCCAGTCCCTCAATAACTCATGTTCATCCTTCTGTTCTCAGCTGGAATTTTAATTCTGCAAAGAAGCCTTTCCTAACCTGCCAGTCCAAATTAGAAACCTTTGTTATTAGCCCGACTTTACACTTACTTTTCCTTCATAACACTTACCCCAATCCTATAGTTGCCTATTTATTTGCATAGTGTCTCTCCCACACTAGACTGTGAGCTCCAGCACGATGGTGTCAATTTCCTCCCTGTTGTGTGTCACCACCACCTAGCCTTAGCACCAAGCTGGGCAGACTGTTGAACGAATGCATGGATAAACAGCTCTGTCCTGAAATTCCTCCTCCCGCGGCTTCCAGGCTGGCGCTGCTGCCTGTTCTCTTAACATTCCTTTGTCTATTTTGCTTGCTTGGTCTTATTCTTCTGTGTGTCCATTTCCCAAGATTCAGCCCTTGGTCTTGTTTTCCACTTCACTCTGAACAACCCGTCCTATCACCTCATTGGTAGTTTTCATCCCAACAACCTCAAACATGTGTGTCCACCCTTGTTCAGGGCTGAGTTTCGGGCCTCCGTATCTCGTGGTCTCCATGACACCCGCAGGTCACTCCAACTGGGCTCCTGCTTCAGATTTCACTTCTGCCTCATTATCCTCTTCCCTGACTGTGACGGCTCCTTCCTCTTCATTACCTGCACCCGCCTGCCCCTGCTGCCATGAAGTAACATGCCGTAGTTCCTTCCTCCCTTCCCCCAACAGGAACCGTCTTCATCCAGGCCTCCTTACTACACAGCAGTCCTCATCGTGACCTAATCTCATTACATGAGACTTTTAACCCTTAGCTTTAAAGATCCCGGTCACTCACTTCCCCTCAGACCATCACACGCAATCTCAGTTCCCATGCTGCTTCTCCCGCCAGGAATGCTGGCAGTCTTGGCTCATCATTGTCTGGGGCGGGGTGGGAGGTAGGGAGATGGGGAAAGACCACATTTTATTCGGGGCATATTATAATTCTGGCACTGTGACTCAGCGTTCTGTATGCACAGAGTACGAATGTGGCTAAACATGGGGATAACGGGGACCATTTCTGCAGAGCTCTCCAGGCTGCAGAGCATGTGCTCTGAGCAAACGACAGATCCACTGGAGACTGCCAGGCTCCATCCGTGGGGGAATATCATGTTTCCTTCCTAACAGAGCCTCATGCTCTCCTGAAATGTACTATCAAGTGACTTCCTGGTGCCAGCTCCCTAGTCCCTCCTGGTATGCGACTTGGGCCTGCCCAACAGCCAGAGTTGCAGGGCCTTTGATCATCTCTCTAAGCCTCGTCTTGGTGGCAAGACAACAGAAAGGCCTAGAACTGACAGACTTTGAAGCCTTCCTATAGGCCTTTCCCTAGAGTTGCTGTTTGGGACCTACTTCCAGAAACTCAAGTGCTTGTTTTGTATGATTCCAAAAGAAGAGGTTTGCACTGCTGCTTAAAAATGTAATTAGCATCGTATTTTAACAACATTTTGACAATAATTGCTTCCCGACAATGCTGAGAAATCTGCAGTGCAGACTCCCTGGTGCCAGTGTCAGAGTGAGTGATACTGAAGCTCCACGCTCCCTGGAAACAGCGGCTGTGAGAGCTGCTCTGCCGTCAGCCTCATTCTCCCTCCCCAACATGGGCTCCCAGGCCACGCTCAAGGCCGGCATTGCTGTGTTTAGACTCTTCCACAGCTCAGCGTTGTGAAAGGGCTGCGCTTGCCCAGGCTCTCCATCATTCCACAGACGAGGAGGGAAGGGAGATGCCGCCCTGCCCCGCCCCCCAGGTGGAGCAATTCAGAAATGCATTGTACCTGGGACTGGTCTGACTCAGAGCCTCTGTTTGCAGTTCTTCCAGAGGCCAGGGTGAGTTTACAGTCGTGACACCCCAAGGCAACAGAACAGCAGGCTCCACTGCACTTCTGCTTCCCTTACTGGCAGGATGAGAGAGCTTCAGGTAAGGACCCACATGCCAGTCATCTCCCAGAACATCTTCTCACCTGGCTGCTTCTCTCCCAGGTCACATTTATCAGAATGGAAAGGGTGGCCAGCAGGACTCAGGGCCCTAACCTCGCTGTCTCTTTGAAGAGGGGCGAAAGGGACTGGAGTGAAAGAAACAGACTTTGGGGCCGCCCCCTACACACACACCCTCTATATTTCTCAGATGTGATGAAAAGAGGCTCAAAACCTAAGAGTCAGCACCCCCGAAGAAGTGATGAATTGAAGACTAGCCTTGATTTTAAGACTCACCCCCGGCCAGGGCCACCCTCACCCCAGGGCCCTCTGCTCCCCATCTTGGTTCCCACCTGAGGTTTGTTTCTTGCCACCGGCTCTAATCTCTGCCCTTCCTAGTGATGAGCCAGCCCACTGTGATTTCCAGATGCAGCTTTTCCACCCATGCTCCAGAAAAAGCCCCAGCCCCTGGGCTCGCCGTGCCTACTCACGCCAGCCTGGCCCCGCAGTTTTCTCCCTCGATGTCACCTCCAGCCACGTTTTCGGTGTTGACGGACTCGGTCTCACTGGTGGGCATGCTCACTGCAAGAGTCAAAGGGAAGCAGAGCCAGGCATTGAGGGTGGGGAGACAAGGGAACAGAAGAGCAGTAGTTTGCAACACGCCCACCGCAAGACCCAGTGCGGGTTGGCAGAAAGAGAGGCTGAGCACGCTGGCTGGCTGATCTGCACAGATCCCCTTGATGGACACATCTGCTGGTTGTCCAGGCAGGTTTTGCCGCCAAGAACACTGTAAACTAATGGAAGTATGGGAGGACATCTGGTAATAAGAGCATTTTACCTCATAGGACACATCCTGAAAAAACTGACCATTGAATCTCTCCTCTCCACTCTGTGGACTGGAAGAAGCTGTAGAGGCTTTCCATTTGCAACTACCACTTGCCACAGAAAGAGGAGCTTTCATGAAAATATATCATTTTCCTTACTTCATCCCACCCACCATCTCTAAGGGGCTCCATCTCCAAGAACAGGGACCAGCCTGTTTGTAGAAAGGGCGTGCTTGCTACCTTGATGAGCTGCTGGGTGGACAGAGGCCTTCCCTTTCCGGCAGTTGGTTACACCCAGGAGCACAACTGAGACAGAGGGCTTGAGGGGAATGGCCATCCCCAGAGCCATGCACTAAGATTCAAGCTAGCCCTGCAGACATAAGGAGTGAGGAGTGGAAGTGTGCAGTCCACACAATTATGTTTAATTGTGGTCAGAAGACAGCCTGTAGGGATACGATTTCCCCTTTCAGCCACCCTGACATTCCCATGTCAACAGGCTGACTTGGATATAAGCCGTTTAATTCAACTTGTCCAGCCTCCTCCCAAGGCAGCTGTGGGCTGAATTTCCAGAACAATGGGAGTTTTCTGGCTTAGAACCCAGTTTGGTGGCTTGAAAGAAGCCATTTCTTTTATTATTATTATTTTTTCTTCTAAATAAAAGTTTAACTCAAAGAATTTTTCTCCACCTTCCAACACTCTCTTACTATGATACAATGCGTTCCTTAGTTTTGTAACCCTTATTCTTTAGAGTGGCCATCATATCCTTGGTCCTGGTTCTGCTGTTCCTCCAGAATAGAACTCCTCATATGCTGAGAAAGTCATCAGCCCTCAGCAGACACAGAATCTGCTGTTAGTTGAGGGAGTGGCCTCTGGTGACAAGTCCCTGCGAGGCTGCCAGAGCCCAAGAAACACTTTTACTGGTTGCATGGATAATGTTGATAGATGTGGATTTTTCCTGGTTTCCTTTCCTTCAGATGAAGACAAGCCAGGTTGGTGAGAAGAGAATCATTTCAAGAACATGGAAGATACAAACAGAAAGTCCACGACTTACCGTATGTTTGACTGTTGTGTATGAGAGACCTCTCTGACCTTTTTAATAAAATTGAATTAAAAAAAATCCAGATGTCATTTTATAGAACTCTAGGGCTGGGTGAGGCTTTAGAAATTATCTGGCTCTAACTCGTCCTCCTCACTCCGCAGGAGAGGAAAGTGAGGCCAGAGAAGGGATGTGATGCCCATGGTCATATGGTGTGTTCAAGTAGGGCTGGGTCCAGGGCACAAGTGTCACACCTCCTGTAGCATGTTCATCTTGAGCGCCCCAGTCTCGACCACCTCTGTACTCTACACCCTAGGCAGACAAGCTTCTTAAAGCCTACTAGGCTCTGGGAGCACCACAGGAGGGCAGTGAGTAGCCAAACAGGGGCACTGAATTCCACAGCATTACACTCACTTTATAGTCTGAAGTCTGGAGGGGCTGGTGAGACCAGCCCTTAGGGATGGTTTTAGCTCAGACCTTCAGAGCTTGCCAGGGGCTTTGCTCAAACCACACTAAGGAAGCCATAAAATGGAAGCACTCTCAGTCTTCCAACCCATCTATCTCCAGCCATCTCAGCCCAAAGGTTTTTTTTATTTTTTATTTTTAGTTTTTAGCTCTCTACCCTCCAGACATCCTTGTTTGAAGGGCTAGGCCACGTAGAAAAAGTTCTGTGACTTTGTGACACTTCGTTCCCAGAGCCTTATGTGTGAGTACAGTGCTGTGGAGGTGGTGGTGCTAGGCCTGGAAAGACAGACAAAATCGGAGGGGCAGGCCTGGGCACTGGAAATAACGACAGCACCTTCTAAATCAAGGCACTGCCTGTGCTGGTTCCAACCGTGCATTCACAGTGTGCTTACTCTAGGCCAGCACTGCCCAGAGGAAGAGCTCCTGGAGGAATAGCTCTGCCTGTTTGTCACACCCACTGACTTTACACATATGAAGCAATGATAAGGCAGTGGCTTTGAGGGGGACAGGTTGCCATCCCTTCACAAACACACACACACACACAACATATATACATACACATATATGCACACACACAGAACTACTGCGGCACAAGCCATCAAGAGAGACACCTTCCCATTCAGTCTGGTATGCACCCACACGCATTTACACACACAGAGCACAGGGGAACATTACCATGGGTTTCTGTGGAGTGACTAAACCAAGCAAACTTCCCTTTCTTCTGATCAAGCATGCCCGCCGGAGTGCCTCCTTTCACAGACAAGATGGTCAGTGTCAAGAACCAGGAACAAGACATCAATAGAGCACACGCAGTCAGCCACGGGCAAGAGAAAGAAACAAGGAACTCAGCTTTCACATAGAACATCCATTTTTATCACAGAAAATAAACAAAAAAAATTCAATAAATCAAAACATACAGGAAAACATAACACAATAGAACCAAACTCCCAACTCACATGAATTAACATCACAAAACAAATGATGGACCCTGGAGAGAAGGAATTACTCCAGGAGAGAGAGGCTATCTGGCATATCTAATGAGTGACTTTGAGAAGGCTTCCAAGGAGGGGGCTGCCACTCATCCCTGTTGTTTCCATAGGGAGCTGTCGCCCTTTGCAGGCTCAAGCGGGGTCACTGCTAAAGTCTAACTGTAGCCCTGGTATCCCCTTCATCCCTACCCAATAGCCAGGTGACTTGTCTCCTCCCTCACATGGGACCACAATGCAAAACTTTCACCTGTAGTGGATTCAAGGGCTTCCTTGCTATTTGCACCTGGATGGAGTCACCTGCAGGTAGAAAAACAACCCACTGGTCGACCTACTTGCTCCTTGTTCAGTTCAATAATTCAATTCTATTCAGCAAAGACCCATCAAAGGCCTAGGGCTCACATCCAAAACATATATGTGTCTGCTTTTAATCAGTTTAAATGGGCCAATAAGTTGTTAAATTGCCTGTCAATGGGTGGTCATTTGAGGAAGTTTGTAAATAAGGAAGAAGAATTCTGTGAGCTCTGCTGGGTCTCGGCTACAGCTGAAGAGGAGAGTGCTCCAGAAGAGTGTGAAGACACTACCCACTGCATGGGAGGGCGTGAAGACACCAGCCACTGCACGGGAGAGCACGAAGACACCTGCCACTGCATGGAAGAATGTGAAGACCCCAGCTACTGCACGGAAGAGTGTGAAGACACCAGCCACTGCACAGAAAAGTGTGAAGACATCAGCTACTGCAGGGAATAGTGTGAAGACACCAGCAACTGCACAGAATAGTGTGAAGACATCAGCTACTGCAGGGAATAGTGTGAAGACACCAGCAACTGCACAGGAGAGTGTGAAGACACCAGCTACTGCACGGAATAGTGTGAAGACACCAGCTACTGCAGGGAATAGTGTGAAGACACCAGCTACTACACAGAATAGTGTGAAGACACCAGCTACTGCACAGAATAGTATGAAGACACCAGCAACTGCACAGAATAGTGTGAAGACACCAGCAACTGCACAGGAGTGTGTGAAGACACCAGCCACTGCATGGAAGAGTGTGAAGACACCAGCCACTGCACGGAAGAGTGTGAAGACACAAGCCACTGCATGGGAGAGCAGGAAGACACCAGCCACTGCACAGAAGAGTGTGAAGATACCAGCTACTGCACGGAAGAGTGTGAAGACACCAGCCACTGCACGGGAGAATGTGAAGATTCCAGCTACTACATGGAAGCATGTGAAGACACCAGCCACTGCACTGGAGAGCATGAAGACACTAATCATTGCATGGGGAACGGGAAGTTATGTATGGACTTGGAGTTCTGGATGTCAAGTGCTTTAGCTAACTGTTCAGATAGAGTTTTCCCATTTCATCTGAAAGAACTGGCATGAGCTGTGCCTCTGCGAGGTCACTATGCAGGGTGCTGGGAATGAGAGGCAAGTAAGGCACAATCACAAGTTAGGTTGGTGCAAAAGGAATTGTGTTTTTTGCATTGTTGGAATTTGCCATTTGGTATTGAAATACATTCTTAAATAAATTTGGTTATGTTATACATCATTTTAATGGGCATTTCTCACTTTATTTTTTTGTTAATGATGTATTACTTGCTATTTATTTTATGTTTATTTTAGACTATGGAAAGGATGTTAAAGAGCAAATTCGAGCGATTTGGGTCATAAAGCAGTGGAGACAACTTGCAACATCAACAGCTCATTTGGCCCAGGAATTGCTAACGAACGTACGGCACAGTGGTGGTTCAAAAGGTTTTGCAAAGAAGATGAGGAGCATAATGAAGAAGATGAGGAGCATAATGGCAGGCCATGGGAAGTTGACGATGACCAATTGAGAGCCACCATCAAAGCCGATCCTCTTACAACTACAAGAGAATTTGCCGAATAACTCAATGTCAACCATTCTATGGTTGTTAGGCATTTGAAGCTTATTGGAAAGGTGAAAAAGCTTGATAAGTGGGTGCCTCATGAGCTGAGCAAAAAAAAAAAAAAAAATCATTGTTTTGAAGTGTCACCTTCTCTTATTGTACTCAACAACAATGAACTATTTCTCAATCAAATTGTGATGTGTGAGGAAAAGTGGATTTTGTGTAACAACCAGCAACGACCAGCTCAGGGGTTGGATGGAGAAGAAGCTCCAAAGCACTTCCCAAAGCCAAACTTACACCAAAAAAGGTCATGATCACTGTTTAGTGGTCTGTTAGTATGATTCACTACAGCTTTCTGAATCCCAGCGAAACCATTACATCTAAGAAGTATGCTCAGCAAATCAATGAGATGCACCAAAAACTGCAATGCCTGCAGCTGGCATTGGCCAACAGAAAGGGCTCAATTCTTTTCCACAACAATGCAGGACTGCATGTCGCACAACCAATGCTTCAAAAGTTGAACGAATTGGGCTACAAAGTTTTGCCTCATCTGCCCATATTCACCCGACCTCTCGCCAACCAACTACCACTTCTTCAAGCATCTCGACTTTTTGCAGGGAAAATGCTTTCACAACCAGCAGGATGCAGAAAATGCTTTCCGAGAGTTTGCTGAATCTGGAAGCACGGAGTTTTACATAATAGGAATAAAAATCTTATTTCTTGTTGGCAAAAATGTGTTGATTGTAATGGTTCCTCTTTTGATTAATAAAGATGTGTTTGAGCCTAGTTATAATGATTTAAAATTCACAGTCTGAAACCACAATTTCTTTTGCACCAACCTAATATTAATGAGTGGCAGCAAATGCAGGTGGGAAGTTGGTCACCACTCACAGAAGGAAACATGTGCCCTGCTGAACTTGTGGGCTGCACCATCACTTCCAGGAAAGGCATGAGGGGAGGGGCAACCCAAATCTTAGGTTTTTCTATATTTCATCCTCTTATCCTAGAACACAGATTATAGTCAATGGACTTCCTTGGATGTTGCCTGGTAAGGAGAATTTTGGAGACTGGCTAGTGATAGAAAAGGGCCATGCCTATTTTTAACCTGAAGATCTGTGTCTCACACACTCATCTTTAAGGTACAAAGTGTGGAACAGAAACTTCATAACCGGCAGGTTTTTTTTTTTTTTTCACTTCTCAGAAATCCTACATGCAAAAAGCACTGAGAGTTAGGAGCTGAAATGAGCCACTTGGTTCAAGTTTCCCTTCTAGGGAAAGGTGTCTCAAACAGTCACTAACATGGGACTCTCATAATGAATGGTCTTTCTTTCTGGAGATATAGGGGGTGGACGTAGGCTGCCAGTCACCAAGTTTCTATCTGTGTGGTGGCTGTCTGAGGGGATGAGAGCCCTGCTTAGTGGTGGAGAGTCCAGAACATTGACGCCTTCCATGCAGAAGCATTATTCAGCTTTTGGCTCTGACATCCTAAGTGTCCTATGTTGTCCAATTTCAGAAGTAACTGTATGATCATTTTATGAACCTGAATTTGACCAGGGCTGGTCTTTCATGGGGGCCAAGTTGGCAGTCACCTGCATGGAAAATGATCTGAAGAGCAACTAAATCATCTCCCTGGATGGTTCACATAAGTCTCAGATCTTTCTTTTGGGGCACTGCATATATCTAAAGGTTCCTTTCTGAAATAAAAATGTCTCACCTGGAAGAAGCAATATATGAACACATTAGTGCCTATTAATTTGCGATAGTTTATCCCATAAGCACCTGCAGGAATCAAATGGTGAAATGGTGTTTGTGTTCCTATTACCAAGGGATTACATAGTGGTATCAAAGCTGATTCCTCAAGGAAAACTTCTAGGAAGCTGAATGTCCAAATTGTTGAAAGTTTAGAATCATGAATGCTGGATACTTATTCAGTGGATGAGATGGAAAGCCTGACCCCTCCCTTGGCCATTCAAATGATGAGTTGGTTGGAAACTAAGGGGCACCTTTTCTCTAAAGCCAACTTGCTTCACTTCCTTAGAAGTGAAGTTTGATTGTCTGCTCATCTGCAGGCAATGTCATAATAGCACATCCTTTATAAGGCACAATATGCTTTATTGAATGGATCTGGGAAGGAGAATGCTGGGGAAGAAAGCTATACAGGAAGCTTGTTTTCCGATTTTCTAACCTCCCTCTTACCAGGTGCTATGGACCAAATGTGTTTCTCTGGGCTATCCAGTCCCTTGCTTCTGGTGAGAAGACTCCACAAGAAAATGAGGTTTCTTTGAAAGTGCAAGAAACATCTGCCAGCAGGAGTGGCTGGCCTCTCAAGAGATTTGCTAAGAAAATGACCAGTCTGTATTCTGGAACTTGGCTGGTAGCTCAAGATGGCTAACATCATTGCATTTTTAGTAATATCATCAATGGCTACAGCAAGTTGTATGGTCGAATTGCCAACAACTGATTACATCCTTTAATTAATGTCTTCTCCCCTCAACCCCACAAACATGTACTCTTGGTGGCCACTCTTGCTTGAACAGCACTTAGTAGGACTATTTCTATGTCTCAAGAGAGGTGCCCAGTTATTGTCTTACAGCACCAGTGTCTCCCCCGACCTGCTTTGGTGTGTGACTACTGGGGAGATTATAAAAAGTCATTTTCTCCCTGGAATAATCTCTTGAAACTGGAAGCACACCAGCTGTGCTAGGGGAGGAGTGCTAGAGCTAAGCCATTGTGTAGATTGCCCTTCCTTGGTGTTTGGGTTAGCAAACCCTCTGAGGGTTTACTCGCTGAAATTTGGGAATCCTCCATTAAACACCAGGTGGTGCTTTGAAAGTATGGCTGCACTGATCAGCGGGCCAGGCTTCTTACAGCTGTGGTCAACAAAAAATGGGCAATGTCAGAGCACACAAGCCTCACTTTCCCCATAGGAAGTGAGCTCTCTGTAAAACGAATGGCTCTCTTGACAGTTCCCTGTATTGCTGAAAGCAAGTCTCCAAGTAGTGAATCTGCCGCAGGCTGTGTCAGCGTGTGAACACTCATGTTCTCCTTAAAAAGAAATTGGGTCTCATTTAGCCACCATGAGGCCAGCATGATGTGTCCAAAGATGACCAAAGTCATCCTCATGAATAAAAAATGACTCCAGAAGGGGTTTTGGCAAAGGATTGAGAGTCAGAACCACTTTAGTTTTGATAAAAAAGAAAAATGGCACTAAGGTGACAGCAATAAATCCACGAAGGAAACAATGAGCAAAATCCTCTTTGGTGCCCGCTGCTGTACTCTCGTTTCCTTCCTCCCTGCCACATCCTGACTCCCTTCCTTCCCATCCTGAGACTGGCAGGAGGATGGGGAGAACCATCCTCATAGAGAATATCCGGCCTGTTCCTGAGGCCCCCGTCTCGGAGCTTTTTATGCGTCATGACTGACTGAGTGGCACCAGAGCAAAGCTCCACATGAGAGAATGAGGGATGGATGTGGGGCGAGATGAAACAATCTGCCTAGTTCCGAAACCTTTGGTCACCCAAAATAGCTTCGACTTTGTCCCAGGGATGGAGCTTTGTAATGTCCTGATGTGCCTGTCAGCAGGAGTGGCTGGCCTCTCATGAGATTTGCTAAGAAAAATGCCCAGTGTGTATTCCGGAACTTAGCTGGTAGCTCGTTATCCAAGGCCAGAGAGCTCACCAGCTGCTGTCAATCTTATGCCTCCTCCGGGAGGAAGAGGGTTGATGCCTCAGGCCCAGACATCCCAGGCAGTGGCTGGGGGTATCGGGAGCACTGCTTGCCCCACCCAAACTTCTCCAGTGTGGTGGGATGTCATACAAGGCCAATGGCTGAGTCCAGGTCACCAGTCTGCTGGGATCCAGTGTCCAGGCTTCCCGGCACTCCAGGATGGAACTAAGGAATTGACTTTGCCATGTACTTGGCCAGGTGCCCATCTTATTACATTTTTTGCATATGAGCGGCATAATTTGTATTTATTTTCTCAAAGTACTAATCAGACTTACGGTTAACAAGCAAAAGGATTCCTCATTTCCTACCTCATTGACTCCAATCTGGTATCTAAAACACCCTGTAATTTGGCTTCATCTTATCTGCTGTGAGTTGAGTTATATCCCCTCGGAAATTCAGATGCTGAGGTCCCAGCCCCCGCATACCTCTGAGCGTAGCCATGTTTGGAGACAGAGTCTTGAAAGAGGTCATTAGATTAAGATGAGGTCATGAGGGTGGGCTGAATCCAGTGTGACCGGATCCTTATAAGCAGAACAACTGTGGCCACTGACAGGTACAGAGGGAAGACGATGTGAAGACTCAGAGACAAGACAGCCACCTGCAAGCCAAAGAGAGGCCTGGGGACTGACCCCTTTTCCCTCATGACCCTCAGGAGGAACCAAGCCCGCCAGCACCTTGATCTCAGACTTCCAGCCTCTAGACTGATAAAATCAGCTCCTGCTGTTCCAGCTCCTGGGTCTGTGATACGCTGTTGGGCAGCCCTGGCCGACTAAGACACTGTCGGTTCTCTCTCATGTCCTGAGACTTCCTGCAGAAACTCCAACCACACCGGGCTGCCCTCCTCACCATCCTTCAACGTGCTGGCTCCGTACCAACCTCTGGTCTTTCCCGTGCATGGGGCCCTACGTCATGCCCTGTCCCTGGAGTGCCTGTCCACCTCCTGCACGTATTCCAGGGGTCAGCGAACTGCAGCCTGCCCTGTCTTTGTCAGCACAGTCCTCCTGGGACTGCCGTGCCCTGTGTGTGCTGTCTATCACCGCTCTCACACCACAGCAGTGGAGGGGAGGAGTTTCGGTAGAGGCTCTGTGTGGCCTGCAAAGCCTTTGATATTGACTCTCTGGCCCTTTCTAGAAAAAGTTAGCTGACCCCTGATCTATCCAAATTTCATCCCTTCTCAGAGGCCCAGTTCGCATCTGTGGCAGCTCCCAGGACCACCCTCCTGCCCACCGAGTCTCCTCTTCTGAGCTCCTGTGACTCCGGAGTCGGTGAGAATTTTAAGTAAAAACCTGGATCTGTGTTTTGGTTTCACCCTCTCCCTAGAATAACACTTCATATCATCATGGGGTTTTAAGGGGACTCCTAGGTGCCGGACAGTTGAGAGTCTGTCCTCAGACCCACTCTCCTTCCCTCTCCCCAGGCCTGGTGCTCCAGGAAGCTGACCTTGCTTCCTGCTTGGGCCGGCCCATGGGCAGCACTAGCAGGACGTCCGTGGGTGGACCCGAGGAGAGAGAGGTGGGGCGTTCGCTCCCCAACTGCAGCACACAGGGTTGGTGTAGACTGGCTGCTTCTTGCTGCCCAAGGCCACATGTCTGCCCCATGGCCCTCTCCACATAGCTGCTCTCTGACTCTGAGGCTGCCCCTCACTTTGTTCCTCCAGCCTTTACCGGTAACAGATCCACACAGCTGCTACCCTGGGGTACTGTACTTGCTGGCTTCCTTAAACCCTGCCTGCATCTTTATGAAACCCTCCTTAAGTCCTTAAACCCTGCCTGCATCTTTATGAAGCCCTCCTTAAGTCCTTAAACCCTGCCTGCATCTTTATGAAACCCTCCTTAAGTCCTTAAACCCTGCCTGCATCTTTATGAAGCCCTCCTTAAGTCCTTAAACCCTGCCTGCATCTTTATGAAACCCTCCTTAAGTCCTTAAACCCTGCCTGCATCTTTATGAAACCCTCCTTAAGTCCTTAAACCCTGCCTGCATCTTTATGAAGCCCTCCTTAAGTCCTTAAACCCTGCCTGCATCTTTATGAAGCCCTCCTTAAGTCCTTAAACCCTGCCTGCATCTTTATGAAACCCTCCTTAAGTCCTTAAACCCTGCCTGCATCTTTATGAAGCCCTCCTTAAGTCCTTAAACCCTGCCTGCATCTTTATGAAGCCCTCCTTAAGTCCTTAAACCCTGCCTGCATCTTTATGAAGCCCTCCTTAAGTCCTTAAACCCTGCCTGCATCTTTATGAAGCCCTCCTTAAGTCCTTAAACCCTGCCTGCATCTTTATGAAGCCCTCCTTAAGTCCTTAAACCCTGCCTGCATCTTTATGAAGCCCTCCTTAAGTCCTTAAACCCTGCCTGCATCTTTATGAAGCCCTCCTTAAGTCCTTAAACCCTGCCTGCATCTTTATGAAGCCCTCCTCAAGTCACCTAGTTTAAGAGTACCTACTGTTTCCATGGGGACACTGACCGACATACCCCTACGGCACAGGCAAGGTAGATATTATTATCCCCACTGACAAAAGAAAGTGTAGTCCCCAAAGGCTGAAGTTAGGTGCCCAAGGGGAGAGCTAGTAAATGGCAGAGAATGACAGGTCTTGAGTCCAGGCCTTTTTCAGCCCCATCAGGCGACGTCGCTGAAATGCACATTTGCAGGCTGGACTGCTGCTGAGAGCTGGTGGTGCAGGGGCCTGTAGCAGGGTTGCTCCAGCCCCACCGCAGAATAGACCTGAGCAACTGGGCTGTGTTACTTCCCAGGAATTGAGGAACTGTGGCACGGCATGTTTCATCTGATTTAATTTTCTCTTTCAGAAAACAATAACTTGGAAAGTTATTCCTTATGACTTTTCTACCGTTGGATAGATCAAGCACGTGGCCATATGTATTGTCAAGTGGATAGATGAAGGAACTCTTCATATGTGTTTGCCCAGTTTGGAGTCTTAGGAGTCTCTAATACTGTGAGTCCAGGAAAAACAACAAAGACAGTCCTCGCCTTGGCCTTGCCCTAAGTAGCTCCAAAGCTTTGGCAGGTCACAGTACAACTCTGGTCTCTTACATGGATAAATTGAACCGGAGGGTGAACTGAGGATCTCTTCTAAGGAAAAGAAAGGAAAGGAATGGCAAAAGAGAAAAGAAGGTTGTAGAATAAGAGGAAAGAGTGGATGAGAGAAAAAGAGAAGAGAAAAAGAAACACAGTTCCCAGGCCACAGCAGCCTGCCTGGGTGGAAAGGTCACAGAGAAAGGTGCCATCAGCTTCCAGAACCTTCTCAACAACTTCCTGCCAGCCCAGGCCCAGCTTGGCTTCCTCTGCATAAGCAATTAAAGCCTGGTTGATTTTAAGCCATCAGAAAGTAAATATAAAACAGGATTAAATATTAAGAAGCCAAACAAAGTGGCCTTATTAAAAAGGCACAATAGAAGTGCGCTCTGCCATCACCATAATTATGATCACTGCTATAAACTGGGAGGAGGCATAAATGCCTGCCCTTGATCTGCAGCCATAATCCAAAGAAGAAAGCCAGGGTTACTGTGATCTCAGCAGGCCATAAACATCCTGTGCTCCCAAGCAGAAAATCTCTCTCCACCATTAGGGCACCACGGAGTCTATCAGGCTGCCTTGGTTATTGCTGCCGGGTTGGCGGGGAGGTGGATGGGGCCGGGAGGGGGCAGGGGCAGTAAGTTTAGCTGCACCCAACAAACTCTTGAACTTTGGCACACTCCCTCTCCCACCCCCACCCCACCTTCACTAGAGATGGCAGGGCAGCCTGGGACATGCTCAGACCCTCGGGGACTATGGGGAAAACAGGCTATCTGACCACACAGGAGGGCGAGACACTCCAAGGGGAAAACACAGCTTGCCTGCAACCATTAGGGATGGGACAGGGATCTTCTAGACATGGAGTGTGGTGGTCTTTCTCTAGAGCACTCCTTTGGAAACCCAGTTCTCACTACTAAAAGGACATTAGTGGTGTCCTTTTAAGTGCTAAGTGCCACATGCCAGATGGTCACCCACGTGGTATGATTGGAAAGGGATAGAGTATGATTTGCACCCCCAATCCTCCTCCAACCCGGTTCCATGACACCTAATGGCCATTCCTTGATTTTAAGGCCTTGTCTCCCAGAGTGTGCAATAGCAACATCAGCCATTTCTATCTTCATATTAACAACAAAGCTCAGTCTCTCAATCACTCACTATATGCCAGCTACTCTTCCATGAATTTTACATACATTAACTGAGGTAACCCTATGAGGGAGGCATTAGATGTCCCCATTTTTTGGATGAGAAAATTGAGGCTTAGAAAATTCAGTCGTTTACTCCAAGCAAGCGCCAATAAGATTCAGGATTTGAACCCGGGTAGATCTGATGCCAAGTCCATCCTCTTAGCTAGAATGTCTATTGATGAATTTATAAAGCCTTTTCCTATCTGTCATGGGAGAGCAAGGGTAAGAGAGCCCTGAGGATGTGCTGGCATCACTAAGTGGAGGAGGAGGGCAGTGGGTGCAGGTGGTGGTCCTGGGGAGAAGCCACTTATTTTATGACCCTGCCCAGGGCCTCCCTGCCGGCTCCTCTGGGCAGAAGGAAGCAGTCAGCAGGCAGCGTGGTTAGGAGCATGGGCTTGGGGGCCAGGGGCCTGAGTTTGGATCCTGGCTCTGCCACTTGGAGCTATGTGACCTCACTCTTCTGTGGCTCGGTTTCCCCAGTGTGAAATGGAGATCTTAATCATGACATCATCACAGTCAGAAGGGGTCTGTAGGATTGTAGGCCAGCCCTTCATTTGATTTTTTATTTTTATTTTTTCTGAAACAGAGTTTCACTCTGTTGCCCAGGCTGGAGTGTAGTGACATGATCTTGGCTCACCGCAGCCTCCAGCTCCCAGTCTCAAGTGATCCTCCCACCACAACCTTGAGAGTAGCTGGGACCACAGGCATGCACCACCATGCATGGCTAATTTTTAAATTTTTTGTAGAGACAAGGTCTCACTATGTTGCCCAGGTTGGTCTCGAACTCCTGGCCTCAAGCAATCTTCCCACCTCAGCCTTCCAAAATGTTGGGATTACAGGCATGAGCTACTGTGCCCCACCTAGCCCTTCATTGTATAGGTGAGAATGTTAAGGTCCAGAGAGGGTCATCAGCTTGTCCAGAGTCGCAGAGGCAGATAGTGGTAGAGTTTTGAACCTCTTTCCACCATCAGTGCTGCCTCCCTTTCTCACTCACCATTGATGCACATCACGGAGAGGCCAGGAGCCCACCCTTGGTCAGAAAAGTATCAAGGATGGACACAGGCCCCAGGCTCCCTCTCCTGTACGGAAGTCAGAGTTTTACTATGGATGAGTTTTGACGTTTGCACCCTGTTCTTTGCCGTTCACAAAGCTATGCAGAGCTCACGATTTGTTCTCATTTTCTCTCTTCTCTGGGGCCCCGTCTTTCCTGCTTCACTGCTTTCTGCTGCTGAAGAGCAGGTCAGATTTCCTGCAAGGAGGATCTACAGGGGCCCAGCACTACCTTGAAGGCCGTGAACAGCCACAGAGGGAAAGCCGCCTTGAGTATGGAGCAAGACTTCCTCAGACAGGTCTCATTTGTGTCTTCCCTTCCAGCAGGCAAGTAAATTGCTGCCTTAAATTTCTAGGCTGCCGCCATTGATGACATTTATGTGAAGTGAGTCATTTTAACTCCAACCCCATGGTGTCTCTTCAGCCCCATAATTTCATGAATGAGTTTATGGGCAGCTGTCAGAATATCGATCAGCTTGCCCTGCTATGTAGCGTGTCCTTTGCTTTAATTCTTCTCCCAACTCTGCCTGCTGGATGCTTGCAGTTTGTTTTCCTCTTTCTTGCCCTGGGGCAGACAGAGTCTTTGGTCCATCTGGCTACTTTATGTGTTGTTTTAGTTTTAGGTTTTTTTTTTTTTTTTTTTTTTTTTTTTTAGACAGGGTCTTGCTCTGTCACCCAGGCTGGAGTGCACTGGTGTGATCACAGCTTGCAGCAGCCTAAAACTCCCGGGTTCAAGTGACCCTCCTGCCTCAGCCTCCCAAGTAGCTAGGATTACAGGCCCACACAACCACACCCAGCTAATTATTTTGTTTTTTTTTTTTAATAGAGATGGGGTTTCACTACATTGCCCAGACTGGTCTTGAAGTCCTGGGATCAAGCGATCATCCCACCTCGCCCTCCCAAAGTGCTGGGATTGCAGGCGGGAGCCACCATGCCGGGCCTCTGGCTGCTTTTTCTTTTTCTTTTTTTGAGACAGGGCCTCACTCTGTTGTCCAGGCTGGAGTGCAGTGGTGCGATCTCAGCTCACTGCAAGCTCCACTCCCCAGGTTCATGTCATTCTCCTGCCTCAGCCTCCCAAGTAGCTGGGACTATAGGCGCCCAGCACCATGCCTGGCTAATTTTTTGTATTTTTAGTAGGGATGGGGTTTCACTGTGTTAGCCAGGATGGTCTCAATCTCCTGACCTCGTGATCTGCCCGCCTCGGCCTCCCAAAGTGCTGGGATGATAGGCGTGAGCCACCGTGCCCGGCTCTAGCTGCTTTAATTGCCCACATCTTTTGTGAGAGGTCCTGCGGCTTCATGCATTTCTAGGCTCACTGCTACAGGCAAAGACCCAGGGAGGCAGGGCTTCCCTCTCCCATGTATCAGGCAGGCCCCCTTAGGATAGAGGTTCAGTGCTCAGGATCATGTCTAAAGGGGGCAATAATAGAGTTCTTTGATGGGGAAGGGCCAGTAAGTCATGTTGTGTCACTTATAGAGAACAGTAGAAGAAAAAATGGAAAGGTTTAATTTAGATAAGGAGAACCTAAGAGACCTCGCCACCACCTTCCAACATATGAAGTTTTTTTCCACAGGAGGAAGACAGCACCTGCCCAGAGTAGTTTTAGAGGGCACTGCACTAAAGAAGGAGAACTGCAGGGGAAGATCGTGCCCTAATGGATGAAACATTTCCCAAATGGCCTGGCTATCTGGAGAGATGAGGACTTGCTCATTAGTAGAAGTTTCCAGGCAAAGCCTGGATAAGCATTTGCTGCAGGGGTGGGGGAGGTGAAGGTTGAGAGGAGATCTCTAAGATTTCTTTGCCTTGGAAAAAAAAATTAAGCTCTACAAGAAAGGAGTGGGTTGATTGGATGAAACAGTTAAGTTGTTGGTTGTAAGGGGACTCTCGGCACAGAGAGAGAGGGGCTTGAAGCCCACACGTAATTCTCTCATCTTCTGGAGGAGTCTTTCTCAGCAGGGACTTCACCATGTCACATCACTATCACTCAGCACACGGGACCCTTGTCCTGGCTCCCAGGGCCCTTGGCAATCCGCTTTCACTCTACCCATCTAACTACACCTTCCCTTTCCAGCATTCGCCCTCTGATCCATGCACTCAGTCCTACTCTCTGCCTCCAGAATATGCCACACACGGTTCCTCTTGCTTTGACACCACTGATGGAGGGCTTAATGCATCCAGGGCGCTTGCTGGGAGCTGTGCGCCTGTGTCTGGGTCTTTGCCCTGCTGCCCCACTCTTGGAATTCCATCCCCACCACTCCCCCACATGCACAAAAGCCTTCCTACCTACCCTCCAACTCCGACCATCTCCATGAAGCCTCCTTGACCTACGTGGCATCCCAGAATGGTCCTTTTCCCTGAGGCATTTACTATTTGTGCCATGTAGCTTGGTGTGCTGACACATATGGTTCTTTGCTCGTTCATTAGGAGAGTCCAGCAGTGTGGCTGTTCAAGCGCTCACATGACAGCACCTCATTTCATGCTCCCAACAACCTGGGGAGACTACTGGGGAAGGCGTCTCCAGCCACAGGTGGAGATGAGAAAACTGAGGCTGCCGAGAGCAGAACCGGGACAGGGACGCAGGCCTTCTCCAGCCTCTGCTCCCTGCTGCTTCCCCAGCCCTGGCGCTTTTGACATGTGCTCCTGGGACAAGGAAGAGCGAGGCTGCCCTAGCCCCACCTGGCAGACTCCACCAGCCCTCGTATCCTGACTCCCCTGTCCTTTCCTCTCCACCGAAGCTCCCAGAGAGCACACCTCTGCTGCACCAAGCAGCCTTCCCTGGGAGGGCAGATGGGAATGCCCCAGGGAGGGAACATGGCTGGGGACTTCCACTGGAGGCATCGGAAGCACCCTGGAAAGACTGGCTGGCACTGGGGCACACACCCCAAATTCAGCTTTTGCTGTTTCTCCTTCACGCTCAGAGAGGGGTATGAATGAGCATCTTGGGGCCAAGGGACGGGGTGTGTACTCCTTCACTCATTCAATGTTTGATCCATTATTCTGGAGCCATTTATCCAGCCACCCACCCATGAGCTCCTTCCTCCCTCCTGGGTTATTTTGGGTAAGGGCCAAGATGTGGAGACTGGTGAGCAGTGGTTTTCATGCCCACAGCAGCTGGGGCAGCTCTAAGCCAAGCACATTGAAGGAGAAACCGACCCCAAACCAAAAGTGCAAAAAGAACAGACGGGGATGAACGCCTGCCTCTGTCACTCTCATTATTCCACTGAACAGCCTCTCCCTCCAGATCCTTCCTCTCAAGGCTGAGTCTGAATCAAAGGCCTTCTTCACCCTTCATCCCTCCTCCCTCTTTGCCCGAATCTTAGAACTATTCTGTAATTTCTCAGGAGAGCTGGGCTTGTTGGGGACGCTGATTGTTCTTCCTTCAGAAGAGAGAAATGGTTTTTGAAATCCAGAGAACAGGGACCACTGTCTTCAACAAGCAAAAGGCCTGGGGGCATGACAGGAAGTGGGAATGTTAATGATCCTGAAATCGACTTGAAATGTGAGGCCTGACCTTGGGCTCACCTGGGCCCGACTGCCTGGGGTACACTGCTACCTCTCCGTGACCTGTCTCCTTCTGAGTCTTAAATTCTAGGAGGATTCATGCTGCAGGCTCAGTGGCCCAGGAAACCTGGAAGGAAGGAAAGGACACAGAGGTTCTGATTTGGGGATGGAGTCCTGGTCCTGGTGGATGGAACACAGGAAGGCTCTTGGGGTGAGGAGTGGGAGTGTCGGGCAGTGTGGGCTGTGTGAACACAGGCATCGGTGGGCCTGTCCAGCCAGAACATGGGCCCTGGGCAGCTTCAAGCTGCTCTATCGCTTTTGCTGCTTACATTACAAGAGTAACAACTACCTGGATGGTGAAGTTGGGATGTGCCTGATTTGGGGAAAGCAGAGAGGAGACAGTGGCCTGTTACTATCTCAATAATACTGTGGGGGAGCGGGCCTTCTTGCAGATGGGAGTGACCAAGCACAGATGTCAGAGAGGAAGGAAGGACTGTGTCGAGGGGTGGGAGGGAGAGAGGCAGACAGAGAGAGACAGAGAGATCCCTGATGCCTGCCTGGGCCAGAGGCAAGAGGCAAGAGCTCCTCTCTGCTCAGTGCTGGCTCCTTGGTTGAGAAGGAACATGGTGTAGCAGCTCAGCGCTTCCCTCAGAGTCACTGGGAGGACAAAGGGAGAAGAGGTGGGAAAAGATCTCAAAAGCACAACCCCTCATGGAAACATAGGAGGCAGGAGGGAGCGCAGTGACAGAAAAGCAATTAGTGTGAGTAATTAACCATGCCAGGATAATTCACCACACCATCGGGAGGATGCCACTGCACCCAGGACACTGTCTTTCCACTGTCACTCAATAGCTGCAGGTGTCAGCTGGAAGACCTTCCAGCAGCTGAGGCTTGCACAAAGATGGAAGGGTTTTTTGTGACTGGTAAGTTCCTACACGGAGAGTGTGTAAGAAGCAGGGTGGAGAGACTCCGTAGTGAAGGTGTTGTAGAGGAGTTTCACACATAGGTGGGGATGACGGGAGAGAAGGAGAGAACCTCAGGACACCTCCCGGCACTGAGGTTCTACTGTTCAGTGCTCTCAAGGTAGACAGACATTGTCAGGGTAGTGGCTCTGGGAAAAGGGCAGGAGAGCGTGGGCCCCGAGGAAAGAGTCAGCTGCTGGATGCGTGCTGGCAGAGAAGCTGTCCAGAGTCCTTATGCAGTGGACACTTCCTCTCTTGTGACCTCTGCTGCCTGGCCAAGATGGGAGAAGCGTCTCTTTGCAAAATGAGGGCATCCTCTCCTCAGCTTAGCCACAGACTTGTTCTGGAATGTGAAACTCCAAGAGAAAGACAGGGCTGGATGGGGCTTCAAGGGGATTGGAATGCAGAAAGATTAACAGACAATTAGAGATCCTTTGGGTATTACTTTTACCTATGAGGAAATTGAGGCCCAGAGAGGAAAGGGTTGTTTAGGTTACAGGGCCAGTTAGTATCAGAGCTGGGACTAGGAACCAGGTCTCCATACTCCCTTTCTAGGGCTTCTTTCCACTCCACTTCTCCTATCACCAGGCTCATGATTCTGGGGGGTTACCATGTGCTTGCCTCTCTGACAAAAGAGAAAGAGGGAAGGCTTTCGAGTCAGATGGGGCGTGCCTGGGTGTAAGCCTGGGTAAACCTCCTGTTAGCGAACTGGCCTCAGGCCAATGATCTGAACCTCACTTTTCTCATCTGAAAATGTGAAGTGAGGGCAAAGATAATATGGGCAAAAGGAGGTGCTTGATGAGCAGTAGCTGTCGTTCCTAATATTCAGTATTAGAGCTCTGAGTGTGTAGGATGCCTGGACACTGGGCATGTATACAAAAGCACATGAATATAAAAGCAAGTGCAGGCCAAGAGAAGAATGTCCTCGGGACCCCTTGCTGTGCGTCTAAAGGTCGCCTGGAGGCGGTACTCTTACTGGAAGGGATACAGCATTCTCAGGGCCACCCCCTAAAGATGTCACAGTTAGCCGTGTTCCCTCTGGGGCCATCAGCTTCTCAGATGTGTTCCTCATTGCTGTCATTCTCGTCATGCAGTATTCATAAAGTTCCTACTGCGTGTTAACGGTCACTTACCCATGGCATGGTCCCTATCCTGGAAATGATCTTTATGATTCATCACGAAAAAAACTGAAGCACCGCTGGAAAAAAGAGAGCTGCATTCAACTCCCTTTTGTGCCCCCTTGAATTTGTTTTAACCCTAAAGTAAGCCAAGGCCCTGCCAGAGATTGTGTTCTGTTCTCTGAACCCACTCTCTGCCATTCAGAAAAGGTCACTTATGACCACAATTTGGGCTCCATCATGGTCCTTCTGGCCTTGCTCTGGATGATCACTGAGGGCAAGAAGAAATCTTTAGGATGGCCACTGCTACAGATCTCTGTAGTTTAACTGGAAAGAGTTTTTACTTCTAGGAACCAGTAACACCAGTACCAGGGCAACATGGGGCCTCAGCTTCTATTGGGTTTTAAATAGATTTTGGCCTAAACATATTTATCAATATGCAACAATTGGGTTAGTCTAATGACAAATGTCATCCCCTTCCATCGCCAGAGCAACAGGCCATTTCCATTAGGAGTAATGTTTCCTGGCCAGATTAAGGCATGGAAAATAATTTTTGGTCATCAACAATTCCCTTCAGTTTCACTGATCTGATTAAACTTAGCAACGGAAAAAGGAATTTACAAATTAGATGCTGTTCTCTATTTATTACCAAAATGGTTGCTTTCCACTACATCCAGGAGATACAGCTGAGTTCTCATTAAGTCTCAGCTTGTGATAACATTTACTCCATAAATCTCCATTGCAGCCAGTGAATGAAATGAGCATTGTGCTGAAGACCACATAATGGACGAAATCAAACCTCTGCCCCCTTTGAAGGGAGTTGACCTTTCAAGCCTTAAATGTATTCAGCTTTCTAGTTGTAAAGAAGCAACTCAGAATTTATTCTTGGTATTCTCTTAACCATTTCCTGACTGCTATTCTTAGCTGGCTAGCTGGCCTTCCTGAGAAAGGATAAAATGAGAAGTATTTCTGACACTTCCGTGGACAGGTTTGAAGAAGAAAGAGGAGGAGAAATTAGTACATGAAGAAAAACATCATGGGATAATCATGTCCTCCTTGAGAAGTGAAAAAGAAATGTTGACAGGCAAGGAATGGAAGATTAAAAATTAATTTATGTGCCTGGTTAATTACATATCCTCTGCTGGATCAGATCTGGCCCAACCTCGTTTTAGATCTGACAAAGTGACAAAGCAGGCCTAAGTGATCCATTCCCAGAGGCAGAATTCCAAGGACTTCCAAGCCAAGACCCTACTTTTATCCCCCAATTTCCAAACCCTTTTCCAACCAATATTCATTGATTGCCTATGCACCAGGATCTGTATGGGATTCTGGTAATACAAAAGTCCCCACATTCAAGATGTACTACCCAGCAGACGGTATCAGATAGATGAATGCCACAGATAAAATGCAATGAATACAGCAGACAGGGAGACACTACAGATCACATACAATAAGTACTATGATGCAGCTGTGGAATGGGGTTTCTGGGAGCATGAAGGAGCGGGTAAGACCCTGCTGGGGAGAAGAGGTGGTGAGGATAGAAAAGGCAGAAAAGGAAGGGATGGTTGATGGGGCTTTGAAGGTGGGGTGGTGAAACCAAGGGCTAACCTAATGAGGTCACCAAACCTAACTTGCCTCACTGGTTTCTAGTTGATTTTAAAACATATGCAGCTAAAAGTCATGTAGTTAAGGAATATGTAACTAAACTTCTACAAGCCTCCTTACAGATAACATCTCTGATGTATAAGTCACCATGATAATGGTTGCTTAAGTCATTTTTCAAGAGCTTGGGGTCAGCTCTTGTCCAGTTCAAGCTAGCTCAGACCACTAATCCTCCAACTGGGCCTGCGTGAGTGTCCAATGGGCGACCTTTTGGCATCAGAGGGCCCAAACATCCATCCTCAGATCACGCTAACGATGCCATTTTGTGAACTTGAATCCCAGGAAGAGCTGTGAAGCTTGACTATACTTGCGCAGATAACCGACGGCCTCACTTTTCCTTACCCCCAATCACCTTTCCCCATGCCTTGGACCTTGCTCCTCTATCCCATAAATATCCCTAAAACCCCATCTTTGGGGAAGTGGATCTGAGACCTGCTCTTCCATCTCCTTGCTTGGCTGCCTTGTGAACAAACGCTTTCTCCGCTGCAAAACTTGTGTCTCCGTGATTGGCACATGGCATGATGGGTAGGGCAAGCCTGGCCTGGTAACATGGCAGTTCGGAAGGCAGATGGTGGGGCTGGGCTTTCCGTGCAGAGATCAGGGTGTGCACAAGTGTGCAGAGGATCGTTGGAAGAACGGGCTGGCTTTCAGGGTGCAGGCAATCCTGCAGGAGGAAAAGTGCAATTCCAGGAGTCTGAGGACTTAAGAAGCTAGAATCAACTGAATTCCTCTGGGGTCTGATGGACTGAAATGATCAGGTTTGGCCCAGGCTCCTGGAGCTAAAGCTAACGTGTGTCAACTGAGAACTACAGAAACAAATTCCAAAGCTGGAAGGGGCTTTTACTGACCTAACCCCCGTCATTTTACAAGCAAGGAAACTGGGAGAGGCCAACTGCAGACTGGCTATCAAGTGGGGCCGTGAAGTCTGGCTGCCTGCTTTTCTCTGGCTCCTGTTAGTTCCTGTATAGCACACGACAATTGTTCAGACTAAAAACTCTGGCATCCTGTTGGGAGAGGAACATGAGGGTCATTCATCCCAGATTGCTGTATTCTCAACTCATCTAATCAAGGGGTAGGACTTAATAGATTAATAGAATTAGTTTACTAAGGGATTATGGAAATTATAATTCATGGACATGATTGTATACCATCTAAGAGGTACAAGAAGAAACTCTGCAGTTTTTATTGAAGCTTGGGATCTTCTTGATGAAAACCTAGGATGCTCGGCCTGATGGTTAGCAACTGACCCCTTAGCTTCCTAGTCAATGCAGAAGTGGTCCAAGGGGCTGGGACCCACCACTGACATTACTTTTTCATGTCAAGCAGATGCTCTCCCCTGTGGGGACAGCAGGGATCTTTTTCTCTGCCTCTGCCAGGCATAGCAAGCATCATGCCAAGCTTTTTACTCAAAGCTGGACCCAGCTGACCTTAGCGAATATTAGTAAATTCATTGAGACTCTAATTCTGAATATTCCTGACAAGAAAGGAGTCCTTAATTTCTTCTTGCTCCTGTGTTTGGTGTGTGTGCATGTGTTAGTAGGTGTGCATTTGGTTATTTTCAGATAATTTTGTTAACATAATAACTGACAGTGGACACCATTATCATATCTCATGAGTCATGGACATGAGATACAATGGTTGGACAGGCTGATTTGAAGCTTGAAATTGAGAAGGTAAACAAAGGCTTTTTCCTTTAAAGCTAGCCTGTCAAGCAAATAATTAAGGCTTTTCAACTTCATCAGTAAGTTGTTGAGAGTAGATCTAGTCTATTACTTCAAGCAAAAGACACAAACAAGTCCCAGCACAGTTGTAATCATTCTTTAACAGTGCTGGCCTGCGGTTTGTCTTCGCTTGACCTCTAATCTTTATACACTGTGATCCTGCACACAAGGCACTATTGAAGTTCTTAGAGTAAGACTTGGGCCATGTTAGTCAAAACCAGACTCAGGCTTAGCAAATAAGGTTTTAGAACATGATTTAGGGAACAGCAAGGGCTCCTCTGCCCAGACATTTTTAAAATGTCTTAATATCCTTACTTTCTTGTAGAATAAAACAAAACACTGAATAACTTTATCAAAATTCAAATATATATATTCAGAAAGGATAAACCTTTAAATTTCTCTTTTATCAAAATTCAAATGTATCTATTTAGAAAGCATAAACCTTTAAATTTCTCTTATCAAAGCTCTTCTGTCCAGTGGCTCGGCCCTGCAGATCTTTGCTGGGGTTACTTTTCTTCAGTCGGAGGAACTAATCTGTATTAATTCTAAATTGCAATGGACGTGTATTTTTATGACTGAGTAAATGGCTACACTTTTCTTTATTCATTCTCTTCTTAGGCTCTCTGCAGCGCCATGTAGAAGTGAACATGCTACTCTATCACTCCAGTCTACCTTCACCGGAGACCATTCATTCATGGGCTGTGTTTAGAGACTCTTGTGCAAACACGTTTCTTGCCCATCATTTCCTTTGAGGAGGGATGACTCTGGATGGCACCACATGTGTGGGCCCTGCTGGTGAATCAAACTGGGTGCAGGAGGAGGAGAGTTTATGGCCTTATCAGTAAAGTGCAAGTTTCGGCTCAAAGCCAGGTGTTTGGAAATGAATACAACTTCCTGTTCTGTTGTGGAAGGCCCTTGCCCTGTTCCCATGATGCTACCTTTGAGCATGTCCTGTGATTTTTCCAGAGACAGTGTTGAAACCTGCTCATATCTCTAAAAGAAACGGAATCCGGGAGCACTGTCAGCTGGGAGGTGGTCACTCCAGTGTGATGTGACAAGGCCCTGGAATAGCAGCACAGACACTTGTCTTTGGGCCAACAGCCCCCACATGGGGTAGGGTGTGGTTCGGGGGATGCATGATTAAGCCCAGGGAATGAGGACAGACTCAGGGACCTGGAGCCCCCTTTATGCCCCAGGGTTTTAGAATTCCGTAATTTTTGGATGGCGATGGAGCTAACCACATGGCTAAATAAGGAATCCAGCACCTGGTACCAGGATATAGAAAGAAAGTAAGACATAAATGAGCCAGCCCTTCTCTCCCCAGCTGCCCCTCTTCTCCTGACCCTCACCCCAGCCTAACGCTGCCAATTGCCTTCTATTTTGAAGAATTCCATCTATCTCCCCAACAGACCACCCTTTTCATTAGGCAACTCTTTGAGCAGATTCTCTGTTGTTTCTGGCAAGGCTTCAGTTCTGTCCCTCTAGCAGTGTGGCATCGACACAAAGTGATCACGGTGATTAACAGTTCAGTACTTACAGCAGGTATCATAGTTATTTAAGAGGACAAAGTCTCTCCTATTATATGAGGGTAGAAATCTCTTCTGGAAACACTGCAGCTGTCACCAGAGGCATGAGTATTTCCATTTGGTGAAGTAATCCTGAAGGATGGAGCCATCAAAGCCTATGTTTGGGGTTGTTACTCGACTTTTTCCCCAGGAGGCATTTAATCATGCAGGCAAGGATTTAATAGGCTGAGTTGCTTGGAATTCTCCATGTGGCACCTTTTAGGGTAAGGGGACTGCTTGTGGGTGTGTTTATGGTCATGGGTATTAAACAGGCCTTGGAATGCCAAGGGGCAGAGGGTCATGGCAGGGATCCCACCAAGGAGCAGGCAGGACAAACCAACTCCCAGGAAGAGCCCCTCAGAGGGGCATGGCACTGCACAACCTCCTCCATCATTCCTGAGGCTGAAAAGCACAAGGTGTTTATCCTGGAGCCTCCAGGATAGGTGTTCAGGGCCTGCCAGCCCTTAGGACCCTATCCCAGTGGATGCAGGCTCTTTCCAATCCTTCCCCGCCTGTCCACTCCCACTCAGGCCTTATCAGCCTCTGACTGACCCCCACTCCGCCTCCAGCTTCTCTCTCCTTCCAGCCCATTGTCCACACTCGGCTGCACAGTGACCTTTCGATGGTAAACTGGTACCTTGTCATCCCTCTGCTTAAATCTCTTCGGTGGCTCCTCCTTAACCACAGGATAGAGTCCCACTCCGAGGCCCTTTGGGACCAGGTCCCAGTCTTTCTGTCCTGATCTTTCTTTTTGGCTTCTCCCCTGTGCACCCTGAACTCAAATCACCATGAAACATGTGCAATTCCATTTCCTTTCCTTCTTTTAAAAATTATTTTGCTTCTACAACTTTGCAAATGTAGCCCCCTCAGCTTAGAAGGTCCGGTTGCGATCTTTTGGCCGTGTGACCTGCTGCCAAACTGCAGCAGGAACACTGTCCTGTGCCCACCCAGCCCCAGTCCTTCTGCCCCCGAGCACTTAGTTAGCTGCTCTTCGCCAGTCCCCTGGAAGTCAGGCGGAAGTGGGAGCTGTGTTCCGGCCGATGGTGTGTCGCGAGCAATGCCCACACTCCCAGGCCTGGCTGCTGAAGCCTCCAGCAGGCCCTCTGCTCCCTCTTCTGCTGGCCCGATGCAGAGCAGACAGGGGAGACTGTGAGGCCCCGGGGGTGGCAAAGCCACAAAAGGGGTGCAGCCTTGGGGCCTGAAGACCGGTGTGGTGGAACTCTCCTCCCTCCCATCCCCAGCTCACACTCCACCGTGGGGTGAAAAGTAACCTTTACTGTACTAAGCAACTGAGATTTCATTTGGGGGCTGCTTATTACAATGGTCCACCAACCCTGACTGACATGGCACCTTCATGAATCCTTCTTGGGGCAGGCAGTCCCTCCCACCCTCTTCCAAACTCTGCTCTCTGTCTTCTGTGTTTCTCCAGCCCCTGGTTCATGACTGCAATTCATCACTGTCACCTGTCTGTTGGTGCATCTGTCTCCTGAACTAGGCTGTAATTCCCCTTAGGACAGAGACGGTGTCTATTTATCTTAGTATTCTGGGTGCCCTGTTGGGACTTAAATGTGTGTTAATGTGCCCATGTCTCTCTCAAGCACTCAGGATGGCCTGGCATGCATGTGGCTCTAGGAGGTTCCCTCAGACACTAGCCACTGTGTTGAGGCCAATGATTCCACTTTCTGTGACCTTTCCACTAGCTTCAGGGTTCCAGTTCTATAAATCATCCTCCCATGCCATGCACCCGACGATGGAAATACAATACGTGGCTAATCTCCCTCCATTACTGGATGATAATTTTCCACATCAGCAAGTAGTGAGAAAGGCTGGAGCTGTCACTCTCCCCTCCACTGATAGCCTCTGACAGTTAAGATATCTTGATGCGGCATGAGCTTCTTACCCCCACTGTTTACAGAGAAGGAAGCGTGGAGTGGGTGAGGGAGGCAAGGGTAACTGTAGTGTAGGCAGCTCTGTTTCGGGGCTGAGCACTGGTTATTGGAGAAAATGGATCAAAGGGAAACTCAGGATGATTCATCTCCCCTTCCATCCCTCTGCTGAGCTACTTTAACGCCCAAGTGTATAGATCGATTTGCAAAGCACCAAATTAAAGTCAAATCAGCTCTTTACTGAGTGCCTACTCTGGGCAAGGCCAAGTGGACACAGGCAGATCCATTCTTAAAGCGACCCGTGGCTTTAGGTAGGTGACAGGACTTCTCCAAAGACACCACGTGTCAGTGATCCCCCCCGGGGCCCCATAGTGCTGAGGTTCCTGGGATCAGAGACTCAGAAGTGATGACGCTGTAGCACTGCACAGCCCAGAATCATCAGAGGCGGTTCCATGACATTCCTCACACCGTACTTGCCAAGGCAGGAAAGTGGTAAGCTAGAACTCCCATCCCCAGAGCATTGTGGCTGATCAACACCCTCCTCTAAGCCAGTCCCAAGGAACCCTGAACTGAAGGAAATCGGATAGGTCACGGAATTGACACATCTCCTTCCAAACAAAACTGCCTCTTAAACCATTCCAAAGGGATGGCGCTTGACCTCAGTTCGCTTTTTCTTTCCGTGAGCAAGATAATGCCATAACTTCTTTCCATGCTTCAAACAGAGTTCTCAGAATCATAAAGTTCAACTTAAAAAAAAATCAAACCCATGCCCTACTACCAGCACCACCGCCCCCGCCCTCCCGCCCCATCTCCGCTCTTTTCCTCCTTTCTCCGTCCACCTGCTTTGCATATTAGGCTGAAGCGATAAATGCAACAACCAAGGAAAATTCACAGGCTGTTCCGGCTGGGGGACTGGAGGGCCCACTTCTGGTTCCCCTGGTTGGAAGAGAAGGGCATTCGTGAGGGGGCTTGTGGTAGAGACCAGCATGGTACGGAGGGAGCAACGGCCACATAACTGTGCAACTTACAAGCTGAACAATGTGAATACGTTAACTTTTCCGAGCCTCACTTTTCCCATCTGCAAAATGGGGCAAACAATACCCATGTGAGATGATCTTGGGCAAGATGAAAGGAGACCATCCAGGCCTTCTTCACCTTCCATGCAAGAAAAAGACATCCCCTCTCATGCCTCTGCCCCTGTCCTTCCTCTGCCCCCCAGCCCAGGAGAGCCCCAGAGGGCTGAAATGTATCCATGATCCAAACTCAGAATCTAAAAGTTGACGCCATACAGTGAAACAATGACCCCTCCTACGGGGAGTATGTGGGCATGAGGCAGCTTTGTCCCTGTTCTGTCGACTCCCGGCTTTCTCTTCTCCTGGGACTATATAATTCTAACTCCTTCCAAACTTTCCTCTCGGCCCACTTTCTCAACGCCAAATCATTTCTGCCCATTCTGTCAACCACAATACACTCTCTGGGGGCTACCATGAGCATGGCTAAGACTGGAAAAATGGTATTTGGCCAACTAGGTATGAATATAGGGCTATCAGACCTTAATTCTCTGATCCGAAGAGAATTCAATTCAATTCATTATGTGTTTTTGGGGGAAGTCTGTGAAATAGAAATCATTGCCCTACATACTGAGTGGGAGAGTGAATAAGAAGTTACCAATGCACGCTGCTGCCTCCCAAGAGCTTTCTATATAACAAGACGGCTGGGCCACCCCCACCGACTGGTGGGTAGGTGAGGGTTGAGTGCTGACAGTGCCTGTCCTGAGATGGGGGCTCTGGGAGGCCTGAGCCAAGACGTGCTCTTCGACCTGGGCTAGGAGGCCACGGAGGAGCAGGGGAGGAAACAGGTGCTGTAGGCAGAGGGATGGGAGATGGGTAAAGGTGCAGAAACAGGACAGCAGCAGGCGTTTCTGGAAAACAAGATGCAGTCTGGCTTTGCGGCAGGGCAGTAGGGAGTGATAAGGTTCAAGCTATTGGCTGGGACAGGTTGGAGATGCCTGAAATACTGAGAGATGTTCAGGCTTTATTCTGTACCCATGGAGACACATTCAAAGCTTTTGAACAAGGGAGTGACACAGTCGGCTGCAGAAATATGAACTTGGCTGCATTACACAGGTTGCGTGGGAACGGGGCTGGAAGGCAGGGCAGCAAGGTGGCTGCGAGTCCAGGCGGAGAGAGGTGAGGGGAGAGGAGGGAAGGAGTGAGAAGTCCAAGCGAAGAAGCGAAGAGGACAGCCCATACGACTTGACTGACTGAACGCAGGCACTGATAACTGTGGAAGGGCACAGGAGAGGAAAGAGGAAGGCGGCTTTGTATCCTGGGGAACTGGGAAGATGAAGAAGCCTCTGGAGAGAGAAGTGGGCTCGGAAGATGCTGGTTTGGGCTGGGACCCTGGCGGGCAGGCAGAGGATGCTGTCCTCCAGGCCCTGGAGAGGAAGAGGGCCTTCATGCTCCACACCCTGCCAAGGACCCCCAGTGTGCCTGGCAGTTCAAGAGCTAACAGCCTGTTTGCTCTGCCCCTGCAGGGTGGCTGGCTAGCCAGCGATCCCAGGAACACAGCTGCTCTCTATCCACATCCACTTTAAACTGCAGGAGAGGTCCCGGTGGCTCCCTGGTAACTCTTGTCCCTCCAAAACCACAGTGTGGCCTCCACAACACCCGACCCAGCCCCTGCTGCTCATAGGCCCCTCCACACAGCCTCTGTTCCTACCATAGCTGTTACACAGTGAAAGGTAGACCAATACAAAGGCAGGTATCTAAAAAGGGTGTGGGAATCCTTCTTCTGGTGTCTTTCTCAGCTGGTATTGACAATATTCTCCACCATAAACCTAGCCATCTGGATTCTGGAGTTTGTTGGCTTATCAAGGTTATCGTTTTGGCCTGGACACTCCCCTAAAGTCAAGTAGGCGTCTCCCCAAGGGGAGCAGAGCCTTTATTAGCTGATGGCTTGGCAGAGCTGCCAGGCACCTTTATGCTGATCTAATGCCAGGCCCAGGAAGCTATGAATGTCTCCTGTCAAAATGTTATGTGGCTGTCACCTTCCCACTCCTCTGAAGCACACGGCCATTGGTCAATGAGAAGACTGTCATGGCTTCCCTCCTCTGAAGCACACGGCCATTGGGCAATGAGAAGACTGTCATGGCTTCCCTCCTATGAAGCACACGGCCATTGGTCAATGAGAAGACTGTCATGGCTTCCCTCCTATGAAGCACACGGCCATTGGTCAATGAGAAGACTGTCATGGCTTCCCTCCTCTGAAGCACACGGCCATTGGTCAATGAGAAGACTGTCATGGCTTCCCTCCTCTGAAGCACACGGCCATTGGGCAATGAGAAGACTGTCATGGCTTCCCTCCTCTGAAGCACACGGCCATTGGGCAATGAGAAGACTGTCATGGCTTCCCTCCTCTGAAGCACACGGCCATTGGGCAATGAGAAGACTGTCATGGCTTCCCTCCTCTGAAGCACACGGCCATTGTGCAATGAGAAGACTGTCATGGCTTCCCTCCTCTGAAGCACACGGCCATTGGGCAATGAGAAGACTGTCATGGCTTCCCTCCTCTGAAGCACACGGCCATTGGGCAATGAGAAGACTGTCATGGCTTCCCTCCTCTGAAGCACACGGCCATTGGGCAATGAGAAGACTGTCATGGCTTCCCTCCTCTGAAGCACACGGCCATTGGGCAATGAGAAGACTGTCATGGCTTCCCTCCTCTGAAGCACACGGCCATTGGTCAATGAGAAGACTGTCATGGCTTCCCTCCTCTGAAGCACACGGCCATTGGTCAATGAGAAGACTGTCACGGCTTCCCTCCTCTGAAGCACACGGCCATTGGGCAATGAGAAGACTGTCATGGCTTCCCAACAGCTTAACCTAGCAAGCCTTGCCCAGAGCTGGTGGTTTTGCTTTGGGAAGTGTCCGACAGCTCACTGAAACAGGCTGACGTGCCTACTTCGCACTGTATACACAATACAGCCTTTCCATAGCTCTTCCACTGCTCCCCTGGCTGGGAAAATGGCATTTGTACACTTACGGGGCCAGATAGCACAGCAGCCAGGCTGTGCTCCAAAGGTAATGTGCTACCAATGAACAGACCCCTTCTGGATCCTTACTACAACATGGCCCCCACGCCCCGCTTTGGGTGAGATGCCTCTCACAACACCAAGTCCACAGGACCTCGCCCATGGGTATTCATGACTACCAGAACCAGAAATATCCATCAGTGGTTTCACTGCAGAGCCCCAGTACACAGCCCCACTAGCCACCATGGTCTTCAGGGAACAGCAAAATCTCGTTGCTTAAGAACTCCCAATGCTTTCCCACGGCACTTCAATTTCCCTGTCATCGCCACTGTCCACACGTATGGGGGGCTCTGTGCTTATTCGCCTGTTTCCAAATGGTGCCTTCCAAGAGTTGAGAGTGACTGAGGGCTATTGGAAAGCAACCGTGTTCATGAAAGGAAATGACTTTGAAAGGATGTCATCGGTGATGCCACAAGGAAGTCAATTCTGAGCAGACAGAACAATGAGCCAACTCAGTCCAGGGGCAGTGTGAGCTCACCTGTTCCAACAGCTTAGAGCATGGCAGAAGGTGCTTTGCCAAAACTGGCATATGGCATGCACTCGCGTTTGCGTGTGTTCGTGTGACTCATATGTGCCATGACATTCCCATGCTCTGGCCTGTGTCAGGTCATGGGGACACAACGGTGAATTAAAGGCAGCCCCAAGAAGGACCTCTCAGTGTAGCCCAGCAAGCAAGTGTAAAGAGGTGGATGTAATTCCACAAGATAAATGGGGATGTGCCCCAAGAGCTAGGGGGACAGAGGGACAGTTAGGGAGTGCTGCTGCCTGGGTATCCAAGAAGCCTTCTGTAAGGAGCACTGTGGTCTGCTGGGCAGGGTCCTGCATGGGGAATCTGGAGCCCTGGGTTTGAGTGCTGACTTCAGTAACATTTAGGCAGGTGGCTGTTTCCCACCTTGGGCTCCAGTTTCCTCACCTGATCTCTCCAGCAACTTTCCAGCACTAAAGTTTCCAGGGCTCTGATTAGGACCAGCTAAGAGTTAACGTGAAGGCCCAGGAGCTACTTCCAGGCTCTGCCTTAAGGATCTGCTCTCACTTCATGGCCTGGCAGCATGATCACTCAACAGTGCAAGGTATGAACAGAATCAAGGACAAAAACAAATATTGGCATGTCTTCTCATGTAATCTGAGCCAGATGCTTCACATGTGTTTGTGTGACTCGTATGTGCCATGACATGGGATTGTGTTGTAGGTATCGAGAGATCTAGATAAATACTGATCGTACTGATTTTTTTTTTTTTTTTTGAGACAGCGTCTGGCTCTGTCGCCCAGGCTGGAGTGCAGTGGCGCGATCTCGGCTCACTGCAAGCTCCGCCTCCTGGGTTCACGCCATTCTCCTGCCTCAGCCTCTCAAGTAGCTGGGACTACAGGAGCCCGCCACCGCTCCTGGCTAATTTTTTGTATTTTTAGTAGAGACGGGGTTTCACTGTGTTAGCCAGGATGGTCTCAATCTCCTGACCTCATGATCCACCCGCCTCGGCCTCCCAAAGTGTTGGGATTACAGGCGTGAGCCACCACGCCCGGCCCTGATTTTTTTTTAAAGATCAAATAACTATGTACATGCCCTTGACACATATAAAATAATGTAAATCAGCGATATTCAGGTTACTGCTCTCAAGCCACATGGGGCCCTATCGTGGGCAACCTGCAGCTCTTACAAGCCTTCCAATTTCCTGTCTCAGTAATATGTGATCCTAGACTCTGTTGGGCAGGCAGCAGGCACGTGGCTCTGCTAGCTGGTGATGACTGCAAAAGTGGCTCCCGAGTCACATAACTCGATACCATGGGGTAAATATTTAATCCTGCTTATCTGCATGGAAATTCAATATTTTGGTTCCACTGTCTGTCTGTCTGTTTACGTGCTCATCCACATCAATGTCTGTATTGAACTGCAAGCTTTAGAGAGCCAGGGTGCATTTAAGTTGTCTTAATGACATGAAAGAGAGATTCCTGTAAGGATGGATATTTAATAGATGTGTTTTTTCATCTTGAAGAGGAAAAAGAAGAGAATCTGTCTCTTTTTCTTTATGGCTTCTCCCTGTAGTGTCTGACCTTCTATTAGATTTAACGTCGGAGCTGGAAGATGAGCCCTGTCCCTTTGAGCAGTGCATCTCTGCTGATGACAATAACCCTGCACTAATGACAGTTCTGCAATGGGTCCCTTCACAGGGGCTTCTCACTGCTGCTCAGAGGGAGGGGAGAAGCAGTCACTAGAGTGGGGAGACCTCAACATTATCCTAGTCTTTACCCAGAGAGAAAAGGGGCTTGGCTCTTGGCTGCCCCACTTAGGAAGCCACATCCAGGGCAACAGTACATAAACATGCCCCTTTCTTGCCCCTTTTTTGCCTTTTTGGCTCTGAAATGGCTCTTGAGTATCACGTCCTCTTTTTTCCAAGACTGTAACCCATTGCAGAGGCAGTGGCTAGTATTGGCATTGCTGTAGAAGGGAACATCGTGATGGGCTAAGCTTTAGACACTGACTGTCTTGAGGCCATGGGCATGCTAGAGTCTGTGTGAGTCTCCTCCTCTCCTCTTTCTGGTTTCCTGATGGCCAGACTCTTCAGATGGCTGGAAGCTGGGCCATGCCAAAGAAGCAAGAAGCCTGCAGAGCAACGCTCCATGCCATTGCAGGAGGCATGCAGACTCGAGAGATGCACAGGGTAAGGCTGATTTGCCAGGAAGCTTTCTCCCCAGCATTTCATCCAACAGCCTGTGTTAAGGCACCAGCAAGTGAGCCCCACATTGCTAAGCCCAATGGTCAGTTTCCAGTCACAGCAGCAACGCTCACACCCCTTCCTTTGCATTCCCTCCTGTCTCTCTGGCCATGCCTTTAGGAGTCCTGTTTGCTGGTTCTTTCCCTGTATCCCAATCTCCAAACATCAGTAGGGCTAGGACTCAGTTCTTGGACAGCATCTCACTTCTGTCTACACTCACACCCCAGTGATCTTATCCAGAGATCCAGGGGTTAAGTATCTTCTATATGTTGTTGACTTCCCAAATTACAGTTCAGCCACAGATCTCTCTCCTGGAGAGGTTCATTCCTTATTACATACTCAACATCTCCACCTGGATGTTTAATAGGCACTTCAAACTTAAAGGTCTCAGATGGCTTTCCTGATCCTCCTGCCCTGACACCCGTTCCTCTCACAGACTTCCCCATATCCATAAATGACAATTCCCCTCTTGCCATCGTTTAGGACAATTGCCTTGGAAAATGCCCTACCTCTCTCTCTCACATCCCATATCTGACGCGTCTGCAAATGACATCATCCTGAAGTCTGACCTTATCACTTCCATGGGTGTCAAGACCAGGCCCAGCATCTCCTGAGGCAGCAGGCACCTGACGGGACCCCTGCCTCTCCCTGGCCCACCTTCATTCCATTCTGCACATGGCAGGCAGACGGATCCTGATAAGTGTCTGTCAGATCGTGTTGCTTCTCTGCTCAATAGCAATTAAATACCCAGAGGCTCTTTGGTTCACTCCCAGTAAGAGCCAAGTTCTCACAATAGTTTATATACCCTACTCCTTGGGTCCCACAGCCTCACCTTACACCATTCACCCCCTTACTCCCTCCTCTCCAGCTGCACAAGCCTCCTCAGCTCCGGATTCATCAGCGTGGCCCCTTCTCATTGGCCCCTTCTCGCTAGCCTCTAGAAGGCTCCTTTCCCAACTATCTGCATGGTGCTTTTCCTTCCAGCCTCCACGTCTTTATTCCAATGCTGCCTCGATCGTGAGACATTCCTTGGCTGACCCCTTAAAATCACAACCTCTCAACACTCTTCCCCCTTCACTGCTTCCCCCCTCTCTGGCATGCTATTTAATTTACCACCTGTCTCTCTACTAGAATCTAAGTTCCACGAGGGCAGGGACTTTTGACTCCCTTGTTCACTGCTCTATCACCAGTGTCTATGGCAGTGCCTGGCAGAGAGCAGACCTTTCATGTGTGGATGGGTGGACTAATGAATGAATGAACTGGAACATATTTTTGTATATAACTTACGGGCCACTTCACTTACACTAATATTTAGAGAAATGTCCCCAACTGCACGCTTTCTTTCTGTTGTCCTTCCAGCCCATTTTTTCTACTCCTTGGTGGCTTTTGCAGCTTTCCCTAAGGAAACAGAATCCCTGGGCTCCCCTAAGATATGCTGGGTGTCACCAAGCAGCTCCTGCACTGCACTCAGCCCCACCTCCCCAGCCTCACACCACGGGCATCCAGATGCTGCCCAGGGGAGAAGCGGAGTCACCACAGCTGCTGATGAAGAGTGATCGGCCTTTTCTCTTAAAAGATGACTTGGCTTTTGAGCTGAAGAGAATTGGCAAACATACCATACTATAGTCTTTTAGAAATTTCAAAGGCTAAGATATTACGGTAATTGAAACACACATGCTTCAAACGTAGCAGGATTTCTCCCCTTGTATTTGTTTCAAAGAGCAATCTATGAAATTCTCAAGACAGGAAGATAGTTTCTGAGCCACTGTCTTACCTTTTTTGCAAGTGAATTAGGCCTCTGATTCCTTAATCATTTCATCACATCAATTCTACTTTTAATTGGACTTCCCCAACAGACACAGTCTCTTCCCAGCTCCACTCCTGTCTCTCACGTTCCACTTCATTGCATGTGTCTATCTTACTCTCTACATCTTGCTTTTTAAAATATTCATTCCCCTGCCTCATCCCCTGGAACTGTCCCACTAATTAGCATTTCCACTAATGAAGGAGCCAGGCTCCCACTCCAGTCCTCTTAGGACAAGAAACAGACCCCCAGGGCTCCTCCAGCCGTAAGGAAGCAGTGCAAGGTGAGAGAAACCAGTCTCCAGAGTCTAAGGCCATCCTTATCTAGGCTTAGGAAAATCTTAGCGAGACTGTCTATTGGGTTAGGCAGCTCATTATGCTCTTCTCAAAGTTTGTCAAGAAATTTGGGTAGATGGGCCTTGTCAGTGTGATCTGCTCCAGCAGCAAATAATACTCCATGCTGGGAACTCTCCTAACAATTTATTCATTTAATGGGTTAGATGGAGAAGCAGCACACTCTCCCTTGGAAGCTCCTGTTTTAGGCGGAGAACAGAATAGCAACGTTCTGTTATCTCGGTGGATAACCACTGGCTGCTAAGCGTGTAGTGGCTACTGCAGGTTTTCAATAACACGCGCTACAGAAATGCTCATCACCGTCAGTCACAAGGTAGCACCAGTGCTCTGACTTAGGGTGGAGCCAGGAGCCAGCATACAAATTCCTGCATTTTAGAGGTAGGCTTCTCCGTGGCTCACAGGCCAACTTATTTATTTACCATACCACTCAGTGCCACAAACTAATCAACTACTCCTCAGTTCCATCAACAGTGTAATAGAAGGTGTCAGGCATTTTTCCAGGAAGACCCTCATTGTTATAATCCATCAAAGGCCCTGTATTCCAACTTGCAAAACCACTTAATGGAGCACAAAGGCCTCCTTAGGTTACTACATTATGTTGTTAACAGTCCCTTGTTGTTTGTGTGCTTTAATTTTGTATTTGCTCCTTGAGCAGCGTTATCAGAAAGGGAGCAGTTGATAGATTTATTAAAGCTATCTTTGAAATGAGGGAGCAGAGATTCTGCTCCCGTGAACATCTTTGGCTATCTTCGTCCTTTCTTCCTGCACCTGTTTCTGCTCCTGGCAGCTCTTCTCATCATCCTCTCTGCTCAGGGTGAAGTTCCAGTTCCCTGTCTTTACCAGCATGACTCCACGCAGCAAATGCCCTGGATGGCTCTTTAACCTGTTTGCTTCGTGGAGTACTCTAGATGCTCAGTGTTTAGGAAACTGTTTTTAAGTAAGGCTGCTTGAGAGGACAAAAATGCACCTATTCAAACATGTATAGTGAAAGAGAAAGATATCACACACAGAAAAAGAAAGAAAGAGTATGATTCGAGTCACAGAGATCAAGGCCAAATGAGATATAGAGAGTGGTTAGAGTTAACCCAAAGCTTCTCAAATTTACTATGCATCTTGATCACCTGGGGGAGTTGTCAAAACAGAGATTCCTGGGCCCCATTCCCACAGTTTCTGGGTCAATAGATCTGGAGTGGGGCCCAAGACTTTGCATTTCTAACAAGTTTCCAGGTAATGCTGACGCTGCTGGTCAGCGGCCATGCTTTGAGAACCATGGAGCTAGTCTGGTAAGAGCCTGAATTTTCATGATCCGTCATTTTTTACGTATTTGTGAGTCAATGTCATCCATCACTTTCATTTCTATCTCAGCCACAGCCTATCCAACAAGGGGCCACGTGAACCCCCAAGGAAGGGAATTGGCTCAACTTCCATCACCTAATTGCATTCTGCCGAATTCCTCTGGGCTTCCCCCAACACTCCCACTTAGCACTTCCCCAGGTCTTTGAATCTAACCCCCTTAAGGAAAACCTTTCACTACCTTTCCTATGAGAAAGCTCAGTGGTGCATGGAAATCTGCAAAGGGGGAAGGAATCCTGAGCAGGTATAAAGTTTTCCAGGCAGCTGCTTGGCACACATTGTTCCTTTTAAACAAGCCTGCGCTTTCAAACGGGAAGCCTGTGCCCCTGCCCAAAGAGGTGGAACCTGGAGGAGAAGGATCTCTGATTTTAAAAAAGCCTCTGCCTTAGCAAAATCTCAACAGTCTTTCAAGGTGAAATATTCTAAAAGGAGCATGAGGTTTTCTAGATCGACAGCTATGATTTCCCACATGTGACCGATGTCTGTGTGCAGCAAGTGACTGCCATCAGTGAGATAACTGCTGCTCCAGGAAGGCACCCCGTGGGCTTCTAAGAAAGGGTGGCGGTCAAAGTTCTGTGCTGACCCCGATGCTGTCTCCTCTCCCCCAGAACCCAGCCCAAACACAGAAGAAGACGGCTGCTCACTGTTTCGGGGCTTCTCCTCATCCATGCCTTCGTCCTCATTCTCAGGATCGATGTCTTCGGCCTGAGTGATCCAATCCAGGTAGCCTTTGAGATCCTCTTCTAGCTGCTGCTTCTCCCGCAGCTTCTGGAAATCTCCCCGGGCCTTGGCCTTCTCCCTCTCTTTGGAAAACTCTCTGGTGAGAGTGAGAGGAGGGGCAGGGCAGGAGAGCACAGAGAAGGAGGGAGCACCGAGAAGGGTCGAGGATGGAAGGAGAGATGGAGATAAGGAGAAACAAGAGTCTTAATTGCTTTGCAGGGAGAAACCTGCCCACACGCCCCTACTTTCCACAGACAGCTCCGCTAGTCAGCCTAGGTTAGGTCTACTATCACCTCGATGGGAAGCGTCAGTAAGGGGACATTCCTGACACTGGCCAGGAGAGGCTTAAGGGGATGGATGAAGTCCATCTCCCTCTTTTCCTGGATCATGATCACAGGCTTTGCTTTTTAATAACTGTTCTCCGAAGACCTGGGAACTCGTTCCAAGCAGTAACTAAAAACCTCCACCACCATTCCAGAACATGCATTTCCATCCCACCCAGTATTGAGTGGTAGTTTAAAATTCTCCCAAGGGTCTCCAGGTGACACAAGGTTTTAGGACCGGCAGTGTACCAAAGCCCACTCACTCGCCCCAGGTCCTGAGAGCCAATCATTCATGTCTCTTCCCAACTCTGGCTTCAGGGATGTCTCGCTGGTAGCTTGAGATCGGCCACAGTGGGAATATTTACACCATGGTAACTGGCAAATGCTGAAAACCAGGGCTTTCCCCATAGAGAGCCAATTGTTAAATATTTACCAGTATACCACTGATTTGGGACCCAGGAGATTTAATGTCCTCAATCTCTATTCTTATGACGAGCTCAACCTGCCACTCAGCATTCCTGGAAGGATTTCTAATCTAGAGAAGGTTCTCTCCCACATGAAGACAAATGAAGATTCCAAACACAAGAAAATGTCCTGGGGGCTGCCCTTTTGGTTTAAAGAAATCCAATCAGAATAGAAAAATACATAAAATCAAGATGATATAAAAGTTAAATGATGCATTTGATTTAAAGTAATAATGAGTAGAAATTGAAACTGGGGTGGGATTTGCTGGAAGAATGGCCTATTGAAAAATTTCTGACACAATAACTATTTCTTTTCTATGATTCTGTCCTAATTTTCTCTCTGACTTCGAATTCACTTTCTGAGCAAGGAGGAGGCTGGCAGGAGAAGGCAATCATCAACAAAGTGAATTCTCAACCCTCAAAGCAAGTCTGTGCCTTTTCTTGCAAAATAGGCATAGGGGAGTATTTTTGGTTTTGATATGCAGTCTTTGGGGAATGAGGCCCTTGGTGGTGCATGTATGTGTGTATTTGTGTGTGTGTGTGTGTGTGTACATGCATAGGACATCTTGGTTAATTCTTGGAGCCATGATGTCTTCCTCTCTCACCCATGAAGGCCCAGTTCAGGGCACGAGGCTGCTGGAAGCACCTTGGAGAATTTTTTGCTGAAGCCACACTCTAGGAAAGGCACCATGGAAGGAGGGACAGCACCACAAACCATAAGAGGGCAAAGGGCTCTGCTTCTGAGTCTACTGTCATGTGGGGCAGCTCCATCACTACCTGCACTGCCTAGTGCTTGCATTTGGCCTGTGCCACTTGGGAGAGCACTAATTTCAGCATGCACCGTCTTTATGGTGAGATGGAGTTGGGGCTGGGGTGGGGCCTAGGGAACTTTTTAATTGGGAGAATGTGGGGGCTGTCAAGCTAACCAGTTCTCTTCAACTGCTGCCTTAATGATGCTCTGGTTTGGATTGAATTTTCTTCTTAAATTTGATTGAATCCAATTCTAATTGGATTGTACTTGCTGTTTCTTGGGCTTCCTGCCAACCAGTGGGTACCTTCATTTTTTTCCCAAGGACTTTTATGCTAGGGAAAAGGGACAGATTGACAGCTCACAATGGCGAGGGAAACTTTGCTCCTTCCCTTCTGGGGATGATCATAGAGAGATGCCATCCCCTCTCCTCCTAACCTCTTATCCCCTGTACCTGGTTAAGCCTTCGGGGCCTTAGTCTTGCTCCTGGAGACAGTAACCTCATATAGCATTTTTCTCCCTATGCAAATCAACTCCAAAAACTATGTTTCAAGGCCTCCTCTCTTGACTGTCTTTCTGTCTACCTCCATTTGCACCCCTCTGGGGTGGGTTTGGAGTTGCAAGGGGCTGAACTTCACAGTCCCTTGTAAGGGCTCACTTCAGCTCTTTTGAGTGACTTTGCAGAGGGTTCAAGTTCTGGTTACAAAACACCTTCCCATCCTTCTTTTGGAATTGGGAGAATAGGACTGGGACTCAACTGGAATAGGGACAATTGGCCCAATCCTGTTTTACAGCAACAGTCCCATGGAATGAAGCTCACCATCTATACCCCAAGGCCTCTGGGGATCTAAAATAAACATTACAGGGGGAGAAACAGAACACGAGGTATGCTGGTGATTCTGCCTGGCTTGAAGATAATTTTCCTCATAGAGGAAGGATGTGTTTTGGGAGTGTGAGAGGGATGGAGAAGGGCTTTAGTCAGATCTGGAGCATGGCTGGATCCCATGGAGTATGAGGCACAGACAGGCTTGAGGCTGGATGGAAGATGAGCCAAGGTTTCCCACGGTAAAGGATCTGCTGGTGGCAGTGCCTGGCTCTCTTTATCTCCTTGCCTGGATGCCAGCCATGTTCCTGCTCTGGGGACTGAGCTAATGAAGACATGGAGCCCCAGCCTGACAGTCTGCACTGGGCCCAGGGACTGAAGCCGGCAAGACAATCAGTCACAGCTGTGGGATTTGTCACGAGACAGGACTGCATCTCTCGCCAGCAATGGCCAACATGAAAAATGAGGGGTGGTGTGGAGAGCCAGGGGCCAGGGCTCAGCGATGTGAAGCATGCACAGGGCGGTGTGTGTGGAATCCAACCAATAGCCTGAGGTGTGCTAGGCCCTTTGATCATCGATACCACCCAGGCTCCTTATTTGTGGATCCCACATCTACAAATGCGCCTACTCACTAAAATGTGTTTGTAACTCCAGAATCAATACTCGTGGCACTTTCAGTCATCTGTGGACATGTGCAGATGACAAAAACTCTACATGTTCCCGCTGAGGCCAAACAAGGGGCATGTAGAGTTCTGCCTTCCCAATTCAGCTCTCATACTGTGAGGTGTCCTTTTCACCGTCCACTTAGTGCCATGTTTTCTCATTTTTGTGCTTTTTGTTGGTGATTTTGCTGTTTAAAATGGCCCCAAGCATAATGCTGAAGTGCCGTCCTGTGTCACTATGCGTAGGAGGGCTATGATGTGCTGCACAGAGAAAACACGTGCATTAAATAAGCTTCACGCAGGTGCGAGTTACGGTGCTAGTGGCCAGGAGTTTAATGTTCATGAATCAATCATATATATTAAATAAGGTGTCTTTAAATAGAAACACACTTAAAACAAGGTTATGTATTGATTGGTTGACAAAATGTGGGCAGAGGCTCACAGGAAACAACTCTGTAGTTCCTCAGGACCAACGTCTCAGTGTCCACTACTTCATGTTTGTGGTGACTTTATGGAATGTAACCGTCATGAATAAGGGTTACATTCCATAACATGTAAGGGTTACATTCCATAACATGACTGTGTATGTTGGGCCATCTCTTCTGCTCCCACCCACAAGGCACGTGTGTCCTGACCTTTTATTGCTTTCTTCTGGTCCCAGATACTGTGTCTTAACTGTGGGCCATGGTCCAGCGATACTTCCTGGCTGTAAAATGCCTACCTCCCGGGTCCTCTGCTTTTTGGGGACAAGACATGCCCATCTCCCAGTGGGAAAAGGGATGGGATGACTACCTATGTAAGAAATCGTGGGCCTCTTGCCAACTGGAGGCGCACTTCCCAAGCCCTCTGTTTGCAGTCGCTTAAAACAAAAAGCAACCAGAGTCCAGAGGCTTCCACCTCATTACAGCTTCAAGTGCAATTTCAAGAATGTCATCATCACCGTTGTCTTTATTCTAGTCGACTGGAGATTGAGCTTTCTGAGGGGAAGTAATCATAATCTGATTATTATCCATAAGAGCACCAGTCCTATGTCTTGCATAGGGTTAATGTGAGGACCATCAGATAATAAAGTATTTTGAAAAAATCCTTTAATATCTATTCTTTATATTGACTTTATCTGGCCTCATCAGAAATAGGTGTTCTGGATGTGTGCATGATCCAGATAGAAGAGGTCTAACCCTCTCAGGGCCAAAAGTCTTTGAATTTCCATTAAAAATTTTTTCTTTTTTACTTTTAGAGACAGAGTCTCGCTCTGTCACCCAGGCTGGAGTGCAGTGGCATGACTATGGCTCACTGCAGCCTCAAACTCCTGGACTCAAGTGATCCTCCCACCTCGGCTTCCCGAATACCTGGGACTATAGGTGCTGCCACCAAGCCCAGCTAATTAAAAAATATTTTCTTTGTAGAGAAAGGGTCTCACTATGTCGCCCAGGCTGATCTCAAACTCCTAGCTTCGCATGATTCTCTTGCTTCAGTCTCCCAACACTGGGATTATAGGCATGAGCCACCATGCGCAGCCCTGAATTTCCACACTTTAAATGGAAGCTTTATGGAGTCATCTTCTCTACCTTCACAAGCACAACACACCAAGCACCGTTCAATCTTTCCTTAGTGACTGAAGGACATAATTTATGAGGATGAGTTACTGTGCAGGGCTATAAAATCATATTATCCTTAATTGTTGGAATGCAGGGTTTCACACCCACTTCTCCCAGTCCCAGAAGGCTCCAAGACTGCAGTGCTATTCAGTTAGTGGCTTTGCTCTCTTTCAAGGGCCATGAAGATCTGCAGGGCTGCCGGTCCCTCTGCTAAGCAGCCCAGCCCTGCTGCAGGCCTCTGGGCGGTTGCCTTCGCAGCTTCCTGCTGGGATTCTGTGTGCCTGCTGGCTGTTTCCCGCAGTCTGTGCTGATTGCTTCTGTGCCTGCCTGCTCGCTCCTCTCACCCTTCCTACTGCAGCTTCTGCTCTTCCCCTCTCCATTTCTCGCCTGTCATTTAAAAGCATGGGATGAACCCGTCCTATGGGTTTGGGGAGAGTACACCACAGAGGTCAGGGATAGAAGTGATGGATTCACATCGCTTGGGCTCAGCTCTGCATCCTGCATTTCTCACCTGCTGGGATTGAGGTCATTTTGCCTGGTGAGCTTCACTTGCCTTCTCTGTAGAATGGACACAGGAATAGCACCAGCTCACTGAGTTGCCATGAGCATTAACTGAGCGAATCTAGCGAACACGCCGAGCACGGAGCCTGACACAGAGAATGCTAGTGACTGTTAATGTGACAGTCAATTTCATGGAGCAGTGAGACCTTTTTGAATGCTTCTGGAAGTGTAGCTTAATCAGAAGTCTGATGAATAAGTGGGTGTTTGACTGCATGGTCAACTACATCTGCACCCAGTAAGTGTGTGACTATTCTACGGTCCTGGCTAATCAAGACACTGACTGGAAACCGTTGCCTCTGAGTGGTCAGCCAACAGAAGCTGATTCCAGCTTTGGCACTGCATGGGGCGGGGGCAACCAATTCAGAGTGGCCAGCCCTTGACACATGAGGAGAGGCCTCCTTAAACCAGAAAGGGGAGGTGCTCGCCCATACACACATCTTTGCTCTTTAGGGCAGACCTTTGGCCAAGGAAGCCTTGGCAGATGTTCTATCAGTGATTCAGGAGCTGCAAGGAGCAGACGGCAGCTCTCAGAACAGGTCAGGAAACAGAGGCTGGCGAAGGTCTCCAGGAAAGACCAGCGTATCGACTCAAAGACTCCTAAGTTCAGAGGTCAGATAGCCTTAATGTTCTTGTTCTGAGTCAACCAACATTTTTGAATATTACTAAGCTCCAGGTTTGGGGTGAGGGGTCTAAATACACCCTAGCGCTTTTAGGCTGAGTCAGCCAAGATATGGCCTTCAAAGTGGCTTCTTCCCCAACATCAGCAGTTTCTGTCACTTGACTTCACTGCTTTGATTCCTGGGCAGACGCTCTGCTCAGGGAGGACCCTCAGGGCCCAGCCCTCATTCTCCACTTCAGGCTCTTGGTGGGGGGTTACTTGCTCAGATTTGGTTCCCAGTCTCCAGGGGAAGAAAGTGGAGTTACATTCTTTTAAAAGTCTTGAGCTGTGGCTTGTGTTGCAGTTCAAGCTCATTCATCATAGATCTCATGGGAGGCGGTGCCTTGAGGGCTGGCTCTGGTTCTGCTACTTACCAGGGAAGTGACGTTGTACAAATCACTTAACATCTCTGGGCTCACGCTCCTCATCTTTAAGAGGAAAGGCTGGAGCATGTCTAATATTTGATGATTCTATACTTCTAGTTATAACAGGCACCAAGTAAATAATAATCATTGTAATGATAGCACCATTATTGGGCACTTATTATATACCACTGTGTTAAGTATTCTGAAAATGATCTTATTCTATCATCACAGCCACCTATGCACTGGAATTATCAGCTTCACTTTTTCAGATGGGGAAACTAAGATTTAAAAAGGTGAAACCACCCAACATTATGTACCCAGCAAGGGCAGAGCTGGGATGCCTCAATTTCTGCTTTGATTCAGGGTGATGAGGTTGATTTTTTCAATCTTTTCCTTAGAGATTCACATATAAACACATGGGCATTTTCTTGTGTTTGAACATAAAACTGAAAACCTCTCTACCTTCCAGGCAATGAATCAGGGACTTACGTTGTTCTGCTCATCACTGTTATCCCTGATGGAAGGCACTAGTCTCCTGTGTGGCCTCACCTTAGCAAAAGGCATTTTGTCATCAAGGTCTCTACTGGGCCATTCTCCATGGGAGGTGGAAGAGCTGGGAGGAGATTCTTTCCTCTACGCAGCTCTGAAGGCCAAGCCCACTGCTCTGAACTGCATTAGGGCAGCTGTAGGAGCTGGGAGTAGCGATTCCCAGTTTAGGTACTGGGGGAAAGTGGAGAGCAATCTTTGTCTTTATGCTTAAATTTCTCCCAGCATTAACCTCTCTAGACATTTAGGGAAGACTCTGCAAAGCAGCTGACCAGTCTCAAGCAGAGTAGAAGTAGATTACCCCCCTCCCCCAAGTGGCAAAGGCAGCAGAGTGGGTTACCCATGAGCAGGTCACCAGGAGCATTTAGGTGTTAGGCCTTGGCATGGCTGGTGTGGACTTCTGAAGAAGAAAGTGGGTTGAGGAAATATCCTATGCGTTTCCATGGTGAAAAGGTGGCCATCCTCAGGTGCTTCCTTCCAACCACGTGCTACTTCTACCATGGGGTCTCGCTATGTTGCCCAGGCTGCAGTGCAGTGGCACGATCATAGCTCACTGCAGCCTTGAACTCCTGGGCTCAAGTGATCCTCCTGTCTCAGCCTTCTGAGTTGCTGGGTCTACAGGTGTGCACCACCATGCCCGGTTACTTCTACCACTTCTAACTTCATCTGAGCAAGGGCTGAAATTAGGTAGATGTGATACTTGCAGCCAACTAGATATAAAGTTAGAGGAAATTGCATCCCATCTCCTCTATTCTTAAATAATATATGGCTTTAAACAGTTAAGGGTCCTTTCCATTCAGAAAAGGAAACTCAGAGATAGACTGCTCAGTCTATGAAGTAAAATGAGAATTAGATTTTGAGTCTGTCTTTGTTTATGTTTTAAACCAGTCTTTTCTTACCCAGGCCTGTTCACCAGAGGCCACGAAGGCACAAGGAGAAGTGCCCTGCCTGCCTGGACAGCTACTTGAGGCTGGGAGGGGCCAGCTGGACCCACTTTTTGTGGTGAAGCCAGCTCTCCTCCATTGTCCACCACCAAGACCAGTGGCACATCTGACCCTTTACCCAGCCAGGACAAGGACATCCACTTCAAGGCTCCTGTGGTGACCCCTTATCCCAGGTTCATCAGAGCCAGAAAAAGAATACAGCCAGGAATAGCAGAAAGAATAAATAAAAATAAATGGAAAAATCAAGACCTTTTTCCTTGGTCCTGCTTACCCGCTAAGCACACCGAGAACCAAGTTAAGTACAAAAAATGACCCTATGATGATTAGTGTAACAAAATAGATCCAGGGCCAGTCCCTTCCTACGGCATCATTGACCTGGAAGAACGGAATGATAGTTAGTGAGGCACACTCAGCAACCGAGCACGGCCAGTGCCGGTCCCCGGCTCCCGAGACACTGACCCACGCAGCGCCAGGATCCGGGGACCCTCTAGGTGCAAATCAGAGGCCAAACAGCCTGCCTGGCCAATGGGTCAGAATCTGTGGTTGAACAGAGGCTTTGTTGTGGTTTTCCTGGGCCTGTCAGGGTCCCATCCCTGAGGACCCCGGGCATGTACGGAGTGGAACCTGAGACCTTGCTCGGCTGCGTTGTGGAGAGGACATAGAAACGGTCAGCTTACCCGCTCAACACACCGAGAACCAGATTTAGAACGAAAAAGGATCCAAAGATGACCAGACTGACAAAATACACCCAGGGTAACTCATAGCCCATAGCGTCCTGCATCTGGAAAGACGAAGGAAAGTTAGGAAAGAAGAAGCAGAATTGGGTTACAGCAAAGAGGCAGGCAGCAGGTGTGAGCAGATTGGGAGGGGACAGACGGGGCTGAACGTGGGCTTTGTTCATGTGCACCAGGTTACCCGTGTTACCCAGGGCATCGCCCATGTTCAAAGGAACTCCTGTGACCGAAGGGGACCTCGGCCCGCTCTGCCTCAAGAGGAATCACTCTGTCTCTCTGTGGTTTTATTTTCTGAAAAAGAAACATTTCTCCAATGTTTTCTATTCACTTGTCTGAGAAAATGGGTCACCTCAAAAAATAATTTCTTCAGCATGGGATGGTTTAACTCACTTGGGTTTGCCTGGACATTAAGCCTTCTGTTGCACCCGGAGGCCCCTGACCTTGGTGTATGAAGTGCGTCAGCTCCTGCTGACAGGCCTGGAGAACTGAAACCACAGAGGAGGTGTGAGGAAAGATAACCTTCCTCAGAAGATAACCTTGGCCACCTGGACCGTGGGCCAAGCCCGGAAGTTAGAGGCTAAACCCCAGTGCTTCACACGTACTGCGGGCCACCGGCTGGGAGAGGCAATCATTTTGGTTTATGTATTCAGAGAAGGGTCCTGTGACTGCAACCACAGCTTAGGGGTAAATGGTCCTTAATGTGGAAACTGACTGTAACTACTGAATGGTGGAGAACGCCCTGAAAGGTCACAAACCCCTACGGCAGCCAGAGGGAGTGGTGCGCCGGAGCTGGCTCCTGGGGGCTGAGGGGAGCTCACCGTGCACATCTCTTCCCAGCTCCGTGTTCGTTGACCACACTGGCAGCTTGAAACTGACCATGGTGGAAGTATTTACACCACAGAGATAGGCAAGCAATAAATCAGCCCCCTGTACCCGCTGACCCTAAGAAGAGATGCTTAAACATTTATTAGCTCACCACTGGCTGGAGGGTGGACGTGAAGATAAATTGCAGAGCTGTGCTTCCATCAGAGGAAATTTATTCTGATTTAGTTTCTCAAAGCTATCTCTTCTGATGCCTTCTGACTAAACAGGGTTAAGTTCTGGCTTCCTAAAAATGCACCCAACTTTGTCCTTGTGAAACTAGCTCATAGAAACCCAAACTTCCAAGGCACACAAGTGTCCTGAATGATTCACATCAATGGCTCTCAAAGTGTGGCCCACGGACGAACAGCTTCAGCGTCACCTGGGGACCTGTTCAGAAATGCACATACCTAGACCTCACCCTGACACTGTGGGGAAGGCCCAGCAACCCACGTTTTGACGGCCCTACAGGTGATTCTGATGCATGCTTGAGCACCACTGATCACATTGTTCTCTCCATAGCTCCCAATTTCAAATGTAACAACACAAGTGTGTGGCTCTCCATGTACCTCCACAAGGTTGCATAGCAGTGTTCCTCAAAGTGTGGTCCAAGGACCACCAGCATCAGAAACATCTGGGAGAGTTATGAACAAAGCAGATTCCTGCCCCATGCCCCCAAGATCTCAGGGTGGCCCACAGTCTGCATATTAACCATCCCAGGTGATTCTAGGCTATGCTCAAGTTTGATAACCACCCCACGATTTCCACCCAGGGGCCTCAAAGGAGTTCAGGCAGGTGGGATAGTAATACCCTCAGCCCTTGGGCTTTGCAGCTTCAGCAGCCACATGCATTTGTCTAAGTACGCTGGATAAACATGTTCTCTGCATGCCGGGAATAAAAGACTGAGAAGTACCGAGACACCTAGCTAGTCTGACTGGTATGAAGTGTTACATCCCAATATGTTCTTTACAGATCCATTGAGATGTATCTGATATTACTAAATTTTGGTTAGGAAAATTCACCCAACATAATCATTGTGCATAGTGCAAATATCGTGTCTGGGGCAAGAAGATTCCCAGTGTGTGCCCACTTGGCCATGCCATCGTGAAATTCAATTGAACGTGGGTTTACTGAGCATGCCCATTTTCTCACATCTGGTTTGCTTTCCCAGAGCACTTCTCACTTGGTAACTGTATCATTACCTATTTATTACGTGTATTATTTGCTGTTTGTCTTCCATGCTAGAATGTGAGCTCCCCGAGGACAGTTGGTTCTGGCCTGCTTTGTTCACGGGTGTACCCCAGGTGCCTACAACGATGCCTCGCACATAGTAGGTCCTCAGCTAACGCTCTTTGAGTGAATGAGTGAACCTGATATGTGCTAGGTACTGTGCTGTAAACACGAAATCCTTGCTGGAGGGGAGACAGGAAATGACCAGGCAGCTACAGTGCAGGCTGGCAGCTGCAACTGCAGAAGGAAGCACGCAGGGTCCCAGAAGGCTTCCACCAGTGGAAGAGTGTCTGCGTGAGGCTGAGGGGGGCAAGGGCCAGGCTCAGCAGGCCTGTGTCAACCTTGCACTGCACAGCCACTGAAGGCAACGGAGATAAAGAGCAGGAAGGAAGCCCCAGAGTCCATGTGGTCCTATGATAGCAATGGAGGTTTGCAGAAGTCGGCAATTGTTAAAAATAGAGCCTATGGCTGTGAGGCCATCCTGGCTGCAAAGATTCTCCCAGTGGCTGAACTACTAAAATATCCAGCAAAAGAGCATCTGTTAGGAGAGGCGGGGTGAAAGGTCCTTGTGTGTCAGACACTGTCCCCATCCCAGGGAGCCTGGGAGCTTTCCTTTAGCGATAAGGTAACTGTCTGAACCAACAGTGCAAAGGAAACCACACCAGACTTCAGCACCAGGAGAAGAAAAACAAACCCGAGCCAATACAGGATGGGTGGGATTGGTGACATGAGATTAGGGAGAGAAAGGCATGAGAGCCACATGAGCTGCCTGACCACAGGCCACACTGACAGCCGTGCTGGCCACGATGGGCTGTGGTCTGCAGGTCCCATTTGACGATGGGAACCGTGAGGTCATTCTTTGACTATTCTTAGCAGTGGTCACATCAGAGTCCACGTTTGTTCAACAAGTATTTACCGAGCGCCTACTTGTGTAAGGGTTCTGTTGTGTATCGGACTCTCTGATACAGGGAAGGCAATGGGGTTGAGACAGCCCTGGAATGGGAGTCCCAGGCACCTGCTGAGGAAGAGGGAAACCTGGATCCAAGGTCAGGGGGAGCCTGTGGGTGTCCTTGTAGCTTTTCCTCTCTCAGAGTAAGTCCTGCTAAGGAGGGTCAGAAGCAGTCCCTTTCTTTTCCTCTAAATGAGTATTGCTTTACTTTTTTTTTTTTTTTTTTTTTTTTTGAGGTGGAGTCTCACTCTGTCGCCCAGGCTGGAGGTGCAGTGGCGTGATCTTGGCTCACAGCAAGCTCCACCTCCTGGGTTCATGCCATTCTCCTGCCTCAGCCTCCCGAGTAGCAGGGACTACAGGCACCCGCCACCACACCTGGCTAATTTTTTTTTTTTTTTAAAGTAGAGACGGGGTTTCACCGTGTTAGCCAGGATGGTCTCGATCTCCTGACCTCGTGATCCGCCCACCTCGGCCTCCCAAAGTGCTGGGATTACAGGCATGAGCCACTGCCCCCGGCCTGCTTTACTTTTTTGAGAGGGTGGGGCAGTCAGGAAAAGCTTTTGAGAACTATGGACTCCCACCAGCAGTAATGTGCACTGCACACACACAGCATCCTGCAGACAGCCTCGAGGGCACGCCGGCACCCTGAAGCGCGTGCAGAACCCCATGGTACTGACCTACTCCAAACAACTGGTCTGTTCTGTTCGACCCCAAAGGAGCTTGCCCCGTGTGCGTCAGGGGATCAAGAGTGGCAGAGGATGTCTGTTCTTGGCAAACTCCCCTTGCTCCTCTCTGGGTCACAGACCCCACCTTCTTCAGGACACGTGGGAGCAGCCAGTTCCAGGAGGCCACGACGTGCTCACCACAGTTCCCCTCCCAAAGCTGCCTCTGGAGCCTGGGCAGATGGCGAGTGGGAGTTGGGCTCGATGGCGCCCAGGCAACTTCCTCAAAATGAAATCTTTCCTCACTAGTTCCTCACACCCCTTAAATTTTGTGAACATTTAACCTCACAGAAAATGCAGCCTTGGAGGCCACACAAACCCACGCGCCTTGGAGATTTCCTAAGGCCCGAGCTTAGTCTGGGAATCCTTTCTTCTGCGCCACACACAAGGTGAGAGGCTTCCAGCATATGAAGGACTTCAAAGGGGGAGCTACAGACCTCAAGGTCATGGCCCCACAGACAGCCAGGACCATAAGAGGAAACTCATGGGTCCCCCTCGCCGTCCCACACTGCTGCTTTGGTCCCCCCTGGGCTGTGGGCTGGTTTTTTAGAGGTTCGAGATGGGGAACAGCAGGCGAGGGCAGGAAGCAGGAGGACAGATGAGAGATGGAGACGGACGAGGCCAGGGTGGTCCTCAGAACCCCACTGCCTGGGTGAGCAATGCTCGGCTGCCACAGAAGGTGATTCTCTGGCCTGCCTGGCTCTGGTCTGAAAGGAAAGTTCTCCTTTCACTTCCCTCTTACTTTCTCCTCTTTATTCTGGTCCACCTACTTTGGGGGGACAGCTGAGTAGAGAGCACACAAAGCTGGGTGGCTCTGAAGTAGGGCGATGCCTGGAGTCATGAGATTGATGTCCTAAAGCAGCTGAAATGGAGCTATTAAGAAGACAAAGAATAAAGTCAGATTTAAAAAAAAAAATGACCCAGATTGCTGACACCCTTATTTAGAGGTGAAATAAGGGATAGGTCTTCTAGAGCCATTAAGCCGTGTTCCTCAGGTCTCCTGACTTTCCTAAGGAAAGTCAGCTCATTGTCTGTAGCCTTGAGGGCCTCCAGGCCCAAGTACTGGCAGGACGGCCCCTGCCTTGGCTGAAACAGCCTCACTACAAAGGGAGGGAGCATTGAATGAACACTATCAAAGACCTTTCGGCAACCAGCATCTAATTCCTTGAAGGGAACCCCAGATTTAAACCCTCAAGTCCACTTTTTATCTTTCCCCAAAAAGATAAACAGGGGAATAAGCTTCCCTAGCCCCTCTCCTCGAGGCCAACTCCCCAGCCCAGCAGACTTCCACGGGTTCTCAAGCTGTGTGTACCTTTCCTGTAAGGTTCTTGGCACAGGCACTGTGGATCCAAAAAGGCTGAATCGTTTCAGCAAATGTCGAGAGAGAGGCTGACACCTGCCATCGAAAGGCAGGAGGTGTAAATCTGTGAAAGCCACGGTGCTTTACACTGTCACTGGGGGACAGGATCTGCTGCTGCCAGTGAACACCAGTCAGCTCAGGGCAATAGCTCCATCAACCTGCGGCTTTCAGAATCTATGTCACCTTGCTTGCTGGGACACGGGCAGCTACCTCACGGAGCACCAAGTGAGCAGGAAGTTGTGGAACAGGCTCCACCTGGCTGCTCCCCACCCCTGCACCTGCTTATTGAGTGCTGAAAACCCGGGAGTGCCTCAGAGCCCAGGTAAAAGCTTAGTTTACATGGGGGAAGAAAACAACAAGCTCCTAACACCAAGGCAAGCCAACAAAATAAGCTCCTCCATGCATTTCAAACTCCCTGGAATCAGATGGACTCATGTGCTGACATCATGTGGGAGGTTGGGAGCTGTCATAGAGAGTAGTGGGCCCCAGTGTGTGAAGACCTGTGCAGGAGACAACTGGCTGACAGCCATAGCAATGTTGAGAGAACCTAAAACCCAGGTCTCTGCGGCCTCCCAAACTGAGACAAAGCTTGCTTTCCCCAGGCAGAAGAGCCTTCTCTCCTGGTCCAGTAAAGCCCCACTTGGTCCTGGAGTGCTCTGTGCCCCTCAGGGCTGTCCTGCTCCCACAGAGGGCACTGACCCCCATGGCTCAGCTGTGTTCCTCCGCATGTCCTGCAACTCTTTAGTTAGACCTGAACTGCCTGGGCAGGCCTTATTCTTCTCTGTGCTCCCACATCCCTCGTCCCAGGAAACAGCAAATGCTCAATAAATGTTTGCTAAATTAAATTACAGAATCATAAGGACTCATCTAATACCAGCAAAATAAATAAAATGAAACCCAATAAATAAATAAAGAATGGCTTTGAGAGATGCTGACTCTCTTCCTTGATATGCTTCTGAACAGCCAGTTTACTGTTTAGATCAGGGATTCTCCATTTTAGGCAACAGGTGCACCCTGGGGGTAGCACGGAGGCAGGTGAAAAGTCAGGGACCACAGAGGTCCTAACACGGTCTCTACTCCGATACCTGAGAAAGGGCCCTGGACACTGTTTCTGGGTTACTTGAGGGTTTCTCAGCTCCTCACTTAGAATGACTCCTAGGTCATCAGCAGAATTCAGCTCTAACTTTTATGAAGCCTTCAGCAACTCTATATTCTGCAGTGAAAGGAGGTGGCTTTGTGAAGATGGAGTAGACAAAAATAGGGTAAAACACCCAATTCAACCTGCTTGGATGCAAAAGGTCTTTGTCATAAACGAGGGATATTTCAGCAGCACCAATACCAAGAGATTAATAGCTGTTGTGTGTGTGTGTGTGTGTGTGTGTGTGTGTGTGAATTTAATAGAAATACCTTCTCCGCACATCCAGACACATAGTGGGATGGCAAGATGAAGGGTGGAGCTGACAAGTGACTTATGAAAAGTTAACTCATTAGATTTTTGTTCCAAGAGTCTCCTGTTGGCTGAACCAAAACAAATTCCAGGTTCTAGAGAACACACTATTTGTGACTCTAAAAAAATCTTTCTTTTAGATGATTTCTCATTAAGTATTTTTTATAACCTAATTTTTAAGTTTAATTTTTAACTTGTAAAAAAAAATCAGTCGAAGAACTGATCACGGAGAAACTAATGCAGGGGCAATGGGTGGTGTCAGGAAGAGGGTGGTCCCAATAGGATGGGAAGGGGCATGAACCCAGGATAACGCGGGCCAGAGGCTCTTTACTGTGGTTCACAGTGTGCAACATTCTTGGGGATCCCAGAAGGGCATGGGGTGGACAGAAGTCAACAGAATGCTCCTGATGAATTATCCAGGCATTGAGATTCCTAAAGAGCTAGAAACACATCCTCTAGTGTGATGCCTAGTCTAGCTGCTGCCCCCCTTCCACAATTCTCACCTGCAACGTTCTGCGTGTGTCCCCAACCCCTATCAGTGGCCATGTCATTCTGTTTCCCATGAGCAGGGGCCTCATCTCAAGTGCTGAACACAAAGTCAGCACTGAAAAGATGTTTAATTGATGGATATTTCTGTTACCTGATTGTGACTGCCCACAGTGTGTAAGAGGTCATGCTCAGAGTTTCAAACCAACTGGAATTCTCAGAGCATGCCTATGAATCCTATCGACAAGGTCCTGCAAAGGAGGCTGACCCAGCAGACTTTACATCTTTGAGATGGCTCATGCGTAGACCATGGGAGACAAGCAGCCTTGAATGATGTGCAAAAGGCTAGGGATGTTTAGATTTTTGAAAAAAACAAAACGTGAAACTAAGAATGGAAAACAATGGTAACGTTACACATTAGGTTCTTCCCTCCTTGGTGCTTCACTGCCTCTGAAGAAGGCCAGCGCTTTTTATCTGATCACACTCCCCACACCTACCCATCTGTTTTTAAGAGTCTTGGACATTCTGAGAGTAAAGGATGAGCCTTTGGCTTAAGAAGTAATTTCCTAAGGAAACTATACACCAAACCCGAGTTTTGTTTCATTTCCAAATCCCCGGTATCCACCCTTCCTTATTCTGTCATCTGCACACTCCTCAAACAGGATATTAGGTAGAAGAAATGTTTTCAGCAAATTGCTCGGCTTGTTGGAGCCTCAATGCAATGCATGGCCAATGGCTTTCATAGCTGAAGCAATGTTCAAGTATTACTCGACCAAGTCTGATTTTATTTTTAGTCCACTCTTTAAAATCTAACAATGGAATGCAATAACGGATGTTAGAGGAAAAGAGAAAGATACTGTATCATCCACAACTGGAAGCAAGTGCTGCCATCTGCTAGGTGCCTTCCCTGATCCCTTCTATCTCAGGCCATAACCAGCGGCTGACCAATCGCTTCTTTGATGCTTTAGTGACTTACTCTTTTCCAGCTGTTTGGTGATTTAGAATGAATGGAGCTCTGGGGTTTCCATGCATTACTATATTTGAAAATCTTGGCTGCTCCTTCTCAAGTCCTTTAGACTTGCCCTTGTGCCTGAAGGACAATTCATTCTTCTGAGTGAAAGGCCTTATTTCCCCCTCCTCCCTGTGGAAACTATCTCCTTAGAAGGGTTCAAAGCCAGCAGCATCATACCAGCACCATGAGGTTCAACAGGTTAGATTTCCAGCGTTTTCAAACTCCAGCCTGGAAATCAGAATCACCTGGAGAGCTTTTTCAAAATGCAGATACTGGGGCCCCGACTTTAGAGCTTCTAATTCAATGGCTCTGAGGGAGGTTTGGGTATTTTTATATTTACAAAGCTCTATGTTTGATGCTAGAACATTTTGAGATTTGAGAGTCTGTGCTTTAGAGATACTGGCCTAGAAGCTAAGGAGGAGGGACACTGGAGAGAAAGGAAGAGGGAGAGGGAGGAAGAAGGAAGAAACAGCCGTAGAAAGGTCAAAGCAATTAGAGAAATTGAAAGCAGGAGCACTGGGCTAGGCAGGGCTTCTATCATGAATACCCAAGTTTCAGTTTTAGGTGTGTGTATGTGCACGTGTGTGTATACACACTTGCAGGCGTGCACACACATACAAATGCACACACACACAACATGGCCATTTTGGGAAGGTGCTGGGAAAATCAGAGAGAGGCATGTCCCATGAGCCTGGGATTGTTTCTTCACCTCTGACACTGTTTCCATTCCCAGCCTGAGCACTATCACACGCTCCCCAGGGGAGAAGGCACAACACAGCTGCTGAAAATTGGTGGTTGCAGTTGTTGCTGCTTCTGCTCCCCGCCCCGGCTGTCATTATGACAGTATTTCTTTGGATCACATCTGGCTGGTGGGGCATCAATGACTTGTGGTGGTGGGAGAAGAAGGGAGTGGTGAAGGAAGAACACAAAAATACATCAGCAAAGGCAGTCATATCTATTCCTACCCTCCACCCACCCTCCACTGCCACCTGCCCTCAGTTTGATGCCATGGAATGCATGGGCCTGAAGCTTATGGGATGAGGCCCCAAAGCACAGTCCCACACAATCATTTATCCTATGTGGCCTGTAGGCAGAAACTGCCTGTTGGCAGAAGGATGTTTCTGTCCTTGGCTGGTCAGAGGGACCCACCCCAGGAAGAAGGACCAGCTAGGTCCACTTGGGAATTTTGTCTGCTTTGCTAAACAAAATAAGTTTCCCTAAGTGTAATAAGTTCAATTCCTTCTGTCTTACAAATTATTCAAAACCAAGGTCTTATTGAGCATGAATCTCAGAAATGTTTTCCAGTGTTTCATTTTAGTTTGAGGCAGAGGGGTTCTGACCTTTGTCTTCTTTTTGAAAGTATCACAACACAGCAGCTTTGCCGCGGCATGGGTCCAGCCATACTGCCATTACTCAGTTTAGAGTTTAGTTGGCTTCCTAGACTGAGATAATTGGACTGGACTGGATCTTATTTATGACTGAATCCTCAGAGCCTAGGAGCACCCCTGGCAGGCAAGGACACTCAGGAAATGTTTGCTGGGTACAAGGTCCTCGGGCAAGTTTCAAGTTGTCACTTACAGAGGGAGGGACACATGTCATAGCAACACTGGGGTTTGGCATATTGACTATCATGTAAAAACTGAGAAAGAGGGATTCTGAATCAACAGGACATGGTGCTTTTAAAGAAATCATATGACAGAATACTGTGCACCAAATCTCCGTACAGTTACAAAACTCTTCCTTCCGATTCAGGAAGAAGTCAACGCCTCTCTTGGCATGATTTCCTTTTGATCTGGCAGCTCTGCTCAACGGGAAGCATTTGCTCCCCTCTCACTCTTCCCTGCTTTGGTTTGTAGACATGTTCCCTGAGCAGGCTCTTAGATTGTTTTCACGATGGCCAAATAAATTTGCCTATTTGCAAAACTCTGAAGGAGATGGTATTTTTAAGACTGGCAGCATGCTTTATTCGCCCAAATTCTGGAGAACAACACTGGATTCTGGCAAGTCATTTCTCAGGCTGAAGTTGGAGACACTATGAAGAATAAATTTTCTGGAGTTTTTCCTAATAATGGACTTTGCCAGAATCGAGACAGCTCAAATATGGAGTGTGGATTTGCCTGTGGGGTAGGCTGTACAAAAATCTGGCACTTCAGAGGCTCAAAGCGCAGCAAAGTAGTGTTGGCTACTGGGTAATAAAAGGGGCAACTTTAAGGTAAACGAAGATTTGCTATTGATTGGGTGGCTCTCGAGAAGTGGTATTTCTCTACCTAATGTATGTGGGGCTTAATAGATGACGGGTGGATGGGTGCAACAAACCACCATGTCTCATGTATACCTATGCAGCAAACCTGCACGTTCTACACATGTATCCCAGAACCTAAAGTAAAATAAAAATTAAAAAAAAAAAGTGTATTTCTAAATAGGCATCACATGACCAGCAGCATGTTTGGGGAATAGTAAAAATGCTGCCAATGCATTTGTCTGATGGACTATTCTAATATGTTAAGGTAAGAGTAAAATAAAAAGTAAAAATTGAATAGCATGTCACAATGCTACACAATTCAATAAAAATGGTTTCTTTATATAACTTCTTTTTAGAAGATCAGGACTTCTTCTCTTCTGCCCTAAGAATACATAATTCTGCCTTCTAGCTCCCTTTTGAGGAAAGAGGCAAGAAAAGGATGAGGGCAGAAGGAACTCTGCATGGGAGGAGGAGTTGAACGGAACCCTTGTGCCAGCCTGGCCAGCTCATCCATGCCTGCACACCAGGGTTTTGCACTGTGGGACGCACTGGAAAAATGACCTTCCCCTAAGGCTGGCGGGTGGGGGAGGGGACTCGTTAGGGTGAAAAGCTCATGCCTTGTTTCTCAGGCAAGACCTGGAAGAAATCAAAGACGCTCTTCATCAACCATTCCATCAAGATGCGTATGTGACCCCAAGACCATGGGGAGGAGGAGAAAGGGAGGTGTCAGGGAAGGGTTCACGGCCGCTGTTCCCCCACCCTCTGACTGCCCACTCATGCTACGTACCCAGTACAGCACGTCCGTCCAGCCCTCCATGGTGATGCACTGGAACACCGTGAGCATGGCGAAGGCAAAGTTGTCAAAGTTGGTGATGCCGTGCTTGGGACCATCCCAGCCGGGCTTGCACACCGTGCCGTTCTGGCACTGCCGCCCGTGGCCCGTTTCCAGCGCACAAGGGGAAGGGTCATCTTCTGCTGGAACATCTCAAATGGCCAGAAGAAGACAGGAGACGGGAGCAGCAGGGAGGGAGAGATGTGGGCAGAGAAAGAAGTCAGAGAGAAAAGTGACAGGATGAGGTTGATGGGATGGGCAAAGCAACCATGGCAACAACAGCGCAAGACATGTTTAAATCAGGTCCCCAGATGTGAATTAAGCAACACAAGAAAGTAGGCTTTCCATTTAGGCTGCTGTTAATTTAGAAGGTCAGTCCTTTCCACTCACTGTTGTAAAAGCTGTATTTTAATCTTAGTAATTGATTTCTATTGCCCATTCTGCTGCAACATGTCAGCCTCAAAATCAAATGGCCAATCAAAAAATAATGATGATGCCACCACTGCAAGTGGAAACTGACCCAGAAAGCGATTAGAAGTCCATATTTTCTTTTTCTGGTGGTAGAGTTCTATAGACACTTGTATTGGAATACCAGAATTTAGGGTAAGGACAATACCAATGCAAAGACTCCTTCACATAGTTAGCCAACCGATCCCATCCAATAAAGCTTTCTAACTATATGGGTCCACTATGTATTAGAGGATACATTGCCAGGGACGCAAGTCACTTTACAGTGAAGCCTTACATAGGCGAAAGACGGAAAACGGACTCTGACTGCCGGGGAGAGGGATCACCTGCAGCCGTTTTCCTTACAGCCTGTGAGTACACGCTACTGACTGTATTTCATGCATGTCATGTGGGACTTCACAGCTCTGCCCTTTGCTCTGCAGCATGAATACTTTTCAGAAGAGAAGAATCATTTTCTGACCTCTATCAAGATAGAGCGGCAGTGAATAATAGGGAGTGTGCTTCCTCAGTACGGACGGGGCTTTGTCAGGAAACAGTAGAACACAGTGTCTGTGGCTAAATGCAGCAGTTGGACTAATTTCACGTGCTGGGAATAGCTCCCAGCAAATTAATGAATGAAGATGTGACTTATATTTTGAGTGTGGAGATTGATGGTAAATTTAAACAAGACCTGACTGATCTAAGAATTTCCATTATGGGAAAACACTGAGAAAGTCTTGGCTCTGGCTATGGAAGGTAACGGTGTGGAATTCACAAAAGTTTGTGAAATCAAGGACATTGTCCTGTCCTTAGACAAAGTAATGACAATAACAGACAGAAGAGACCCCAGTTCCAACAAATAAATGATTGCCTATAACAATGAAAATACACTTCCAAAGAGAGAGAGAGAGAGAGAGAGAGAGAGAGAGAGAATTTGCTTATAGTTCTTCATTTAGAGACAACAGATAACCCAGGATTATTTTCTGGTTTCATATATATCAAAACAATCGTAAGTGTGATTACTTTGCCTACGTTAGGCTGTGCATTGAACAGGACTGGCCGGTGGGCTGATTCTCAGTCGGTGGCTTTAAATCTGAAACTGTTCACTCCCAAGAGGAAGACCAGAAGAGAAATATTAATCCTTAAGTAAGAGATAATTCTTAGGAGAATAGAGTCTACTTGAAAATATATGCCCGATTGTGTCTTCCCAGCAGCAGTGGCAGCTCCTCCTCCTCCTCCTCTTCCTCCTCCTCCTCCTCCTTCTTCTCCTCTCCTCTCTTTCTCTCCCACTGACCCCATCAGCTTTATTGACTTATAATTTACATGCCTCCTCCTCTTCATTGTCATCATCACCTTCGTGGTCATCTTTGTGGCCTCCTCCTCCTCCTTGTTCTCTGTCAATTTCATTTCCTCTTCCTCCTCTGTCATTTCCTCCTCCTCCTCCTTTTCCTCCTCCTCCTTCTTCTCCTCTCCTCTCTTTCTCTCCCACTGACCCCATCAGCTTTATTGACTTATAATTTACATGCCTCAGAATTTATCAATGTAAATGTACATCTTAATTATTTTTAGTAAGTTTATATAGTCATGCAGCCATAACCACAATCCATTTTAAAGCACGGCCATCACTCCCTGAAACCCCCCTCGCCTGCTTGCAGTCAATCCTTCCTCCCATCCCCAGTCCCTGGCAACCTGATCTGCTTTGTGTCTCCATTGCTTTGCCTCCTCTAGAAATTTCATATAAATGGAATCACACACTATGAGGCTTTTTATGTCCATCTTCTTTCACTTAGCATAATGTTTTGAGTTTCATCCGTGCTGCTGCATATATCAGTAGGCTCTGTTCCTCTTTATTGCTGAGCAGTGTATTTCATTGTATGTTTATCCATTCACCAGCTGATGGACGTCTGGATTATTTCCAGGTTTGGGCTATTATGAATAATGCTGCTTCCTGGCTTATTCTTGGGCCAGTGCTTAAAGTTGTGTGTGAGTCCTGTGTTCGTTGATCAAGGTGCAAAGGTCTGCACTGCTGGTCCCTGAACTGCTAGAGAGACAGTATCCACACCATTTCCTTATTTCAGGGTCCAGCTCCCAGGAGGGCTCCATTAACGCAGCTGAAACAAGCAGTCCTCTAACTACAACTTTTTATGACTTTTAAAAATGTGAAATCTTTAGAGATTTGGATGTGATGCTACAAAAAAGGGGGAGGCTAAAATGTAAATCCTAAGCCTAAATAATACATGAAAAAGTGGATAATAAGCACCGAAAAATTTGGGAGCTGAGAGACTGGAAAACCAAGAGCCAATTAGATCATTAATTATGTTGGGTTGTCACCCATTCTAGTCATAGCTTTCTAGGGAGATGTGTTCAGTCACTGTGATAAAAGTACTGGAATGACAGCAGAGACGGGACAAAGAGAAAGGGTGAAAAAGTGAAGGGGAAGCTTGCATCTTTTTCTTGCATCTTTTTCTCATGTTTTGCTTTTTCGCAGAATAAAGATGAAGTTAATCTTTACATTGGGACCACTCATCTGACAGCATTCCCTGCACTCTCAGTTCCTGAAACATCACAAACAGGGAAGAGGAGAAGGCTGCCAAAGGGAATTCTGAGTGTCCTCGAGAAAGGAAAACATCTCTGGGGATTTTACGAATATCTGCGAAAAAGAAAATGGCATCAAGGGGAAGTGATCTCACTAATAAGAGAGAAAGGGATGAGATTCAGAAACATTATCTAAAGGTTTAGTGCCACTCTGCTATTTAAAATCCGATTTGAACAATAATGAAAAAGATTTGAGAACAATTAAGAAGCAGTGATGATCTGGTAAAAATAGGTATCTATAAAAAGCGCTAAAGCGAACACTTGAAAAAATGTGAACACACACAAATCAGCAGGTCCTAGCAACACACACTCTAGGGTGAGGAGAAATTTGCTTAAATGTAAAAATGTGTTAGTTTTCTTTTGCAGAGTCATGAAGTCCTGGGGAGGAAAGTGGGAACATGAAGTGGGAGACAGAAACAAAGCAATGCAGGTTCTACATTTTAAGACAGAAATGAAGAGAGGTAGAGTCATTCTGGAAAGTCCAAATTAAGTTTTCGGTAAAATAATGGAGGTGACGATTAGGAGAGAGTTAGAAACGCAGTTAATACCAACACAAACATGCAATCCTGGGAGAGCTCCAGTTAGTGATTCCAAGGAGAAATCACTGAAGACAAAAATCAATTACTTTTTTAAAACTCAACTTTAAGGAGTAAATAGAATGAAGATGATTTCATTTCTAGGTTTTAGCCAACCAGCTCTGTGCCAGTCTCAGGGGTAATTACTGTGATTGGGAAGCTATTCAGAGTGACCTGGCTCAGTGCACCATCAAACAGATGGGACAACCGGAAACAAAAGGTATCGGCATATGGTGATGTGTCTGTTGAGGAGCTGAGAAGGCGCCTTGCAGATGCCTCCGGGATTAGGGAAACGCCGCCTCTTCTGAGACCGCCTTCACCGGGGCTGCTCCCTGGAAGGGCAGTCTAGAGGTAGAACATGGCTCACCTGGACAATTCCATAACTTTCTTTATGGATTTTATTGGAAACATGGCTCAAAATCAAACGTATTTTGAAATCTAGAGATACATAAAATTCACAGTCTGTGAAATAATATTGGACTATAAAAAGAATTTGATGTAAATCTCATCAAAAATTACAACAAAGGCTCACAAAGCACTTTTGTGTAATCTAAATTTGCGGAAAATAGGGTAATTCAATCCAAAGTCTGAAATTTTAAAAAAAGAAAGAAAGAAAGAAAGAAAAAAATTAAACCACCCATTCCAAAGTTTATATAAAACTCTCCAAAACACTCAGGGGTTGGTTTCAAAGCCTGCAAGTATTTGGTCTTCTACTCCACGGCTGCACAGACATGTCTGGGTTCTCGCGTATTTTCCCTCCTTGTCTGCACTGCCCACTCTGTGGGTGGACAAGGGCTTGATAGCAGCGGCATCGTGTTGTGCTAAGAGTGACAGAGTGGGTCCTGGCTTGTGATCAGACGGCAGGTTTGGGAACGAAGGGACAGCAAGCTCCTGATTGCAGAGTATTTGAGAGGACAGGCTTCTGCAGCTGTGTCCTGGGCCCCTCTTCCCAGCAGGGACTCTGACTCCAGCGAATGAGTGAGGCCACCTTCTCATGGAGCCTGGCAGGGCCCTTCTCTCTGGAGCACTTCTGCTGTTGTCCTGGCCCCCTTGGCTCATGGCCATTTCTGTGATGGGAGCCTACTTCTCTTCTGAACTTGCAGGCAAAGATAAACCCATCACATAAACAATCTGATGAGTCTCTTGGTAGGAGGCAACTTCTCAGGCACTTTTCCTGGTCCTGTTTACTATCAAGGGTGGACAATGTGATCCTAAATTGGCCATTCCAATTGGGGAGGCCAAGTCTTATCTTTGTCCTAAGAGAAGAGGAGGCCATGACAGGTTCGGTACTTGGGGCGTTGGGGCGACCTCTTCACTGGGCCCTACGGCTATGGCCTTCAGGACGGCTCCCTCCCCGTGCCATGCTTTCTTTGTCTACCATGCTCACCATTTTCTGACTATCCAGGGCCTCTGAGGCCTGGTAACAAAGCCTTGGGCTTCCAACCAGTATTCAGGGCCGCTTATCCTCACCCGCCCTTGCAGGAGCCCACCACCGGCAGAAAACACTCTTGGACTGCTTTCTCGTTAGGATGATGGAAATTGCCTGCAGCTTTGGAGCCCCTCTCCTTACTCTGTGGTGCACAGACCTCTGATTGCACAGCAGGGCCGCCATCTTTGGCTCGATGGCTGAATTCTACCATTTCGCTCTCCCCCATTTTGTTAGTGAGGGCCTCACCATCATTCACTGCTGAACTGATGGGGAATCTTTGAGACTCCACATGTCTGAGACTTCCTGAGGAGTTTGGGTCAAATGGGTCATTGATAATTTCAATACAACTGCATGAACTTCAGACATACCACAGTCAGTTTTTAAGGAGTCTTAAAATGAGCTCTCACAGGGCCACACAATTCATATAAATTTATTGGTTCTGAGCTAGCTATAAATCAACCTGAATAAAAGGAAGGATTTTAATTAAAGGGGAAAATATTATTCATATATGGTTTCGCATTTCTTTAAGCAAGGCTAAAAAGTCTCAGAATTTTAGCTACAGGCAAGACCTGCTTCTTCCAACTTAACAAGGATTCCATTTTTGAAAACAGGATAGTTTATTTTATACAATTATGACCCAAGTAATTTGGAAATTCTCTCTAGAGTGAAAAAACAGTCTCCTGTTAAACAGACTTCCATCCAAAAAGTGAAAACATTTGTGTGATTCTGTGTCTATAGGAGTATACGTTTTGTGTGTGTGGTTTTTTGTTTTGTTTTGTTTTTAGGACTGTGGCTATGTAGAAATAAACTAGAAATGCCCTCAAATATGCAGTTAATCCATCCGGTCATACTAGATCATACATAGAAAGTATTCTGTTTTGGTTTCTGCTACGAATTTCACTCCCTGTTGTTTGGAAGCTATCCCTCCTCACCCCAATGAAGCGAGAGGTCCCATTTAACTGAGTGCTGGGACTGAGTGGGAATGAGGTGCAGTGTCGATGGAGAAAATTAGGTATCCTTCACTGTTTCCGGCAGATGATGCTCCCCTTTTTCCACCAAGATGCTAAAAACTAAGATGATGGATCTTGCTGTGTGAAAAAAATCATATATATTTAACACAGCTAGCCCCTTTGGGGTGGGTGTTATTTTTTCAACAAGTTCTTTGTGTTAAGCCACTGTATATGTCTGTTTAAAAGCCTTGTCAATTTCTGTTTAAATGTTTCTTTAAAAGGCCAAGCTGCGATGTTAGTAGCTTTAGCAGCAGCTTGCAGCATATCCTGCAAGCCAAAACTCCAGTGCCACGCAGGGAAGCGCCTAATGAGCCAGCATTGCTGTTAAATATATTGATTTATGGAAGGAACGTGAAGTGGGAAGGCTCAAAAAGGAAGGGACTGGGAGTCATGGGGTAGAACTAAGCCTTCTCCTTGAAGGGAGGAAGTTTGGCTGCCGGCAAGGGGGTGATTCCCACCTGCCCTCCTCCCCCACCTGGAATAGGGGCTCTGGGGCATCTGCCTGTGAATGGAGAAGCAGAAACAATAATTACAGAGGATCTGGAATCAGCACCATGAAGGTAGAAAAATCTTAGAGTGGTGCTGGGAGAACCTGTTGCTCAGGGCTAAGCGGCCCCGTGAAAGGGCTCCCAATGGCCAACCACACTGAAGCATGGAAGGAGCAGAGACTGACGACCCCAGGTCAGCTCTGATTCTTAAAATACTCAGGGTTGGCTTGAAAAGTCGTAGATTGACAAAAGATAGGTTCTAAGTTATTCAAATGTTTCTCAAATTGTGTAGCTTATTGAAAAGTGCTGAACGAAGTTTGCGTTAGGCCGGTTTAACAGAGATTAAAACAAAAATTGGAACTGAGAAAAAAAGGATACGGGTCTCTGCCTCTCACTTAACCATGCCCAGTGTGTGTCTGAATGAATGGGGCCTTCCCTGGGCTCTGCTGGTCATGTTGGTGTAGCCAGCAGCGGGAAAGGTGCTGGGAGCGATAGAGGGCAGGGCCTTGGGAGCGCAGCCGCCTGCCCCTCTTACCTGCTATGCCCTCCTGGTTGTAGCAGGTCTTGTGCATCTTCCCCATGAAGAGCTCCAAGCCGATGATGGCGTAGATGATGATGACAAACAGCACAAGCAGGGCGATGTGCAGCAGGGGGACCATGGCCTTGATGATGGAATTCAGGACCACCTGGAGACCTGCGGGGACAGAGCCACTCACTGAACCAAGCATCACCGCGGTACCGTGCTGACGCCATCTCATGCAATCTTCCAGCAACTCTGCAAGGAAGGAACTGCCAGCCCTGTTGTTTAGATGAGAAGACTGAGGCTCAGAGCCACACGCCAAGGACTGATGGTGCAGGGGTCTAAATCCAGGTTGGCCTCACTCCAAATCTGTCTTGGAGACTCATCCAAAGCAAAGGACTGGCAGCTGCTGTACTTCCAAGGGGAAGAACATGTTGTTTCCATCCATAACTGTCAAATTGTGTAATACCCCATCTTACAGACAACTGAGCATCTTTTTCTCCTAGAGCAGCATCTCAGGACAGTGAGAGCTCATGTGGACTCAAGACGGCCCTGCAGGGACTCATTTATCCTCGAGGTTTTTCCCATGGTGGGATTGGAAAAAGTCCCAGAGCTGGATGGTGATGACAGTTGTACAACAGTGTGAAGATACTTAGTGCCACTGAATGTACACTTGAAAATCATTGAAATGATCAATTTTGTTATGTTCTTATTACCACAAGAAAAGAAACTCTAAAAAGCACCCAGATCCCTCTGGTAAAAAAGAGTAAAGGAAAAGCCCGCCTGGGGACATGGGTGTTGTCGGTGAGGTCTGGGGCTTGCACCGCGGTCTATGGGGAGAAGGCCCCCCTTACTAAGCTCGGTTATACCAGAAATAACACACTGGGGATGGCATTCATTTAAAGGGACACTGCAAATCATTTGCAAATGACAGGAAGGTGGTTATCAGCAAGTCACCCCCAGATGACACCCAGCCCCGAGAAAGTCACGTGTGAGATTCCTGCCCAGGTGAGTGCAGTGAGTCTCACATGCCAGGTGAGAATGTGGAGGCAGCTCCTCCTTCCCTCCAGCAGAGCCAGTGGTGCAGAAAGTCACCCTGAGTGCCACCTCTGACACACAGGACAGGAAACCCCCCTCCAAGTCGCACTACACAGGTCACTTTTTGTGTCTTTACCTTCTGTGTGGGGCATCTCACCCTCACATTCATCCACCGCGCTTGCCCCTGGGTAAACTAAGGCTGGTCACCCCTTTCCCAAACCCCAAGGCCGTTGTTGGTGCTTTTCATTCTGGTGATGTGATTCTCGCAAGGCTGATTAGAATGATTCTTCCCAGCTATTAAGCCAAGCTGGGAAGATAAAAAAAAAAAAAGAAAGAAGAGAAAAGCTGGAATGATTTTACCTGTGAATTAATAAGAGTGCTTGCAGCCTCCCATTAGAACAAGATGTTTTCAGATTGAAATGATTCCATTAATTAGCAAGTTGTATACACATTAGTGTTGGAGTATGCAGAGCCGCGAAGAAAGTTGAAAACTGAACTGCAAAGCGGCTTTCAGGGCATCTGCTGGGGGTGGGGGGTGGGGGACGTCTTCCAAGTGCTACTCGAGGTGGTGGGAACCCCAAATCTGGGCTACCCAGGCATGAAGGGGTGTCTCGACGGGCCTCAGTGCCACCGCCTCCAATGGCAAGAGAACGGTGGGTGTGGGACATAAAGGGACACCCATCGGGAGGCTCCCCTCCAGGCCACAGCTGGAGGGCTGCTCAGCAGGCTGCCTCAGGCCTGCTGGAACTTTGAATGCCTTCCTCTGCTCTTAGGATGAAGACAAGATCCTTCCTGTGCCCTACAGGGCCCTGTCGGGTCTGGCTACACCCACCTCTCCACCCACTGCCTCTCCCCAACCCACTCCAGTAAAACAGCTCTTCTTTTAGAGAGTTGAATATGCTACTGTTCCTCCCACCACAGGGCCACCACATATGCTGTTCCCTCAACCTGGAATGCTTTTCCCCACTTCCCTCCCACTTATCCTTCACTCTCAGCCCAAGCATCTGTTTCCCCAGGGATCATCACGCAACTCCCAGACCAGAAACGTTTCCTTTATGTCTTCTTGGAACTATTTTCTATCCTCTGGAGAGTGCACCTCAGTTTGAAATGTTATGTTCCTTAACGGGATTTTAAAACATTTATATCTGTCTCTCACATTAGGCTGAGTTTTGTGAGAGGGACTGTGCCTGTTCTTTTCCATTTTGTTGCTAAGGCCTGGCTTGGTGCTGAGCATATGTGGGCACTCAGTAAATATTTACTGAAGGAGTGACAAAACTTATCATCTAAATAAATGCTACTGCTGTCCTGGAGCGCTGGTGAGTATTGCTGCACAGACACCTGCTTTCCAGATAGGTGTCTAAGGGACAGGTGAGTTTCAGGGCCTGCAGGGGACAGAGGCCACTGAACAGGCTGGAGAGAGGCCAAGTGGAGTGAAAGCAGCTTGTGGGCGTCATTTCAGCTGTCAGAGATGCCATAAGAATTCCTGCCAAATGCCCTGTTCCTCACATCCCCGTCCAGGCTGGGGGTCACGCCACTCACCTGAGCACCCAGACCAGAAAACTGATCTCCTAGGCTCCTTCTTCCACTCAGTAACCAAGTCCTGCTGGTTTGGTTTAAAAGTATCTTTAGACATGAATACATTTTTCTTACTGTATAAATAATACATGCTAATTATAGAGAAAACAGAAAATACTTATTATAGAGAAATTGCAGAACACAGGGAAGAAGAAAAAAGCAATGACTCATTGTCCTGCCCCCAGGAGAAGAGCCACTGTTAGCTTTTCCATCCATGACTCGTTTTCCTCCTCTCTGTCCCCTTGGTGCTCGTCATTTTGTCAACTGGTCTCCCGGGTTCCAGTGTTGCCCAGTCTTCAAGCTACACTTAAAATGCTCTTCCTAAAGTACACACTGGAACATGTCACTTTGTAGCTGAAAGTCACCCAGTGACTCCCTGTCACCTGCAGGTAAACTAACCTGCCTCCTTCCCCAGTTTGGTCTCAAATGACTCCCAGTTTTTACCCTAGGCTTGAGCAATACACCCCGCAGTTCTCTGGCTTCGTGCCTCCAATCCCAGCGCACGCGGCTCCCCTGCCTGGAAAGCCATTCCCTGCCTCGCTGAGAGCTCCTTGAGTCTCATCACATCTTCTTATCTTTGTGTCTCAGGCACGTGGGGAGGGACTCCATGCACATGGAGCCAAGTCACGTGCGTGAGCACGGGGTGCCTTCAGAAGACAGAAACCACAAGAATGAAAGAATTGGAAATAACATCATTCAATAATCATTAGAAGAAATTGAAGGTGTTTTGTCAGGAATGGTGAAAAGGCACAGGCAGGAGGGTAACGTCAGTGATTTTCAGAGGATCTCAACTGCTATTTGAGGAAGAGGGGTTAGATGAGTTCTGTCTGACCACAGGATGGAACTACGACCAACTGCGAAGTGTCCGGGAAAGACTTAGGTTCAGCACAGATAAACACTTATCTGTCCGAGAAACAGGCTTATCTGAAGGTGGAATAGGGTGCTTTAAGAGGTAGTGATTCCCCATCCTCAGAGGTATCCAAGCAGTGACTTGAGGAAGTGCCTGACTGGGGATTCTGTCACTGGGTGAAGGACTGCCCTGGAACACCAAAGGCCCTCCAACTTGATGAGCGCGTTCTGAAGACTTGCCATGGGCGACAGCAGCCCTCAGCACTCTATTGGATCATTCCATCTCCTCCCGGCAACAACCTAGGAAGTAGGCACTATTTGTAACCATATGTTTCTGATGAGAAGAGTGGGTCCAGAGCAGTGGAGTGATCTACCCAGGGTCGCACAGCTGGGAAGTGGTGGCACAGGGCTCAGTGCCAGGTGGTCTGGCTCCTAGCCCATGGCTTCACGACTGTGCAAATGCCCCCCACACGCTTAGACAGCAGCTCTCAGCCTCCACGACCTGAGTCTATAAAGCAGTGACACGTGCTTGCAGCATCTGCTGGGAAGGCGGGGGAGTCTAGTGGAGTCCCTGCTTCCAGGAGAGCCCAGATGTTTCCAAGGCTGGTCCAGGAAAGGCTCTCGCTTCCATCTGCTTTCCTCGCGGCCTGCCTGGGGTGGCAGAGCCAGGCTGGCTTGTGAAGGCGTGCGGCCAGACATCCTCCTCTCTACCCTGCCATGTAGAGTTTGGCTCTCAGGGCCTGGATGTTTAACAGCTTCTTGGGATTGGCTCACAGCTGCCCCAGAAACAGCTCCTCCAACTCAAGTTCTAATTTGGAAAATACACGACATTTCTCCACCCAAGTGTTCTCAGATAGGCCATGCTCACCGCTGATAAGCGAGTGTCGGGCCTTCTTCAGGGCTGGCTGCTCATGTTGGTGAAAGAAAATGGGCCCTAGACAAGCCTGGTGAAGCAACTGCTGACAAACGTTCTGTGAACACAAGATCACTATTGGCCCACGCATGTGATGAGCCTGTTTTTCTAGCCCTACATCAGGGTAAGATCTGACAAACACATGTGTACTTATGGGACCAATAGGACTGAGTATGTGACAGGAGAGCTCTACTGGAAAATTTGGAACATACGGTTCCATGCAAAGATCAAACAGCACATAACCTAGAAATTCAGTCTCGCTAGTTTGGAGTTCATGTCAAGTGACTGCCTCTTGGCGGGTGGAAAGACTCTCAAGGTACCAGGAAGACCTTCCAGGGAGATGGGGCCTTGGGCAGTGGCATCATTCAGTGCTGGGCTCGGGAAAAGGGGAGGATGGAGTTTAGCCGGCAGACATGGATTTCCTTTCTTCCTCTTACAGTGCTGCCCGCATTCCCTCTGGGGTGCAACTTGACAATTCCGGTTAGGAAAGGCTTAGAGGACCTGCATCTATAAATCACACTGTTTCTCCTTAAAAAGTCAAGAGAAGCCGTCCATTGCAGAAAGCAATGTCTGGCACCTTTCTCTACGGTGGTTTTGAGGTTAGCCTGGAGATGCCCAGATTGGCCAAAGTTGGTGCTTCCATTACCTGGTCCATATTGTCCACCATGACTGACGAGGGCTGACAACAGATCACATCCTCTTTTGCTTTATAAAACAGCATCTCACCAAGCCCTACTTTTGGGATGAAGTGTTCTGCTCAGGGCCCCAGAGATACTATCACAAAAGAGTATGAAAATGCCTTTATGAGCAGAGGAAAATGAGAACTTCCTGGGGCTGGAAGGTAATGTGCCTGATTCAAGGCTCCTCTTAAGGACTCTATTCTTTTCATGTAATCTTCAACCCATACTTCCCTCTTTTGAATTCATATTTTGAGTCATTTCACATGAGATGGGAGGGCACAGGGAGAAACTGTTGAAGACCCTAGAATTGGAGATCATTGCCAACGTTAGATTCCATTGTTTGGATTCCACATTGACGCTCTGCTTTTCTGTTGGTGTTTAGGCATGAACATTTCACATTCCCAATTATTCAAACTCAAAGATTCCAGCCAAGCCTTAGGAAAGTATGAAAACGATCAAGGAGGCTTGATGACAGAATTCATCAGAAGACAGTGCTGAGAATCACTGAACTAGGAAAAGAGAAGTTTGGGTTTAGGGGGTTGGTGGGTACAAGTTTCTCATAGGTGGACTCAGAGTTTGCCATGACAGGAAGAGGACTTTGGGATCACCTAACCCAATACCTTCATTTCACTCAAAGACTATTTACTGAGCTAAGCTCTACAGGCCATGAGCCATGCTTGCGTGCTAGAGATGGGAATACGGTGGTGACTACAAGCCCTGCAGGCCTTGCCCTCACAGAGCTTGTAGGCAGCCAAACATTAGTCAAATAATCATGCAACTGATGTATAATAAACTCTGTGAAGAGCCTTAAAGAAGCAGAATAGGGTACCACGAGGGTCCTCCTTTGGCATGGAGGCTGCAGAAAGGCTTTCCAGGAAGTGGTGCTTAAGCTGAAGGCTGAATGGGGAGAGGACCTGGTCAGGTATGTGCAGGTAGAGGGTCCCGGCGCCAGGGCTGTGGGGTCCAGACTGCGACGTAGCCTGGATAGCTATAGGACACCCAGGGCTCTCCGTCTGTCAGCCCCATGCTCCTCCTGGCTTTGTTCTGTCTCTCAAAGAAATCCCTGGAAAGAGGTTTGAGGAACCAGTTTGTTGCTTGTGTGTGAAATCAGAGGAAGCAGATATCACTTTTACTTTCAGGAAAACAAATTCAGGAAGCACACGAGGAAGGCCCTCCTGATAACGTCCTCGCTGGTAAAGTGGAGGAAATAATCCCCATCTGGTGCCACAGAGGGGCAGGGGAAGGACAGCATTAGGCCAGGGGTCCTCTACTCTGCTGGCTTTACTGGGGCAATCTTAACCACAACTTCTCAGCGACCCAATCCAACAGAAGAGAGGGCTGCGGCACCATGTGAGATTCTGCCAATACGGAAAGCCTGGATGAAAAGAAATGGCGAGTCAACCTCAAGCCTGGGAAAACCCCTTCTACATGTGATATCCCCAATCCCGATGTAGTCAGGGCTTCCCAGGAGTGGGGCTGACTCTGGATTCTGCTGTGCTTCAAGCCAGCATTAAGGCGACAGCCCACTTTCAAGACTGGGGCAGGAGTCAGGACATGGAGTTTTAGAAAGCTGCTCCTTAACTTGAACTGGCTGTCCTTGCAGAATGGAAGAGAAAGCCATACTGCTTAATCCAGATGTCTGATTAGCTGAATGATGGCTGACTGAGAGGCTGGCCCTACCAAAGCAAGTTATGCCTTCTGTATTTCCAAATAAACTTTAGCCAAATCCAAACAAAAAGAGTCACTAGATGGTGGGCAAATTCTAAGCTTCGCTACAAGTCCTTCCTCTTAGAATTGGATGTCATCTGAAAGAAATAGATTTCTCTTAAGACAGGTGTTCAAGGCCAGGCACAGTGGCTTTAGGCTTGTAATCCCAGCACTTCAGGAGGCAGAAGTGGGCAGATCACTTGAGCCCAGGAGTTCAAGTTTACAGTGAACTATGATCATACTACTGCACTCCAGCCTGGGTGACAGAACAAGACCCTGTCTCTAAAAAACAAAAAGAAAATTTAAAACAATTTTTAAAAACTTAAAAAAAACAGGTGTTCAAGTGAAGGGCACTGTCCTTACTGTGCCCACCGAGCCCCATAACTGCCCTTGAACCTCACTATCCTTGGATTTGCGATGCAGATTCTAAGAAAATGTAGATCAAACACCAGCTTCTCCCACAGGGGAATCTAGAATGAAGTTTTCCATCCTCAGCTACATCCTCTATCTGAGAAAATACTATCGGAGAGTCTCTCCCTTCTGTAATGAGAGAGACAGGCGTACCCAGGCTGTAGAAAGTTTTCCCCAGATGATCAAGGTTCCCTTTCTTGAGGCTACCACAGACAGCTATGCCATCATTCACTTGTGCATCTTCCAAGCACCTACGGAGAACCTATGAAGCACCCTGCTGATTGCCATGGGAGGTGGGAGAAGGAGGAGAGTGCAGTGGTTGAAGAAGAGGGACCCTTGGAGCCAAATGACTCCAATGAATCCCAATCCCACCACATCTCATCCATGTGTCCTTGTACCAACTATTGACCTCATCTTAAAGAGAGGATGATCGTTTACCTATCCCATAAAGTTGCTGTGAGGATTAAACAAGTTAATTTAAGCAAAGTGCCCAGAACAACATCAGGCCCATAGTAAAGGCCATATCAGTGACAGCCATTGTTATTTGAAGTGTGGTCTTAGAAGCGTGACACAGGTCTCAGTGGGACCCTTTAGGGTAAATGAGCACATAGGTCCCCTAGGATCTTGTCAAAATGTGGATTGTAATTCTCCATCATGGGTGGGGAATGAGTTTGCATTTCTAACCGGGTCTCAAGTGACACTGCAGCTGCTGCCCCACCAACCAGCAGCCAGGCCCTAGGGCACGCTGGCCATCCTGGGAGGCTGCAGCAACCTCATCCAGTCTTTTTGGTGTTATCAGATGCTCTCAAGCAGTGACTGGAGTTTTGCCTGCATGGGGGTTATCCTCAGTGATAATATTCCTAAGAATTATGCCCAAAGGACGGTGGAAGCATAGAGGAGAGGGAGAGACTATCTTCACCTAGGAAAATATGAAAACAGTTCCCAGAAGACTAGACCTGTGAGCTGTGTCCATGGGTGGAGCTTCTCTCTGCCCTTTTATTCTGTTAGTCTTCTGCCCTTTGTGTGGCTCTCTCTAAACTCTCTCTCAGAAAATTCATGCACTTCACTCCTTCCTAAGAGTCCAATAGTCACCACTAAGTACATGCATCCACACCTGTACTTACATTTATTTTCTTTGTCCTCTCTTCTGAGTTCAAGACATGCTTCATAAGCCTACTAGATATTTCTACGAGGTTGTCCCACCATCTCCTCACACTCAAATTAAGATAATTTGAGATGACTGGTGCTTTTTATGATGGGGTAAAGAGAACCACAAGGGTGGCCTGGAAGTGGCAACAACAGTGATCTATTAGCACCACTAGGCTGAAGAAGCAAGTGGAAAGAGTGGTTACAGAAAGTGGGAAGGACAGCATTCTGTATAAAGGACCACTCGGAGAGGCTGTGACAATGCCAGCCCAGACCTGCAGGGAAGGATCTGGGGACAGAAGAACCTGACCTCACCCTACTCCCACCTGCTGATCTCTTGCTCGGCTCCCCATCGACTGAACCCAACTACAGACTGGAGATGAGGCAGCCTGTTGATGGAGGCCATCTGGTCGACTCCCCAGCCAGAGAGCAGAGTGGGGAAGGGTGGAGAGCAGATGTGGTAGCGCAACTGTAGGATGACTCGCAGATAAGACAGAGTGGCTTTCTATGTGCCACCATCACCTTTCCATTAAGCCAGGAGGAGGTATTCCACCTGGAGGGCTTCTAAGTTTTGTGAGCCAACAAGTTCCCTCCCAGGGATAGTGATCAGATAAATATCCTCTTACTATAACTCACTAGCCAACTCTGGGTCCTCATCTTCCAAAGTCATACCTGACTGCTTCTAAAAATGAGTGCTCCTTTCAGCATTTGTGGTGGTGACAATCACCACTGTCATCATCAGGTTGTGACTACTAGCCCACGCTTACTTCTGATCTCCATGAATCATGTTGCACTGGCTAGAAGCTGGAGACGTGATGAATCTCACAGATCATGTTTTCTGCCTTCATTTGGCTGATGAAGTAACAGACACTTTTAATGGTCTCACAGGCTTAATGGCTTTCAAAAGAAAATAGGTCTAGAACTAGGAAGGCAGATAGTTCTCTCTTGGGGAAAGGAGTAAGTTTATCAAGCTGAGCTTCAAAAGTGACTAATGCATTTTCTTACTGGGAAAAGAAGCTTCCTATAAACGGGGAAAGAACTATTGCCTGGATAGCTTTCCTACAGCCTCAAGTTTTATGATTTTTGCATGTTCTCATTAGAGTGTCCTTATTCATTAGAGATTTTCATTTATTTTTAATTTAGCCTTTCCAGATTAATAAATTCTGCATCCCACACATGGTATGAGGAACACTAAAGGAGGGTTCTTGTCTTAGCAAAGGGATGGTGGGTAACTGGTTCCCCAATAAATTAAAACTTTAGGAGTAATTAAAATATCAGCCTTCAAGTTGAATTAATTTTTTATATTACCAATGTGGATTGAAAAGAGAAATTCAGAGAAAAAGATATAAAAGAAACCCTGTGTTAGAAGAAAACTGCATATGGTGAAAGGCAGACAAGATGATCTAAAGCAAACAACAACAATAATAGTATTAACTACCATTTCCCGAGGACTCGGCACCTGCTGGGTACCACATAAGTGCTTTACATACATTGTTTCATTTAATTCCCCAGCCGTCTTAATACAGATAAAAGAAATGAGGCTTAGGTAAGACAGATAAATTGTCCCAGATTACACACTTGGTAAATGGCAGAGTTGGAGTTAGAAGCCAAGCCAACTTGAAGCTACCACTTCCATTCCTTAGCCATTATCCAGGCAAAATGACAACTACACTGCACACATGTGCCACTTGTTGGCCCGCGTCATGGCAGATGCTGCTCCTTCCCTCTGGTCCAGATGGGGCCTCACAATCCTTCTCAACAGTGCATCTCTCATGACAGCTCTAATCCATTGGAAGTGATTGCATCACGATGGCCGTCCCTCTGTGCTGCCTCCCTATTGGTGGCAAACTGTAGTTTTGTGCTCCAGGCAGAGTAAGGAGCAGATCTCCTTCGGCATCTGCCAATGATATAGCTACCTGGACCTGTACTTTTGCTTCTTCTTACATCTTTTTTTGGAAAAAACTGTGAAATATACATACAAAAGATGCAAGAAAGGGGGATGTTACAATGTATGATTTATCACAAAACAAACAGCCATGCAACTATTACTCAGACCAAGAAATAAAACCCCACCAGCTATACAGCAGCCCCACTCACCCCTCCTACACCAAGATAACCACTATATTATACTTCCATAACAAGTTAATATGTAATTCACATTAACTTAAAAATAACGATTCTGTCAGATGTAGGAAAAAAACATTTCATAAATGTGAGCATCCACTTATTCCCTGATATTCTGTACTCTTCTCTGCATTCCCAATTCTTTTCAGTTTCTGTGTTTGATTATCAGTATTTTTCCCTGCCCTCTCTCTAGTTCAATAACTGTTTTCAGCTGTGCCAAGTCTTCTTTTAAATCCATTCACTGCCTTTTTCATTTCAGTGATTGTATTCTTCATTTCTAAAATTTACATTTGGTTCTTTTCCATATCTGGTTCTTTGGAAAATTACCAGTCCTGTCTTTGATATCTCTGAATGTGGTAAATACAGTTATTTTCAAGTCTATATCTGACAATTCCAATATCTCAATTCCCTGTGGGTCTATTTCTATGGTCTATAGTTTCTCCCCGTTTTCACTCAGGTTACTTTGTCTCCTTGTGTATATAGTTATTTGGTATCATGAATGAAACCTTCTTTTCTTTTCTTTTCTTTTTTTTTTTGAGATGGAGTCTCACTCTGTTGCCCAGGCTGGAGTGCAGTGGCGTGATCTCGGCTCACTGCAAGCTCCACCTACCGGGTTCACGCCATTCTCCTGCCTCAGCCTCCCGAGTAGCTGGGACTACAGGCGCCCACTACTGCGCCCGGCTAATTTTTTGTATTTTTAGTAGAGACGGGGTTTCACTGTGTTAGCCAGGATGGTCTCGATCTCCTGACCTCGTGATCCGCCTGCCTCGGCCCACCAAAGTGCTGGGATTACAAGCGTGAGCCACCGCGCCCAGCCAAAACCTTATTTTCACACAATTGGTTTTCAAAGTAATTTGAAAATGTTGATGATGTTATCTTTCTCCACAGAGGATTCACATTTGTTTCTATCAGGCATCTTTTCCAAGCTCCAGAAAGAAGATTTAGAATATTTTGTCCAGCATTTCTAATTGTCCTCGGCAGGACAGTTGATCTGAATCATCTCAACTGCCAATTCTGAAAGAAAAAGTGGCCTGCATTTCTTTTTTTCTTTTTCTTTCTTTCTTTTTTTTTTTTTTTTGAGATGGAGTTTCGCTGTTGTTGCCCAGGCTGGAGCGCAATGGCGTGATCTCAGCTCACTGCAACCTGCGCCTCCCAGGTTCAAGTGATTCTCTTGCCTCAGCCTCCCGAGCAACTGGGATTACCGGCGTGTGCCACCATGTCTGGCTAAGTTTTTGTATTTTTAGTAGAGACGGGGTTTCGCCATGTTGGCCAGGCTGGTCTCAAACTCCTGGCCTCAAGTGATCTGCCTGCCTCGGCCTCCCAAAGTGCTGGGATTATAGGCGTGAGCTACTGCGCCTGGCCTGGCCTGTACTTCTTATGGGAGAAACTACCTACGGGATCCACCTGTAGCTTTTCCTGCCACACTCACTCCCAGAACCAGACAACTGGGTTTTGAATACAAGGATATATTCTAGAGCACTGGAAAATCTTTGCGACATTCTCTTTGTGCCAAACCCTTGACAGAGCCTCTTGGAGTGAAGTTTCTGAGGACTGGCTGTTTGCTGAGCAACATACTTGATAATAAGGCCAAACAGGAGGAAAAGGTGGCTTGGTTGCACTCACTGCAAATCCTCACTCCTTCCTTTAGAAATGTAAAAAAGGTATACTTTTGGGGAAAACTTCAAAATATCTCTATGGTTTTGGTGGTAAATGAGATGTACTCATTATAGAGTTATCTAGTTGAATGAGTTACTAAACTAGTCTTAATTATACCTCTCTAATGATTTTTTTTCTGGCAAATACCATTATACCCAGGCAACAGCTTTCTCTTCCCTGGATGTTCTTGAGATGGAGTGTAACAAAGAACCAAATTTGTTCATTGCTGCCAACTTACGGTAACTCTACGCCATAAGCTAATCTTTCTATGTAACTCGAACAAAATGCTCTTAGGGTCACATACTTACTTATTTTCTAATTCTGGCTCAAATCACTATTGCATCAATAGGGACTTTGGCACTAACCAAATTTTCTATAGTGGTAAAAATTTCTAAACATCATGCTTAGATTTTCTTTTAAAATATATTTTTGGAGGGATTTAGTGGGGGAAAATGCCAGGCTATTTCCTCTTCTGCTATCAATAACTGTGTGACCTTGACAAGTCATGTCACCTTTTGGGTCCAGGTTTCAACATCTTTAAAAGGTGGACATTGGATGAGAAAATGCAATCTGGCTCTAAAATTTTCTAAGTTGTTATTTTCCAAATAAAGCAAGATTCTAGTACCTTTCCTTCTTCCAATTACTACTGTGCCTTATACACAATAAGTCCTCAGTAAATGTGTGACATATAAAGTAAAATATAACATATAACATTATATTATCTAATATACTATAATTAAGAACAGTTTCCCGAGGACAGCACAAAGAGCTACAGTTCAAGCACAACACTGCAGCCCCATGGAATTGAGAAGGCAGAAATCAGGTTGGAATGTGGGAAGCTGAAGTGGCTGTGGTGGGACATCCAGAAGAGACAGCGAGGTAGATACAGGGCCCTAGAAGTTTGTGTAGGGGTTGCCTGTGTGTCTGTGGCTTAGGGCTGGGTTGTACAGGTACAAGGTGAAACCAATGAGGCATATCAGATAGCAGCTGGTTTAGGGTTGACAGCAGAAAAGAGATGGTACAGGTTAATCAGTGCTGGGGAAAAAGCAGTGTCAGGAGGTTGGACTTACGGCCCTGAAATTGTGGAGAGACCTAGTTAACATCTCATTACCACCCTGGACAGATGACTCTGACACTGCAAGGGCACCTCCTGGGAGTAAGGCCCTTTGTCTACAGTGAGACCCACTCTAGATCCATCCTGGCAAAGCCAAAATCATTGCCCTGACAACATCAGGAGGGGAAAATTAAATGTGGAGGTTGAGGGGTTTGGGCTTTCAATGTCTCAGCACCAACAAGCATAAAACCAAGCCTACACACGTTCATGGTAAACTGTCTGCTGATGAACCAATACTCTTAGGAATATGAAAAGATCCAGAGTCACAACAACATATTATCCATGATTCTAATATTCGGTAAAAAGAAATCACTAGACATATAAAGAAATATAAAATGTGATAGTCAAGGAAAAAAGCAGTCAATAGGAAACAAAAAATGAGATTGTTCAGATGTTGGACTTGGCAGACAACGATTTGAAAACAGCTATATATATGTGGGTGTGTAGAGAGATATATATATATAGAGAGAGTGCTACATATGTATCCATATATAGATACATATATTTAAAGGATGGAAGAAAAACTGATTAAAGGAAATAAATGAGTATATGATCTTAAAGGGAGAAATATAGAGAATTCCACAAATAAATGGGAACTATAAAAAGGAACAGAATGGAAATTCCATAATTGAAAAGTAACTGAAATGAAAAATTATGAATAGGCTTAATGAAGATGGAGACATTAGAGGAAACATGAGTCAACTGAAAGAATAATCAACAGAAATGAACTGATCTGTGGAACACAGAGAATAAAAGACTGAAGAAAACTGAACAAAGCCCCGGGGACCAATGAGATACTATAACATGGCCAAACACCATGTATAACAGGAGTCCCAGCAAGAGAAGAGTGAGAATGGAGTACAAAAAAATATTTGAAGAAATGATGGCCCCAAAAGTCCCGAACTTGAAAACTTCTCATTTATGAGTGTATCTGAGAAGCTCAGAAAACTCCAAGCAGAACAAATATAATGAATATAATAATGATGCACATCATAGTCAAACTGCTGAAAACTGAGAGAGAAAATTTTAAAAGCAGTCAGCAAAGGAAGAAACATTATGTGCAGGGAAATAATAACAATAATATCAGGCCAGGCATGGTGGCTCACGCCTGTAATCCCAGCACTCTGGGAGGCCTAGGCAGGTGGATCACGAGGTCAGGAGTTCAAGGCCAGCCTGGCCAAGATGGTGAAACCCCGTCTCTATTAAAAATACAAAAATTAGCCAGGTGTGGTAGCAGGTGCCTGTAATCCCAGCTACTCGGGAGCTGAGGCAGAGAATTGCTTGAACCCAGGAGGCGGAGGTTACAGTGAGCCAAGATTGTGCCACTGCACTCCAGTCTGGGCGACAGAGCGAGACTCCGTCTCAGAAAGAAAAAAAAAAATCAATGACTTCTCATCAGAGACAGTGGAAACCAGGAGAAAATGGAACATCTTTAAAGTTCTGAAAGAAAAAAAAACCTGTCAATCAAGAACTCTATACCAGCAAAAATATTCGTCAAAAGAGGATGGCAAAAGACATGTTCAGATAAACAAAAGCTTAGCTAATTCTCCAGCAGCAGACCTACATTATAGAAATGCCATTGGGTTGCTTCAAGATAAGGGGAAATGATACCAGAAGGGAACTTGGATCTATAGAATGTGTAGTAGAAGCATCAGAAACAGTAAATAAGTAGGTAAATATAAAATACTATGTTTTATTTTTTCCCATAATTTACTTAAAAGACAATTGACTAAAGTAAAAATAAAAACATTGTTGAGTGGAACTTATAAAGTATGTGTAAATAGAAGACATATAGTAATCACACAGGACAAGGGGTTGGGTAAGTGAAATTCTATGATTTTAAGGTTATTACACTTAAGTGTACACTTAAAATATGTGAATTTTATTGAATATAAATTACGCTTCAATAAAGTTATTTTTAAAATGATGTGTACGTCAGGCACAGTGGCTCACAACTGTAATCCTAGCATTTTGGAAGGCCGAGGAGAGCAGATAACCTGAGGTCAGGAATTCAAGACCTGCCTGGCCAACATGGTGAAATCCTGTCTTTCCAAAAAATACAAAAATTAGCCAGGCGTGGTGGCACATGCCTATAATCCCAGCTACTTGGAAGATGAGGCACGAGAATCATTTGAACCCGGGAGGGGGTGGTTGCAGTGAGCCGAGATCTTGACAATGCAGCCTGGGAGACAGATCGAGACTCGGTCTCAAAAAAAAAAAAGATCAAGTATAGAAGGTCCCCTTCTCTGATCAGTCCAACTTGGAGCCTGAGGTAGACAGATAGGGAGTTGGACCCACAGAGTACTAGTAGCTAGTATTTGCTGAGTGCTTCCTGTGTGTTTCACACAATTCTATTGCTTTAAAAGCATTTACTTATTTAATCCTCACAACAACTCCAGGAAGCAGGCAGGTGTAATTTTAGCCCCCATTTTATAGATCAGGAAATCGAGGCACACAGCTAATAAATGGTGGCTCTGGGAATTTGAACCTAGGTAGTGGGATTCCACCATCTGAGTCTTTAACCACTAAGTGTCATGAATCAGCACGAGAGAATCAACCAATAATAACAGGCACATGGGGCTCACGTTCTGCGTATTGATCACTTCACAGGACGCTGGCCTCACTGGATCTTCATTTCATTCCCCCCTCATTTTTCTTTCCAACATTTAGAAAGCCTGGGTCACTTATAAGCCTAAGTGGCCTTTATTATTGCCATTATTTTTAATCAGTCATCACCTTGTCTGTGATTTCATGTTTGGAGGTCTCCAGACACAAAAAGGAATCCATTATGGAGCTTCCTGAGTTTAAGAAGCCCTCTTGTCTCTTGTGATGATTATACCACCTGCCACAGTCCTGGGCTCAAGATGAGTGCTTAATAAATACCTGCTCTTATTTTAGGACCTACTCTCCCACCTCTGGGCTGTGTGATTGCTTACTATATTGGGAGCTGAAAGAGTGGCATTTGCCCAGGGTCATACTCTGTCATGACACCTCAGGTCTAGAATTAGTGGTTAAAAAAGAAATTATTAGGTCACTGCTATTCTCTATCAACAAAGCACAGGATGATAATACTCAGAGGAATTTCAGGGGTATTCAAGCTTTTTTTTATTTCTGGAAAATGCAATGTAATTAATATAGTTTACATCTACCTGCTTTCACTAAATCTCAAGAAATTCAGGAAAGCTCTTGTTGACCATAGAAGGTAAGTCTAACAATTTCTGGGGAAAACATATGATCAAGGCATTATTTCTGGGAAAATTAAGTGAATAAATATATTATTTTTTTAAAAGTATTTCTGTTTTGCACAAGTATTTATTAGTAGGACTATATGGTCTAGTAAAAACAGCCTGAAGAAGGCATTATACTTTTGGATGTCTCCTCAATGCAGTTGATGGTGCTCACAGTCCCAAGGCTTTTTCTGAGTTCAGCGCTTTTCCATTATCCTCCAACAGCAGTACATTTTAAGAATACTCAGAATTATCCCAGCTTAGAACTGGAAGCAACACTGAAAACTCACCTGATGACATGCTGTTCCAATCACCCATGTCTTCAGAAGGAAGATGTCTACAACTTGTGCCACGTTACTCTCCTCTTCTCTGCCCTGACAAACAGCTTGACACCTCCTATGACATGAGTGTATTTCCTATTTCAGTCCTTTGCCAGTATCAACACAATGCGGCATAGATGAAGAAACGGACTGGTGGCTCGTGTCGCGTGGCTCGATGCCTGGCAGATAGTAGTCTCTGAATAAATGCTCTTGATCAATGGCATGTCTGAGTGAAGACAGAACTTTTCTATCATCATCAATATCATCTGCTGCTGCCACAGACCACAGTGTTTTGTGAGCTTTTTGTGAGAGGCACAGAACCATTTCTCCTGGCTAATGTTTGTATATATGTATATATATACCAACAAGTTTTTCCCCTCCCGATGTGATTCTGTATATCCTTGGGGTCATACACCACATAGTCTACTGGGGTACCCCCAACAGAAATGGCAACAACCTTGGTGGCTCTGAAACGTTCCCAAGCCAAATATTAAAAAACAAAACAAAACAAAACTAAACTAACTAACATGCAAGAGGGTGCTCAAGAAGTCAGCTGACTGAAAATTACGCATGATTCAGAGGGCAACTGCCATGGTGAAAGGTGAGCACGGCAGGCATCTAAAGGCTAATACTCTAGGGCGAATACAGTTGTACCCTCCCATTTTGCAGGTGAGGAGGCTGAGGGTCAGAGGTTAAATGACAAGGTCACACAGCTGGCCAGACTTAGATCCCTGGTCTCCTCACCGGCAGGCCGGAGTGCCTCCCACCCCATCACAATTCCTGAGGTGACAACAATACTATTTGCCATCAGGTCCTGCCACCCAAGGGGCTCACAACTCTTGAAACATAAATAAGGCAACAGGCAAACTATGAACTACTCTCAATCTCTAGAGCCAGGCAGGGCGCCCTACAGCCCAGAAGCAATGTGATTCCCCTCGGCTCAGGAAGCTGTGTTCTCTTCCAAACAACAGAAACCAAGTCCTGGAGGGAGTTATCCCGACTGGAAAACAGTCTGAACTAGATAGCCTGGATTTGCCTATCTCTAAATTAGGGATAACGTCCCTGTGTTTCTAGACCACTGGGCCGATTCATCAGCTAATCAAGCTCTTTGAGTCTGAAGGCCTTGAACGGATGCTGAATATTGCTTGTAGTTGGAGGTAACCCTAACATTTATCACTGCCTCCTACATTTTGTTCTCAAATCAAAAAGAGACCAGTTCGTGACTGGAGGAATGTGTGTGTGCCTTAGCACACATGTGACGTTCCTGTGTGACTGCAGGCATTCTTTGCCATGAGGACTTTTTACCTGCTGTATCTAGAACACTAAATAATAGAGATGTTCCCAGTTCAGCCACATACTGTTGTTGATACTCAGTAACCTCTCAGTGAAACTCCACTATAGCAGAGGCGGGAACCTGTGAGTGTGCTTACTGTGTCCATCAGCTCACTTTGCCGCATGGCGGGCCTCTTCCCTTCCTATCTGGTGCGGTGGCTCCTGCCAACCCACAGGGTCCCTCTCCAAGAGGTCTCGGATGCTGGGAGCTCACAGGGCTGCACAGGTAGAATCTCCTCCTTATCCATGGCACCCCCATCACTCACTCTTTGTAGATTGAGAAACCGAGGCAAAGCACCTGGCAGGGCAACAGAGAAGTCGCAGCAGGGTCGGGACTCTGAGTGGGCCTTGAGCTGCTGGCCCAGGCGTCTTTCAGGGGCACCTGGGAGGATGCCGGGAAGAGAGTTGCTTAACTGGGGATGCAGCAGTCAAGGGGAAAGACCGTCCACACTGGGAGATCAGGAGACACCGGGGGAGAGGGTGGGCCTGGCAGGTGCTAAGGGGCAGGGCGGGGCTGGGCGTGGGACCCACCCTGTTCTAAATTCTGTTTCTTAGAGGCAAGCCTCCTGCAGTGTGAAGGGCCCCCCGCCACCCCCTGCTGTCTCTGGCTGCCCTCCAGGGTGCTCTGCCCCATCTGCAGAGCACAACCCCAGGCTGCCTGGGTGGGAAGGCGGGGAGCGGGTCCTGGGGCTTCCTCCCTTCTGGGGAGGCTGGGAGACCTGGGGGCAGCAAAGATCAGCAGCCCTGAGGGTTCCCTCACCATTGCCATCAGAGTCCCCTTGCAGACCGTGCAGGAAGCAAGGGTCCTGCCCACCTGCCACCAGGTCACTCTGTGACCTTAAGGAAGCCATGTGGCCCTCTGGCCTCAGGGCTCCTCTCTGCAGAATGGAAGCTCAGTTGTACTAGCCTAGTCCCCTCCCACCCAGACATTCGGATTCAGGAACAGTGCCATGAGACACATACAGCGGACAAGGTTTGAGTACTTCCTGTGGCAGTGAAAGAAGTGGGAGGGAAAGGGCTTAGAAGATGTTGTAGGGACCATCTCCGATGGGCGGGCAGGGGGACCAGGCAGCCTCCAGCGCTGTGTGAAGGAGAATGAGGGACGGCCTCAGGGGTGGCCCCCTGCACATGCCCCTGTCCTCATAAGTAGCTTTGTAAGTGTCCCCTCATGTTGTTTAAGGGTATGTGGCCTGTAAGACCCCTATAAGACAAAGGGGATAAAAAGCAAGAGGAAGCAAAATAGAAAGTGAGGGGAGAATGAGGGCCAAGTCCAAGGACATGAGAGGGGGTGAGAACAGGGGTGGAGAGGCTGAAGGTCTGCAAGCAGTGAGGGTACAGCCTGGTGCGGTGGGGATGAGCATGTGGGAGAGGGAAGGGGATGCAGAGGCCAGCCAGTCCAGGCCCTTCAAGCCCCAGATGCAGGACAAAGTCCAGAGGGAGGGCAGACCTGCCCAAGGTCTCCAGGCTTGTCCGGGTGAATGCAGGGCTGGAGGCTGGGTCCTCTGCCTACCCAGGCTTGTGCTCAGCTGCACCAGCAGCATCCTGTGGGTACTTCAGTGTTAAATCACATCAACCAGAATTAAAGGAAGTCTGGGAACATGAGGACACAGGCAGTGGAAAAAGCAAGGGATGGGGAGTGAAGCACTGTGGTTTGAGCCTCTTCCCTGACTCTGGGATCTTCTCTGGGACTCCAAGATATGTCAGTTTCAGGGGCTGAGTTACAGGATTTTGAATATCTGCTCCAGAAAGATGTTCTCTTATCAGTCCAGACTGGGAGGTGTCCTTAACTGCAAGCGAGGTTCAGGAGCTGTTTGCAGGGACCATGCCTGCTGCCTAGCCTCCTCTCTTGCACAATGCGGCACCAACTGGGCCAGAAAACACTTTCCTGGGAGCCACGATGGGATTGCAAATCTGCTGTGGCTCAATTTACCAACAGCAAATTTCAGACAGGACAGCATGAGTGGCTTTAAACCATCAAAGTGTGAAAACACTCAGAAAAGCCGCTTTTAGCAGCCCTAATGTGCCCTCAGTGGGTCTGATTAACTGGCACCGCTTGCTAATCAGTGTGGCCAGTTTCACGGTGACTAATCCCCAGGAGGGGAGAACCCATCCTGGGAGGAAAACTACATCTCGGGATGCGTGTGGTTCACCTGGGGACTTGGCACTCAGGTGAGTTTTCAACTTCTGCAGCAGCAATTTTTAAGTCAATATTCATCGTATCAGTAAGAATGTTTTAAAAAAGAGTGTTTGGTGTCAAGCAGCATAGGATCTTCTGGCAGGGCGCTCAGGACAGAGCAGGATGGCCCAGACCTGGCCTCTGGGATGGAGGTCATGCAGGGTGGGAGAGAGCGGTGACAGCTTCGGTATGGCTCTGACCTCAGCTCTGCCACCAGCCCGGGTGGGTTCGTGAACCTCCCTGGAATTCAAGATTCATGGTCAGTTCTGACCTTCTTTTGTAGATTTCCAAGACACTTAGCTGTCTCTGCAGTGCGGTTTTTTTGAACGTTTTGTATGGAGAGTGAACAGCAGTGGCTGTTTAGAAAACTGCCTCTTGGTGTGCCATCCAAGACCCAGCTCAGTCTGCTCACTGCGGACTTTTGTCTCCTGGCTCTCACGACCCATACTTCCTTTTCGGTAATGGGTTTGGGCACCCCACACCTATGTGCTGGCCGAGACTGGCCCACATTGGTGACCTAAACAAACAAGGTTTTCACCCTCAGATGTCCTTCCATCCCCATCCCTGCCTGTTCCACATAAACCTCAGGGCTTATCTCCGGTATGTCCTCCTTCATAAAACTTTTCAGACTGCCACAGTCCCTGGTAAACTCTCCCCTTGAATCCATTTCATCATCTACACTATGCAAGTCAAATAATCATACACATGCCTCTCTGGTGATTTTTGGTCTCAAACTGCTATTTAACTCTTGAATATTCCTTATCTTTTAAAGTATATTTGTTGTCTCTTGAGAATGATCTTGTCCTCTATTTCAGTCTACATATGTAATATAATATAATGTAACAGCTACCACTTAACTGAGCACTTACTATAAGCAGGACACCATTAAAGTGCTTTGCGTGCCTTAACTCATTTAGTCTTTCCAACAGCATATGTAATACGTTCGATTACAATTCCCATTTTACATAGGAGGAAACTAAGGCACAGAGAGGCTTAGCAACTTCCCTAAGGGTACAGAGTCAGTAAGTGGCAGAAGCCAGTAAGTAGTCTGATTCAAGAACTCATGTTCAAAACCAGCATGTTGTAAGGCTTTCCTTGCCTTCTATATGGTATCCACTCCACAGATATTTGTCTACTAACTGGTGCTGATTTGCTTTCAGGAAACAGTCCTCACCTGAGCAAGGAAAAATTGAAGCTTCTGACCTCTATCCACACATGGTCCTCAGTGCTCCTTCTCACCTCTCAGGATGAAAGTAAACTTCCGTTTAATAGCGAGCTGTTTTCTATTCTGTGTGCTTCCAGATATAACATTTTACTGACAAAAGGGACATCCTGAAAGATCTAATCTTGTAAAGACTCACATACTAGGAAAAACGTATCCCACGAAAAGTCCTTAAAGCATTCCATTAGGACTAAATCAAAATCACATTAACCAGGATTAAAGGGAAGTCTGGGACGATGAGGACACAGGCAGTGGAAAAAGCAAAGGATAAAGAGTGAAGCAGTGTGGGCTTGAGCCTCTGCTCTGATTCGGAGATATTCTCTGAACTCCAAAATATGTCAGTTTCAGGGACTAAGTTACATGATTTTGACTATCTGCTCTAGAAAGATGTTCTCTTATCAAGTCTGGACTGGGAGGTCCAGATCTAAAACCGGATGGTCCTTATGAAAACTGGACAGGTGTTCTGATTTGACTGATGGGAGTGCACTATCTACCTCTGTCCCCGCACCTAGCTTTGTGCTTGGCTCACAGAGAGTGCTCAATAAACATTCATGATGAGTGTCTTCCAAGGCTAGTGCTGGTCTTACAGAAAGGTGATTTTTCAGTTCCTTTCATCATCAGATCAAGTCTAGGTTGCTCTGAGTTTTCGTCAAAGACCCTACACATCTTTCTCATCTCCATTTGACTTCTCCCTTTATCAAGTCCCTCCTGAAAGTTCTTCTCCAGAAGGCATATGAGATGAAATGGAAAGCAGGAAACGACCCCTTGCTTACTGCTTCACAAGCAAATGTACTCCTTGCATATACATTGCAAATATTTAACCACAACTCTCCCTATGGTTCATCTGGCTGTATAACGTTGATTCCTCCATATGGCTTAGTCTTTGGTGTAATACGCATGCTCCACAGCACGGCTGCAGTGGGAGAGTGGATGCTCACAGCAGAGAGAACTGATTCTGTTACTGTAGAAGAGTCTCTATGAAGCCAAATGGCCAAATCTTTCAACTACACAGAACCCCATTGGAAGAGCCAATCTGATTTTCACCTCTGCAGTGTAATCAAGCCGTTAGCCTTGCAGCCTCACAGTGTGCATCTCCAGGGCCACGGCCACTCTCCTTCCTTTGTGTGATTTCCTGGAATGCCTCTCCTCACTCATCCTTCAAGTTCCATCCCAAATGCTACCTTCTCCAAGAAGGCTCTCCTGATTCTCTATCACCACTCCCCAAAGTATGGTGTCCCCAATGCATGGCTTGTCACAGAATTCATCACATTGCACATCTTACCTAAACTTTCCTTTTTGACAGCTCCAATTTTTATTTATATAATCATTTTTATGAATATTTTTTCTTCTACTACACTTCAAGCTCTCTAGAACACACTTAGCATCTGACTCACTTCTGTATCTGCTATAATGGCTAACAAAATCTTACATAAAGTAAGTACTCAGTCGATTTTGTTGAACAAATTGATAAATGACTCATGGACTTGTACCCTCGCAATCATCTATTTCCATAACCTGTGATCATAAGATTTCAATGACATTTAGTACATATATGTGCATTTAAAAAATGCAACTTTTAGGCCGGGTGCGGTGGCTCACGCCTGTAATCCCAGCACTTTGGGAGGCTGAGGCGGGCAGATCACGAGGTCAGGAGATCGAGACCATCCTGGCTAACCGGTGAAACCCGTCTCTACTAAAAATACAAAAATTAGCCGGGCGTGGTGGCGGGTGCCTATAGTCCCAGCTACTCGGGAGGCTGAAGCAGGAGAATGGCGTGAACCCAGGAGGCGGAGCTTACAGTGAGCCGAGATCACACCACTGCACTCCAGCCTGGGCGACAGAGCAAGACTCCGTCTCAAAAAAAAAAAAAAAAAAAATGCAACTTTTGGGGCCTCTAACACTATTGGTCTAGAATTGCAGATGTCAAAAATGGCCCAATGAACCTATTTGTTGTAAGAAAAACCCTACATATCTATATATTGCCTATGTACATTTCTTAATATCACCCAATTGTCATGAAGATCAAATGAGACAGAAGAAGTAAAGACCCTTTGGAAAAGCCAGCAAAGGCACATGTCCAGGAAGCTGGCACCACTCACATCATTTTAGTGGGTGGGGTGGCTCTTAGGGCCTGTGATGTGAAGCTATGCCAGCCGCCATGGGCGTCCGTGTAACCATGTTTGCTCATTCTACAGATATTTATCACCTTTATTGTCGGTGCTGAGGACACAGCTGTGAACACAACTAACAAAAATTGTTAGCCTCACGTAGGTTACATTCTCATGAGGTAAGGGGTGATAAGCAAATGAACACATACACATACAGAATGGCAGATGGTGAGAGGTGATGTGGGGAAATGGAGCAGGGAAGGGTGGATGAACGGGGAGTGAGGGGATGGCATCAGCGGGGGCCGAGGAGGTACGCAGGCCTGTGCAGAGAGCTGAGCCAAGGGGCGGGCCGAGGAGGTGCGCAGGCCTGTATGAGAGCTGAGCCGAGGGGGTGCCGAGGAAGTGTGCAGGCCTGTATGGAGAGCTGAGCCGAGGTGGGGGCCAAGGAGGTGCGCAGGCCTGTGCAGAGAGCTGAGCCGAGGGCGTTCAGACAGAAGGAGCAAGTGCCGGCCACCACCCCACAGTGGGGTGAGCTTGGAATGTTGGAGGAATAGCAAGGGAGTCACTGTGGAGGGCTGGTGAGGAGGGAGAGGAGGGGAGGGTGAAGGGGGTGAGCTTAGGGAGGAAGGAGGCGTGAGATCGCAGGGCCTATGGGACTTTGGCGCTCACTCTGGGCAAGTCAGGGAAGCCGTGGAGGGTCCTGAGCAGGGCAGGAACATGATCCGACTTGGCTGTTCAGAGGGCCGTTTGAATGCCGTGTTAGGTCCGGGCCATGATAGGGGTTGAGGCAGAGACTCCTGCAGGAGGCTGTCGCCATCATCCAGGACGGAGGCGAGGGCGGCCAGCGCTGAGCTGAGTGTGCAGGTGGTAAGAGACAAATTCTTGACATGTTTGGAAGGTAAAGCTCATAGGATTTTCTGATGGATTGTAATCAAAGAGTGAGAAAAAGAAATAAGTCCAATAAGGCCTGAGAAGCTAGAAGGATGAGGCTAGCATTTACCAAGCTGAGAAAGACTCTGGGAAGACTGTGAGTTCTGCCATGAGTCTTGCTAAGTGCAAGATACTTATTATCTATTCAGACAGGAGAGGAACGGAGTCGGCAGGTAGGGATACAAGTCTGAGGTTTGGAAAAAAGGTCTGGGCTGGTGACACACAGCTGCTGGTTACTGGAAGATACATAGATTATATTTAACACCAGGAGGCTGGACGTGATAACTAGGGAGTGAGTACAGACAGAGGAGAGGTCTCAGGATCTACCCCTGGAGCTTCCCAATGTTAAGAGGGTGAGAAGATGAGACAGAAGTCAGCAAAGGATTCCAAGAAGAAGAAACAAGTGAATGAAGGGCAGAGCTAAGAAAGAGCAGTGTGCCAAGGGCCAAGGGCAACGGTGGTTCAAAGACAAGGAGCGATCAGCTGTATCCAAAGCTGCCAACAGATCATGTAACATGGCCCTGGAGGACAGAGCACTGGGTGCGGTAACGGTGATCACTGATGGTCTGGACAGGAGATGTTTTGGTGCAGCAGTGGGGAAGAAAGCCCCATCAGAGTGGATTCAAGAGAGAATGGGAGGACAAGAATCACAGACAACAGGTAGAGGCAACTCTTGAGGAGTTTTGCTGAAATACAGAAAGAGATAACCTATGGCTATGAGAAGTAGAAGACGGAGGCATTTGTCTAGGTTTGTAGTCAGGGGAGATACTGCTGACATCTTTGTAGATGACACCAACCACACTGGTACAGTGCACTGATCCACCATGGTCTGCATGGTTCCCTGTTTCAAAAGCTGCACAGACACTATTCCAGCAAGAAAGGGCAGAAGGCTGGATGAGCTGAGGAAGAGCCACCATTTTACTGGTGACCCAAAGGAAACCAGACACCGTTGCTGCTCCTATGCATAAGCATGGAGCTACCTACAAGGCACCCACAACAGCAAATCCATCTCAGTGTCATCATCTCTAATGGCGAAAATATTTTCCTGGACTGCACGGCAGGTAACATGAGGGCCTTGCATTTGAGGCCTGCATCCTCTTGAGAGAATTCCTAGGAGTGTTACTGCTTCCTGACCACTACAAGACACGTCTACCTTACTTAAGTGCAGATGGAGACAGGGCTCCGTCCTCGGGAAATTTCCTCTGTAGTGGAAACCAAGTGACCCGATCTAATCTAATTCTTCCTTTTAATGCACTGTAGCATGAGTGGCTCTCAACCATATTCATCTCTAATTAAGAATCTCTGTACTAGAGCAATTACTGTAGCTACAGCTGTTGATAACAATCATCTCCTCAGTCTCTTTGTGGTAGGCTGCTATGTGTTCTCAATCGTTCACCCATGCTTCTCTGCAGGTACAGCACACTTCTTGGCCCCATTATCTTTGAGGGTGGCCATGTGACTCGCTTTGGCCAGTGGAATGTGAACAGCTAAGACAGAAGCCACATCTAAGCATAAGCCTTAAGTTGCTAGTGCGGTTTGGCTCTAAGCCCCATTTTGTGAGCACCTCCCCCAGCCATGACAACCACAAGGCCTACCACCGAAGGTGAGGGCTCCTTCGACCTGGGCTCCAGAATTGGATGGCACGCAGAATGTGGTCAAGCCCAGAGTCCAGCTGAGTGCAGAAGAGCTGCAGCTGACCACCACCCTCAGGTGCCATGAGCCAGGTGTAAATGTTGCTGGTTGTAAGCCATGCAGAGTTTGAGATGGTTTATTTCCACAGCAAAAGCTGACTGTTATACTCTTTTCTTAGACTGTCAAATTTCTCTAGTGAAAGGACCATGCTTGTTCTTTATGATACGTCCTAATACCCCTAATAAAAATTGCAGGCCCCTAATAAATACATAGATAACAGGTCGGGGTCATTGTGTCCATTTCGCTTGGTTGGCTGGCATCTGGAATTAACTCCCAGTTGCTATCACTGACACACTGGCGGTACCATTACAAGCTCCTTAAAGTCATGTTCAAAGTCACTGTCATCCTCCCTTCCTACTTCCTGATTTTGGCTATTGAGTTCTGGCTGATTGACCAGGAAAACCCAAATAATTTAGGCTTCAAAAAGAAGTGGGTCCTGGCCACGATATATGCAGTTTCTATACCTAAGTACCCCCAGACAGTTAAGGCCGAGTAGAGAAAGTCTGCTTTAATTGTGCTTGTGTGCTCAGCTCTGCGTGCCTTTTGAGCCTAAGACAGGCCACAAGCTTTGCCCAGGGAGTCCCACTGCAAAGAAAACAAACTCTTTCTTTTGCTTATTCAGTAAGTTCCCTTTGCTTATGTTGTGTGGGAATCAGAGGCAATAGAAGGCACAGTTCTGGGTTTCAAGGGGCTTATAGTGTAGTTTAAGAGACAGGATATATGTGTAAAAATCCAAGACAATTGGCCGGGCGCAGTGGCTCATGCCGGTAATCTCAGCACTTTGGGAGGCCAAGGCAGGCAGATCATGAGGTCAGGAGATTGAAACCATCCTAGCTAACATGGTGAAACACCGTCTCTACTAAAAATACAAAAAAAAAAAAAAAAAAACACACACAAAAAAACAAAAATTAGCTGGGCATGGTGGCAAGCACCTGTAGTCCCAGGTACTCAGGAGGCTGAGGCAGGAGAATCGCTTGAACCTGGGAGGCGGAGGTTGCAGTGAGCTGAGATTGTGCCACTGTACTCCAGCCTGGGGACAGAGTGTGACTCTGTCTCAAAAAAAAAAAAAAAAAAAAGAAAGAAAAAGAATCCAAGACAATCAAGAGAGATATACCACTTAATTCTTTAAAAGAGGCAGTGCTGTATGGCAGGAAAGAGCTGGTCTAGAAATCAGGAGACATGATTCTAGTCTTGGCTCTATTGCTAGTTAATTAAAGTCACAGGAAGATCTTTTCACTATTCCGTGCATGAACAAAAAGTAAACTGGTTAATATAAAGTCCCTCACATTTCCACGGTTTCATGACTCCAGATGATACCACCCAGCAGCACACCGGTAACCAAGTGCTCAGTGCATGCCATGGGTAGGAGAGGCTGTGCATTCGGAGGTCCTCTGTCTTCCTGTCCCTTACACCATCTCCAAACTCATCTGGTCCTAGCCTAGTCTGAGGGGTCTCCTATGTCTTGAGTCATGGGCCAAATCTACTGGAGCTGAACTGAAAGCAAAATTTAAGCAAATGAGTCCAGAATTGTTCTCAGATACCACAAACTGAAGAGGGAAGAGTAGAAAGGAGTTCTAAAGTGGACTGAGCTCCCAGGAGCACCTTGGGCTGGGGTTTGCTTGCGCCTTCCCAGGGGGCCTGAAGCCACTGTGTTCAGTACCTGGGGTGCACCCATAATGGGCCAGGCTTCTGGAGAAGTGGCAGAAGAGGCATTGTCCATGTGACTGACATCCGGATAGGCAATACCTCTCCAAACCCTTCCCCTGATTCAGAGAGCGGAATATCCTCCTCTCTTTGGGAAAAATAAGTTCTCACAATGACAGGCGTGGTATTTCCAGTAGGGCTCCTGAGGCCTGGGCTGCCCCATTTGACAGGAAGGGAGGAGAGGGCTGGGAGAAAGGTCAAAACAGAACTTTTAGAACATCCACTGATGCTTTCCTGATTGTTCTTTGGAAAAACACAGAAAGTAGAGATAATCTCATTGGCTAAAGTGCTCTGGAGCCTCGGAGATTAGCCACCTGGCTCTTCTGCTACAAAATGTATTTAAATCCCCATCCCAGGGCCTCCAGGGTGGCTCAGATGGCCACTTCCTTTATGTAGGATTCATGTGGCTGAGTGACTGCTGTGAACTTTCTCCAGGAGTTTCCAGGCGCTGGGACCACAGTGTGTTTTAAGGCACTTACATCCGAGTTGGGCTCTTCAGATCAAAGGAACTCATTTTAAAACAAAAACAAAAACCCCTCCATTTATATGGAATCAGGTCCCTTTGCAGAGTGTTCTTGGCAATTCAGCAAAGGACAGCAGAAGGTGGTGAGGAGATAACACTGTACACAAGAACGGGCTTCACTTACTTGGGACTCCGGACACCAGCCGCAGGGGGCGCAGCACGCGGAAGGCCCTCAGCGCCTTCACATCAAATCCGGCCCCTTTCCCTCCGAGAGCGTTTGCCCCATCTGCTTTGGTTGCTTGTTCTAAAATTGCACTAAAAAGCCTAGAAGAGAGGAAAGAGAGAAGGACTGTCAGGACTGGGTTTTCTTTTGCCCAGCTGGGGCTCTGACCTCTGGATACAGCCCGGAAAAGCAGATTGCGCAGGCGTCTCCAGCCCAGGGGCGGGCGTTGTGGGTGTGCGTGGAGTCTGTGGGTGGTTGTAAGCTGACATCCCCTCAGTGTGGGTGGTGGCCATGCCCAGGGTGCCACCATGGCCCAGGGAGGCCTGAGCGAGCTGAGGGGCAGGCCCTCTGCCGTCATAAAGGCAGGAGCTGGACAAGCGCTGGACAAACGTGGGAAGCAGGTGAAGTCTGTTGCCAGTCCTTATCTCCTTGAGGAGCCCTCCGGCTTCTCCATGGTATCCTAGCGCCCCTCCCAGGTGTGCCAGCAACCATGTGCTCTGTTTCCCCACCTCCTTCCTTCTAGATACCCCCCCTCTTTGACTTGTTCCTGGCCCATGGAAATCTCCTTTGTGCTGGCCTTGGTGGCTGCTCAGGAGGTGCGTGCTGCGCAAATGAATGAATGGTTGAGTGGTTAAACAAGAAGGTCTCAAGTGGGGTAGAACCACACGTGCACGTAACTGAGACACAGGGCTTTCAGCCCTGCCACTTTAGGTCTGAGCTGGCATATTCACTCCTCCAACAAACAAGAACACCTGCGGTGTGCCGGGCACTGTTCCAGACACTGGGGCTATAGCAAAATGGACAAAGCCCTTCCCCTCATGGAACTTGCATTCTAGCAGGGAGACAGACAATAAACTGAGCAATCAGTAAACAGACACTGCAGCTTAGAGTGATGAGTGCTGAGGAGGAGGAGCGGGGAGGGGCTCTGCAGAGACAGGGTGAGGGCCGCCTTCCTTCCCACCTGAGAAATCTGCACAAAGAACTCCCTGCAGGTGACACTTGAGCAGAGGCCTATGGGAAGTGAGGGCGGGACCCACTTCACTATCTGGAGACTGTTCCAGGCAGAGGAAGCAGGTAAGCCAGGGGCCCAAGGGAGGGGCAGGGTGTGCGTTAGAGGAACAGCAGCGACCAGTGTGGCTGGAGCAGGGCAGGGAAAGGGGAGAACTGTGGGAGAGGAAGTCGGAGAGGAAATAGGGAACCCCACCGGGTGCTGGTATCCTCTCTGAGACAGAAGCCATTGGGGGACTTTGAGCAGGAGAGTGACATGATCTAACTACAGGTCTAAAAGAATCATTCTGCTGTTGTGGGAGACTCCCCTGTCGGGGGCGAGGCCAGAGACCAGCTGCGGCAGTCATCCAGGCGCGAGACACTGGGTGGCTCAGAACAAGTGGTGGTGTTAGAGGTAGTGAGGAAAAGTTAGATACCAGATTTACCTTAAGATAAAGTTAGTGGGACTGGCTGATGGACTAGATGTGAGGTGTGAGAAAGAGAGGGGAATCAGAGAAGATTCCAACAGTTTGGGCATGAGCAACAGGAATGATGAGATATGGCGGAATGGACATTAAGCGTTCTGCTGAGAACTTCTTGAAGTTTGAGTTGTTGCTTGGACATCGAATGCATGTCTTGAGTTGGTTCTACTGTGTCTGGAGGTCAGTGGGGAGGTCCAAGCTGGAGACAAAAGCGCAGCAGTTGTATAGTTCATATTTAAAGTCAAATTGTATGTGACTACCTAGGAGGCCAGTGCAGAAGGTGAGGATGTGAAAGCACTCAACCCTGCAGTGCTCCCACATTGAGGGGTCAAGAGAGGAGAAAGCAACAAAACAGACTGATGAGGGATGGCTTGCAGAGCAGGGACATGGAGAGAACGGCGCCCCATGAAGAGAGCGGTCAGTGAACAGGCGGTGGTGTCACGTGCTGCAGAGACATGGCTGGACACCGACCGCTGGGTTTAGCAACACCAAGACCATCCAGACCTTGAAGGCATCTGTGTTGGTGGAGTGATGTGGACAAACACCCAGCAGACATAGGTTCAAGAGAGCATGGGAGGAGTGGGAGGCCGTGAGGATAGACAGCCCTGGCCAACAGAAATCTGATGCAAGCCACAAGTGTGGGCTGCATGTGTAATTTACCTTTGCTAGGAGCCACATTAAAAAGTAAAAACAGGTGAAATTAACAGTGATCATAGATTTTATTTCACCCGACATAGCCAAAATATTATCATCTCAACATGTAATAAATATAAAAAATCATTCATGAGACATTTGTCATTCCTTGTTTTGTACTAAATCTTTGAAATATGCTGTATGTTTTATACTTATAATTATTATTATTGCAATGCAGATTAGCCACATTTCAAGTGCTGAATGGCCACGTGTGGCTACCGTATAGACAAGTCTTTTGGGAAATTTTGCTCTAAATGAGCAGAGAAAAAAAGGGGGTTACTAGAAGTGGGCGTGGAGTCAAGAGGGTTTTGTTTCTGAATGGGAGATATGACAGCAGTTTTCTATGTGATGGGAATCATCTAACAGAGGCAGAAAATGTGATGACATAGAAGCGAGAGGGAACCATTGCTGGAAGGACGGAGCTCCTTCACTGGCAAGAAGGGGATGGGTGCACAGAAAGGGTGCCACCCGTGCAGGGGCAGGGCCGTGTGGGACGGAGCTCCTTCACTGGCAAGAAGGGGATGGGTGCATGCGAAGGGCGTCCACCTGTGCAGGGGCAGCGCCGTGGGTCGTGGTTCAGTGAGAAGGCGCATTGTCAGCATAGACGCGTGGTTGTGGGAATACATGAAAGTTTCTTCTGATTGCATCTTTCTAAGGGAACTGGGGAACGAGGCCATCAGCTGAAAACGTGAAAGGGGAAGGAGACGGGAAGTGTGACGAGAGAGGCACGGGTGCTGAAAGAATTAGCTCAGAAAGCAGAAGGGTGAATGGAGTGCGGACAAAGCAGGAGGGCCCTCAGGTGTCACCGAGGGCCTCCTTGAGGTTGGAGGTCATGAGTGTAAAGTGAGAGTCTGCTCAACTTTGCAGATTTCTTGACCCTTTCCAGGTACCAAGCAGATCTCTGGTTGGACTTGATTAGGGTTGGTGTTTTTCCAGGTGTGCAAGATAAACAGACAGAAGACTAAGAATGCTGAGCATAAATGCAAGTGAGTGAGGGCAGCAGTGGCACATGGCGTCTGAGCTGGCTGGAAGGAGGGTGGACATGGTGGCAGGGATGAAGAGTGCGGTGGGACGAAGGGATCGTGGGAGTCAGGGTGAGAGAGGGAGGGGACCGGAAAGACGGTGGTGCTGGTTAGAGGGTAGGATGTTAGATTTGGGATTATGGGGGAGGTGTTAATCAGTGGTGACAGGGATATTGGCTATAGCCATGGGATTGGGACTACTGAGATAGGTTCCCCAGAAGCCAGATATCCAAGAACCAAGAAGCTACTGCAGGAAGGTGGAGAAGTGAGTGTCGGAGTGAAGTAGAGCGAACCAAGAGCCCTTGTCCTCAAGGCACAAGGAGGGGTGACTCAAAGGTCTGCAGAAGGCTGCAGTAAAGAGAAGTAAGGCATAGAGGATCTGATGACACAAATGTCAAAACTGGAGGGCTCCAGGGAGGTGGGGGTGCAGTGGAGCAGAAATCAGGAGCTGGCAGGGCCCCCTTAGACCTGGCAACCTGGTGCAGTGGAAGGAGGCTTCTGGGAGAGGAAGTGGCTGCCTGCTGAGAGACAGCAGAGAAAGCTGCACCCTCAGGGAGAATCAGGAAGTGACCAGAAAGGAAGCTGAGAACTGGGCCACCTGTTTTGCAAAGTTTTGTTGGAATTCAGTTACACCCACTCATGGAGATGCCACTCTTGTCCTGCTGCTGGGCAGGGTGGAGTAGCTGGAACAGAGACTGCATGGCTTGCAAAGATGAAAACCAGCATCCGGCCCTTACAGAAAAGTTGGCTGACCCTGAACAGGCGAGGGACTATGGGGATGGGAGGGCACAGTGGGAAGGTTTCTGCAGCGGGGTGGTGAGAAAGGAGGGATTAGATCAGAGGATGCACAAAGCCCCATGGGAACAGGAGTCCGGGTGATGAGGGATGACTCAATAATTTTGGGCTTTTCGTGGCAACCAAGAAAAATAGGGAAAAGGGCGTGCAGGGTGATTTCTGTCCTTTATACCCAGAGAGGATGCTACAGATTCATTGCCACAGAGTGCACTACACGCTGGGTCGTGTTTCTTCAACAGAGGGGCGTGGGATCAAGGAGGGAGCCCAGGTATTAGGAGTGGGTCTCCATATCAGATCTAAACTATGAACCAGGACAGCTTTCATTCAGGAGCAATAGGCTTGAGCTCTTAAGTGACTTATGCCCCAGGTATCTGGATCTAGAAATGGGAAGCTGCAGCTGGGGGATTAGCCAGATGCATTAGCAGAAGTTCAGGGCCAGGCAGGGCTGAGCGATGAGGGGATTGGTCTAGAAACGCTCCATGGAGGCCCCCAGGCACAGACTGGCTGCGTGACTGGCGTTCTGGCTCCTCTAGTCCAGAGGAGCTTCCCTTCTATCTGGTCTGTGTCTTGGACCTCTGAGCGAGACTCTCAACAGTGGGTTCTGCAGCCGAACGAAGTTTGAGAACCCTGTCCAGGCCGTATCTGCAGTGTCTCTCAGCCTGGCAACTTGATGGCTTCCTATGTTAGCTGGTGAGGCCTTGAATCCCAGGCAGAAGTTGCCAGGATGGGGGAGTGGGCTTCTTTCTCCACAAGGGAAATGTTCTTTCCACTGAAGCCTAGATCACTGAAACCTGAGGAAATGGAGACCAGTTTGCAAATTTGTCAAACAACATTCCAAATGCAAACCAGATTTTGTTCCCAGTATTTCCTGCAGGAAAGTAATATGCTGATCGGAGTAAAAGAGGTTCACAAAATACTATTCGGTGAAGGGAGTGGAGATTAGACAACTTGCCTTTAACTCCTGCCTCAAGTTGAGACTCTTTATTAAGTATCCGCTTTTAATTCTGAAAGGGTAGAAAATTCAAACATGGGTGTAGGAGTGGCTGGTGTATTTCTCCTCAATGAGACATTCTAAAGGCAAAACCACTGCTTGGTGCCCACTGGTCCCTGAGGGTTGGGCTCTGGTGTGGACGCCTGGCCGAAGGACTGCTCTGGGAGCTGTGTCTGGCAGATCTGTAGTCCGGCAGTGGAGCTTTTAGAAGAAAAGGACCGTGAGGCTGTGGAATGATCGTGAGGCCCAGAGAATGGGAAAGGCAGGGCCTCCACCCTGCTAGGGAGGTAGGGATGCAACAAAGCCTCACTGGCTGGCGTGGAACCTCCTGAGGATCCACTGAGGATTCCACGGTCCCTCGGTAGGGGCACGTGGATCTGAGGCCGCCACAGTCCCTCTGTGTTTATTCAGCAATCCCACCACCAAGAGGCCTCTGCTTTAGGAAGGAAAGAAATGCCACGTGTCTTGTGCCACCAGAATAGCAATGCAGAGATGAGGCTCTCAGCCTGGCACTCAGGCAGTAGGCAGGCAGGTCCACCTTTCTCTAGGGTGAGTTAGGCTCCCCCAGCTTTGTGGGAGGCCAGGAGAAACCTTCCCCTACAGCTACAGAAGAGGGGCCAAGGATAGCAGATATTTTCCAAGAGACACAGGGAAGCAAAGGGCTACCCATTTAATATTGCAAAGGAAGCAGAAAAAGGAGATGAGCTGAAGAGAGGTGGTAAGCTGCACCCTGCAGCGATGGGGGATTGTTACAAGAATGGGCTGATTTAGACAGGATGAAGAGCCCTTAGGAGAAGAGAGACTAGGTGCCAAATATGTCCCAGTGCAAGACCAACCACGAGCTGGGCAACTGCTGGCATCTTAACCTCTGTGGCTTAGAAACAGGAGCACACAACTGGATGCCTCCCTCTCTTCACCAGCCTCATGGCCTAGGCCCTAGGGAGATGTGACTGGAATCTGGGCTGACCCCAGAAAAAGCCTGGCCCCTTGTGGTTGTGTGGAGGAGTCTAAGGGATGAAGCGGGTCCAGACAGACCGCAGGTGAGGCACCAGGTGTGGGCCAGAGATGCACCACTGCACTGCCTCCCTGTCAACCCAGGCAGGGCCCCTCCCTCCCAGGGCTCCTGTTCGGTGCCTACTCACCCTGTATTTCTTGTCTCTGCTCCCCCGACTCATGATTTCATTAAGACCACATATGGGGCAAAGCACATATAATCAACTCCAACTCACTTCAAAATTCCAAAATTTTGCCTAAACAAAATTCGTCCCTGCAAGTCACCCTCATCCCTCCACTGGTCCCAGAAGCATCTGCTCTCATCATTCCCAAGGCTCTTTTCTATGCATGTGCAAAAGACTCCCAGGAGACTGAGGCCTTGAGAAAGATGCCAAATTCTAAAAAGGATTTAGGGGCATTTGGAACAACCCACCTTAAGGACTTTTGCTATGGTTTACTGAGTCATTCAAGGCATGCGTTTAGCCACTCTTTGTTTATTCTGGCATGAGCAGAAGCAGCAAAATCTCTCCTATAGCTGCATGCACACCCCGAGTGCTATGAGCCAGAGCTAGACCTGGCTAATGATGCTAATAACCTTAGTGCACCTCGTATCACCCAAATATTCCTGAGGTTCATGTGGCCAAAGTGCGTCATTCATTGGCCAGGCAAAATAAGGCAACAACAACAACAACAAAAACCCTAACGTGGTTCCAAGCAACCTTATGAGCCATCCAGATGGCCAGAGACAAGGAAATAACTTGCAAATGATCTCGACGTCCTCCTGCGTCATTTCCTGCAGTAAAGACCAGGCACTCTCACAAGATGGTGAACGGCGGGTGCTCTGGAGACGTCCACAATGGCTGTGTCTCCTCCGGGATGGCACAAAAGGATCCTCCAAAAATAGGCCTCTGGGATAAAGAGCTCCTGACATTCTGACCTTGACTCTGCAGACTGCCAGGACTTCAAGAGAGGGAGAGTCCAAGGTGGCAGCCACTTGAGCACTCACTGGGCTCAGAGTAACAAGGGATTAGCCCAAAGGAACCGGCTTCTTCTCAAGGTAAAATCTGCTGCAATGGGCTCCCTCCTATTACAAGACAGATGTGTTGATGGAACTTCATCACCTGCGTTTTTTTTTTTTTTTTTTTTTTTTTGAGATGGAGTCTCGCTCTGTTGCCCAGGCTGGAGTGCAGTGGCATGATCTCGGCTCACTGTAAGCTCCGCCTCCCGGGTTCACGCCATTCTCCTGCCTCAGCCTCCCGAGTAGCTGGGACTACAGGCGCCCGCCACCTCGCCCGGCTAAGTTTTTGTATTTTTAGTAGAGACGGGGTTTCACCGTGTTAGCCAGGATGGTCTCGATCTCCTGACCTCGTGATCCGCCCGCCTTGGCCTCCCAAAGTGCTGGGATTACAGGTGTGAGCCACCGCGCCTGACCTCACCTGCATTTTAATAACTTACACTTCACCAGTGTAGGTAGGCCTGTTAGGTACAAATATTTTATGGAGATTCTTTTTGTGAGGTTAATAACTTATTTATAAGGAGATCTCTTCTACATTTTATTTAAGATTCTTTGCATTGCTGTTTTGAAAGCCTAGACTGACTCTACCTTATCTTATGCTACAGTGGAGCAGGGTGTCTGGGGGAAGCTGCATTTGATTGGGGTTTGGTTACCTGTCATCTTCGCCTTTCATAGTTCCCTGTTTCCTTCTCATCCACCTGTCTTGAGCAGTCTGGTTTTCTGGGGCCACAGAACCAGGCCCCCTGTAGAGTGAGAATGGGGAAGAGGCCTCTGTACAAGTCCAGAGCACAGGCACAGCCTGTGTGCGCCCCACCCTCACCCCACACCTGCAGACTGCATGCTCACGGACGAGCTGCCCCAAATGTGCTCAGTGATACAGCAGGGAAACTATCAGAGGAACTGCGGGGCCAGATGTGGTCTGAGATGAAACGAAAGTCCTTAAGCAGGGGGATATCCTACAGCAGCACAGAGCAGCCTGGGTTCCATCAGGAGCACTCAGGTCCAACCGTGTGTGCATGCTGTGTGGGAGTGGTGGAGAGGGGTGCTCTTGGGTCATAGCCCCTGTCCCTCTGGGGAAGTCTGAATTCAAAGTGATTTTCACAGATCCTTTCTTCTTGCCTGAAGCCCAGCATAGTTAGGACCAAATTGAAAAGAGATAACACAGAAGGAAGAAGAGGGATGTACTGGTGAGACAGCCAGGTGGGGAGGGGTCCCCAGAGAAACTCCAGCCAGCCTGCGCACTGGGAGGAGTGCACACTAGGGTGGAACCACGGAAGTTCACGCCACCAACTGCAGCAGGGAGAAGCCTGACCCCTCCTTTTCCTGGGTAGAACCTTGGATTCAACCTGCGAGGCGGGAAGCCCATGGGCAGGAAGCGCACTCTCTCACTTTGCTGAGTCTCTCTTTCCCTTTCTGTTCCTTTTAGCAAAATAAATCTCATTTTTCTCACTCTAGATCATCTGCGAGCCTAAATCTTTGTGGCCGTCTGACAACGACCCTGTCTTCAGCTGACTTAAGGAAAAGTCCCGCAACACTGGTAAGATAAAGGGAAAGAAACAGACAGTGATACTTACCCCACAACCACAATTATAAAATCTAGTAGGTTCCAGCCGTTGCGGAGGTAGGCATTGGGGTGAAAGAGGAGTCCATAGGCGATTACTTTTAAAAACGCTTCCACCGTAAAAATTATGAGAAAGAGATATTCCACTCGTTCCTAGGAAACAGAAATAGAAAAGAGAGAAAAATAAGTCATTGGTTTGGGGATTTGGAAAGTTTGGAACCAGTAGATCTCACAAGTAGGTGGAAGATAATGCTGCCCCCTCTGTGGTGGAACCAAGTGGGGACACCCAGGCCAAATTAGCAACTCCACGACCTGCTCTACCGCGACAGCACCAAGCTACTGGGGATTACAGGATTTTTTTTTTTCTGCATCAAAGTTCCCCCATGAACATGTAAATATTAGACTAGTGGAAAAATTTCATATTTTTTGAAACATTTTATTTAGTTAATCAGTTGACATTTTATTGTGCTCTCCCAGAAGAGAATTCATAGTGTCTCCATCTAAAGGGAAACAATGTCAGGGCCAAAAGAGAAGGGGATAAAGCACAGCTCCTGGAAAACCGCGCTCCGATTCTGCAGGAACAAGCCCTGAAGACAGCAGACTTGGTCTTGGGGAGGGTACTAGCCGAGTTCCTCCAAAAGACAGAGCAAAAATGCAGCCACAAAGAAATGGAGACGGTGAAGATCCCTTAAGAGCAGCCCAGACAGAGGCAACCTGCTCACATACACCGATCCAGAAATGTGAAATCTCTTTCTTGAGAAAATAAAACCTTCTGTCCAAAGACGTCGAACATTTCAGCAGAGAAAATCAGCACTTTGCGGATGGAGGCAGGCACTGGGTGGGAGTGGAGAATGGAAAGAGCCCCTCTCTTTCCTCAAGGGGCAGAAGACAATCTTCTTCCTCCCCTGCCACCTTGAAGAAGGGCTTTGCATTTAAGGATGCAGCTCCCATCCCTGGGAGCCCAGAGCGAACAGGACAAACTTGTTGGCTCAATTAGAGCCAGCCGACTCTGTGCTGATTCATGCACGTCCCTCGCCACTAATTGCTTTCTCCCACACCCCCATCCCAAGTGCAGAGCCTTAATGGCCCCCACCAGGCAAAGGCTGCCTGGATGCCTTCATGCTCCACTGCTCGCCTCTGCAGAAGCCTCAGCCATCCCTCACTGGAGCCACGAAACACCCATCCACATTGCATTCGGGCATAGGCCCTCCAGAGTGCGGCGGGCCTGTCCACAGCCCCAAGTGGGCACTCGGCTCAGAACCCCTAGACCCATTTTCCCCTCCTCTGCGAGTCAGAGGGAGCTCTGGTGTGTGCATGTGGGAGCAGTGGTGAGGGGGTGTTCCAGGCTCACCCACATTCTGGAGGAGGGATGTTGCCCACAAAGGCCCACCTCCTCCTGCCTAGCCAGCTGGAAGGTTCCTCCAAGGCAGGGCCATCGGGAGCAGGGCCAGATGGGAAGCTCTGCAGGGAGCCATCAGGCCATATCAGTACCCTGGGCTCCCATTCATTCCATCACAATCCCCTGGGCATGTAGGGAGTGCCAGCCTCACTGTGAAGCAGTTTGAGGATGCAAAATTAAAAACTGTAGAATTCTGGGCCCTACCCAGACCTACTGAAACAGATCATCTGGCTATGAAGCTTGGAAATGTGCATCGTAGACAATTTCCAGGTGTTTCTGAGGTACCCGGAAGAACCACCAGCTCACGTGTGGATGAAGGCCCAGATCACGCCGCGGCGTGGGAAAGGAGTGCAGGGGTCAGATTTCATCAGCATCTCAGAGGCAGATTCGTCCTTCCCTTCCTGCCCATTTTTGTGCCATAAAATTGGTTTAGGGAGGCAGCTGCCTTGGGGTTGTGAACCACAAACAAATCACAGGACGTGGGAAGCTCCAATCTTTTAAAGTCAGGTGATGTTGGGTTAAAATGTACATCAGGGCAATGTTGAAGAAGAAAACATGAGACAACACAGCACAGGGGAACCTGAGGATGTTTGTGGGAGTGGGAATAGTGGAGCTGTCACACAGCCCCTTAGCCCATCTCCTTATCCCCAACCCATGATGGTTCAGAGCTTTCATGTCTGCCACTAGATGACAGGGTCACCTCTTTCTATATTCCCAGAAAGGTGAAGCTGAGATGGGAAAGAAAGCACAGGAAAGGGAAACACACAAGTTGGGTATCCATTAGGTGTCAGGTGCTTTCATATGTGCTAGTTGCTTTCACACTTCCATTCACCATCACCTGCCCACCCATCCATCCATCCACCCACCCACCAATTCATCCATTCATCCATCCATGTACCCATTCACCCATCTATTCATCCATCTTTTCATGCACTCACCCATCCATTCATCCATTCACCCACCCACCCACTCACTACTCATCCATTCATCCATCCATTCACCCACCTGTCCATCCACCCATCAATCCATCTATCCACCCATTCACCCATCCATTCATCTATCTTTCTACCCATCACCCATCCATTCATCTATCCACCTACCCACCCACTCACCACCTATCCAGCCAGCCACCCACCCATTCATCCATCCATCCATTCACCCACCTATGCACCACCCACTCATCCATTCATCTACCCATTCACCTACCTGTCCATCCATCCATCCATCCACCCACTGACGCACCCATCCGTCAGTCCACCCACCCACCCACCCACTCACCCATTCTTCTATCCATCCAACCACCCACTCATCCATCCACCCACCCACCTATCCATCCACCCATCCATCCATCCATCCATCCACCCACCCACACACATACATACATATATATACCCACCCACCATCCAACCACCCATCTATACATCCACCCACTCACCCATCCATCCATCCACCCACCTATCCATTTATTCAGCTATCCATCTATCCACCCACCTACCCATCCATCCATCCATCCATCCATCCATCCATCCACCCACCCACCTACATATATCCATCCATCCATCCATCCACCTACCTACCTATACATTTATCCATCCATCTATCCATCTACCCATTCATTCGTTCACCCACTCACTCATTCTTCTATCTGATCATCCATCTACTCATCCACTCACCCACCATCCACCCACTTACCCACCCATCCATCCACCCATCTGTCCCCTTAGTCATTCATGATCAGTGTGGCACAACTAGTTGCATTGTCAAAAAGTGACCCTGTATCTCCCTCTGGGTTGTCTAGATAATGAGCCCTCCAGAAGAGGTAGCACTCAAGCACAGAACCACTCCTCCCTCTGGCAGAGAGAGCAGCAATATCCTGAAGGCTCTGAGGGCCCTATATGCTGGGAAACTGGCATTCCCAGACAACTCCTATAAGCAGCTGGCACCCCTAGTCCAGACTGCCTGGTACCAAGCAGTCTGCTTATTTCCTCATTGACAGGCTGCTTTCTCTTGCTTAATTGCCCTATAAAAAGAGAGAGCCATGGGTCGCGGGGTGTGGTGAGGGCCCTCCACTTGGGTACAGGTTTACTGCAGGGCCAGCAGCATCCTGGACCTGGCATATCTCTTTTTGAGATGGAAGGGTTGGGGGATGTGACTTCTCTTGTTGACCTTTGGCCTTGGCAAATTTTCCCAAAAAAAGCCTATCCTGCGATCCATGCCATGTAACATTTGTCCTGCATCCTGGCATAGAACATGTGGAGACCCAGAGGGACCTGTCCCACCTGACAGTGATCATTCAATCCAACATTAACTCAAGCATTCACAAACATGTTTATGTAAGTGTTGGGTGCTGGAGACTTGAGGAAAAAGTCTCAGAAACAGACCTCAAGGATGTACTGGTACAATGCAGGGCAAATGGACAGATGATTCCAATACAATTAGGACATGGCATGGCATTCCGGAGGCAAGCACAGCTGGCTATGGATGGACTTCCCAAAGTAAGAATCTTCAAGCTGAATCTCGAAGGATGAAGAGTTGTCCAGGTGAAGAAGGTTAGGTGCTGGGGGTAGGGAGTAGGGAATGTGGAGGGGGTCAGGCATTGCAGGTGGAGAGTGAACTAAGAAGATGGGAAGTATGGACAGCTCTGCTATGCAAACATTTGATTTGGCTGGAGTGAGGGTGTTGAAGTAGCAGGGCTGGAGGGCCCGGCAGGAGCAAGATGACCAGGAACTTTGTGGCTATGCCTGGATGCTTGGATTCCATTCTGAGGAGAATGGGAATGACCTGGTGAGATACGCCCTGCAATCTGGCACTGGCTGGAGAATGAGTGATAGGGTTAAGGGCAGGGGAGTGACCCATGCAGAGATCATGGAGGCGGGAGCCAAAGTAGAGATAGTGGGATTGGTGAGATGTAGGTGGATTTGAGAGGAGAAAGCATGTGCTTTGTTTTCTGGTTGTACGTAGGGGTTGAGGGAAGAGGCAGTGCAGAGATGTGCAATGCCCCCTCCCTGAGGTTTCTAATTTGGGTGACTGTGTGGATGGTGATGCCTCTCACTGCAGCAGGGGACTTCAAGAAGAGGAAGAGGGGTTTTGGAGGAAGGTAGAGACATCAGTTATGAACTTGCTGAAGTGGAGATATTGGGGATCAGACCTACAGAGGTGGGGCCCAGAGCAGAGTTCATCTTGCAGGAGACGGCTGAACGAGGAGAGTGTGCAGACTAAAGAGAAAAGGGCAGAGGCTGGGCTCCAAATCAGTACGGAACAGCCACTACAAACCCCCATTAGCATGTGCATCCCATCAGAAACCTCATCCCCAAGAAAGTCCCTTCACATTATGCGAATTTATCTCCAGCAGAAGTTACAGGACCTCTCTTAAAATCATGAAGTCTGGGAGAGAAAGAAACTTAAAGGTTATCTAATTAACCTCCTCACCTGAAAAATTAGGATTCTGACAAGATACTCAAGCCAGGGAGAAATGCACAGAGGACAGGAAACCAGACTTTCTGACCTTCAAGCCAAAGGTCTGTTCATCACATCTCACCTGCCGGGGTACTGGAGAAACGCAGTTCACTGGTACCACTTATCCCCAGAGACATGGCTGGTTTCACAATCCTCATGCCTGATTGTTTAAGGGTCTGAGATAGAACTGGAAGGGCCCAGAGAGCCAGTAAGAGCGGGTCTGAACAGGAATCCAGAGAAAGACAGCTGCCTATTGTTGAAACGTCTGGGACACGGTCACTGTGTAGCATTTGTGTGCACTGTGTGTGTGCGTGTGCTGACTAAATGTTGCAAGAAGCAGTGTTATTCACTCTGACCTTAGAGGCATGACTGCCCTTCTAGAATTACTTTAAAAAAAACAACAAAAAACAAAAACAAGCAAGACAGCTTGGTTAATTCCTTCAAAACATACGTTGTGCTGTCATAGAAACATCTAAGGGCGAGTATGAATGGAGTGAAGAAAAGAAAAAGTTGGTCAAAGACTGTTCTCATAGATGCCCCACGTGCCTCTGGTTCCTTGAATATACAGTTCCGTGGCCCTCTTCATGCCTGAACTCTGAAGCCAGAGGCCTGTGTGCCCTCCTAAATCCTGGGTGGTCACAGAGCTCATTGAGAAGGCACCAAATATTCAGCATGCAAACTGGCCCTTTTGGTGATCTTGGGAAACGGGAAGCTTTGGAAGCCAAGTGGAACAGATGAAGACTCCCATTCCTACTGTTCAGTGTTAAGGTTGGATAGTGTAGAGGAGGTACGAACAACTGCAGAAGAGAGAATGAACCCCAGACCAATAGCATGGAAACACCCAGACTTTCAAAGCTGCAAATGGGCCATACCCAAGGCCTTGGGAGCCCACCCCTCACACCAGTGTGCCCTGGATGTGGGACACGGAATCATAGCAGATCATTCTGGCTCTTTAATGACTGCCCTACTGGGTTTTGAACTTGCCTGGGGACTGTGACCCCTTTCTTTTGACCAATTTCTCCCTTTTGGAACAGGAAAGTTTACCCAATGCCTATATTCCCATTGTATCTTGTAAGTAACTAACTTGCTTTTGATTTTACAGGCCCATAGGTGGAAGGGATTTGCCTTCCATCTTGCTCCTACCGGGCCCTCCAGCCCTGCTACTTCAGATGAGTCTTTGGACTTTTGAGTTAATGCTGAATGACTTAAGACTTTGGGGGGACCATGGAGAAGGGATGATTGTATTTTGCAACATGAGGACATGAGATTTGGGAGAAGGCAAGAGCAGAATATCGTTTGAGCATAACTTCACCTAGATCTCATGTTCAATTGTAATCCCTAGGGTTGGAGGTGTTTGGGTGATGAGGATGGATCCCTCATGAAAGGCTTAGCCCATCCCCTTGGAGATAAGTGAGCTCTCTGCATTCCTGTAAGATCTGATCATTTAAAAATGTGTGGCACCTCCCTGCTCCATTCTCTCTCTTGCTCTGTTCTCATCATGTGATGTGCCTGCTCCCCCTTTGCCTTCTGCCATGATTGGAAGCCTCCTGAGGCCTCCCCAGAAGCAGATGGCACTATGCTTCCTGTACAGCCCACAGAACCATGAGCCAATTAAACCTCTTTTCTTATACATTACCCAGTCTCAGGCAGTTCTTTATAGCACTGCAACAACGGCCCAATACAGGCTGGAAGGGATTCCCCGGTGCTCCTGGAGGACCCTGCTCCTCTGACAGTGGGTGGATCCCTGCCAGCCTTGAGGCAGGCTGATGACCTTGCCCACAGATAGCTCCTGTCTTCTTCCTTTCTACCACTTTCTCTTCAATTCCATTTTTCCTTTATTGCTTCCTATTTCCATCTTCTTCTCCCTTTCTTCCTTCTCTCCCTGTTCATTTCTTAGATCTCCTACTGGCAACTGGGGGGTCCATGGCCACACTCATGTCTGAAATATTTAGAAGAGGTCAGTGGAGAGAGAGCCCCAGTTCCAGGAATCATGATGGCTTCTAAACACTTGTGGAGCTAATTAGACACTGATGTGTACAGGCTATCCTAGTTTTCCAATTTATCTTCTCACGTATATATTACCACTCTTTTCAACTACATTATAAGCTTCTTGAGGACAAAGACTCAAGAATGAGAATAATAATGATGAGTCTTTACTGATGAGAAGTCTTTGAATGATGGTAATAATTTTGATTCTGGCACCAACTGGCTGCACATCCTTGGACAAGTCACTCTACTTCTCTGGGTCTATTTTCTCATGTGCAAAAGGACGTAAGAAAATTACAGTGCTGCAAAGAGCTCTAGGCCTCCACAGAGGGCTTCGGGACAGGTGCAGGCAAGAGGAAGGCTAAGTAAGGAGGCTTTGACTCCCCATCCCCTCTTGAACCAGAGCAATGCCATAATCCCACATGCTGAGTGTCGAAGGGTCCTAACACAGTTGAAGAGGGTCCAGGGAGCCAATATGACAGAGTGTGGACAGAGAATACACACAAAAAGCAGCAGCAGCTACCTATTACTGACCAGTCCGGAAGAATTTTACTGGCTTTATGTGCCAGGTTCTGCATAAGATTTGAAAAGAGGGATCAGTGTTTTTTTCGTTTTTCTTGGAACTTTGAATACCACTTCCAAAGCGGTAGCTAACTTCCAAAGTCCCTCCAAGATGCTATGGCGAGGGAGACCGCCAGGCCCTGGTTTGTGTGCATTTCTGCCAAAGGCACAGTGAGATTTTAGGACATGGGACGGAATAAAGAGCTCCTCTTCTTCACTTCCTCTCCTTGTTGTTCTGAGGATCACCATGAATACAAAGAGACTTTATAACAAAACACCCTCCATTAATGAGATTATTAATATTTGTGCTTTAGAGGAACACAGACTCCTTGTGAGCAGAAGCCATGCCAGGGTAGATCTCTTGGGACCAGGACAGTCTGGAGAGACTGACTGAAGTGTCTACTCCCATGTGCACAGTAGAGCTGGGGGATGCTCACCCACCTGTGCTGAACACTGTGTGGCTACATCCACTAGGTGACAGACCCAGGGTGTGAGAACTCATACCAAGACAGCTTGTGTGTGCCCACCTAGATTTATGTAAATGTACTTATGGAAGCCAGCAAGAATTCTCCACCAAACAGAATTGATGAGAAGCCCAGTTATGCAATTCCATCTCAGTACAAGGTGCAAAAGACAATCAACACAATAATAACACCTCAAGCAGCACGCTGTATCTCAGGTTGTTTCAGAACTTGAATACTCATCAGCCCGACCTCTACATGCATTTCCTGCCTATTCTCTGTCTGAGAGATGAAGGATGCACAACCTCTTAGCTCTCACTACCTCATTCTTCTCCCATGTATTCATCCAGCACGCCACAAATACTTCCTGAGAGTTGCAGCACTTTGCTCCACTTGCCGCATTGCCCTCTCAGCGCATCGATGAGTTGGAGAATGTAAGAGGCTGGGAGAAAAACCAGGACACCCATCCCAAACTCCTTGGGATATGGAGGTGAGGGGGCTGATTCAAGGACACATGTCTTGCCTATGTGAGGGGCATGAGAGTTTCTCCATGGCTGGTCTGACATTCCTTCTGCTGAAGCACGGCCGTCTCTATCCATGGACTGTCTGAAACCCCTGGGTTACTGTGCCCAACAGGAGCTGCTGGGCAGGTAAAAGCCTGCTTGCCAGGTATGGCTGGAGGGGTGGGCAGCAGGCCTCCCACACTGAAGGCCTCCTCCTCCTGGGATCTCCACCTATGCCTGAGATTCAGCCATGAAGAAGCCTTCCTTCCACTGACAGAAATGGATAAACAAAATGTGGTGCCTACACATTCCCACACATGCTACAGCATGGACGAGCCGTGAAAACACTGTGCTAAGCAAAAGAAGCCAGACACAGTAGGACAAATACCGTATGATCCCACTTACATGAAAGATCTAGAGTAGGCAAATTCACAGAGACACACAGTAGATTACGGGTTACGAGGGGCTGGGGGAAGGAGCAATGGGAATTACTGCTTAACAGGTACAGAGTTCCTGTTTGTGGAGATGAAAAACTTCGGAAATGGTGGTGATGGTTGCACAACATTGTGGGTGTGATTAATGCCACTGAATTTCACACTTAAAAATGGTTAGAATGGTAAATTGTGTTATATATATTTTACCACAATAAAAAAAGAAGCATTCTTTTGGATCTTAAATGTTTGACAGCACAGCCTTTTGTAGTGGGCCAGCGGACAGATGCGCAGGGTGAGCCTAGACTGGGAAGAAGGGCTGGGCAGGGAGGTGGGGCAATGCTGTGATTTCACAATCCTGAGGGCAGGTCCTGCCGGGGGTCTTCTGCAGCAGCCTCTGCTAGAAGGTGCCTGCTGCTCCGAACGGTCTGGGCTTACACTCAGGACATTCTTGTAAAGCAGAAGGACAGGGAAAACCACTAATAGCCTAACAGCAAAGCAGCCTTGAAGAGAACAATGCACCTATTTATTGAGGGCAAGCAGCAATTGAGGCTGGGTGAATTAAAAAGTATGCTAGTTTCATTGCTTTTACAGTAGCTCAATTAAAAAAAAAAAAACCCTTCTCAAACTTATCTCTTTCTCTGTAGTTGCCCAGGATGTTAAGTTGAAATGGCTTAGTTGCCTATCAGTTTCTTGCGAGTATGCTTTCCTCCCTGCCCCAGCACATGGGTGTGGGCCTGACTTGCCTCCCTGCCCCAGCACGTGGGTGTGGGTGCTCAGATCCAGGGTGCTGAAAGCTGCCTCGTTGTCTGACACTAGCCCTGTGCACGCCTCTTGGGCTCTTCACTTCCACTGCCCCAGCCAAGACATGTGCCTGTGCTGACCTCTCACAGGCAGGTCTGGGGATGAGAAGCCAATGCGGTAGATTTGCACACCCCAGTGGCCTCCTTATGGCCCACGTTTTTCCAACTGCAACCTACAGGGCAGGCATGGGGCATTTGATTTGCCTGGTGTCCAGCGTTTGAACAGTACAGAGGGCATGATCAACCTTTGCCACAATGCTGCCTGTGTCACCCTCTTGGAGTTGAGAGGAAGCCCAAATGCCACCCAGGCCAGCCACCTGCCCAGGGCAGAAGCCCCTTCTCCACTGACCTCCTCTATCCCAGGGCTGTCAGGTCCTCATAAGGCTACTTGTTCTGTCATTGGGCAGCTGTGTGTCAGAGCGTGGCCACAGCCCCAAACTCTCCAAGGAGCTCACTGTGCTCATGGTGATTACCTCTTCTTTGGGGGCAATGGAGTGGAGAGGGTGACAGATATTACCAATCAGGGCTGAATTACTCCTGGGGACAATGGGCATTTGCTTAGTGACCTGTGGGCTAGCATGTAATTTCCCAAATGGGGAAAAAGTGCAGCAGTGGCCTTAAAACTCTCTACTAACTGCCCACCTTCTTTCAGGAGTTAGACCAACACCTGGCCCAGGGAACAGGATCCTGTCTTTCTGCCTCACCCCATGGCCTCTCCCCACTCAGGCCCCCATCATGGGTTGTTTGGATATTAAAAGAGCTTCCTAACCAGGCTCATTGACACCTAGGGAGTTTTACTGCTCGAAAGCCTTCAATGGCTCCCTTCTGCCCTTAAATGGGATCTAGCCTCCTTAGCATGGTTCAAGGTCTGTCACAGTCTGACCCTCCCCGTTCCCCAGCCACATTCTGTGCTCCAGCCACACCAAAGGCTCACCACACCCAAACCAGGCAGGCTGTTTCCGGCAGCTTTCTTCTTCATGCCCTTCCCATCCCTGCCACTTTCTCCACTTCCAAGAACTCCTACTCCTCCACGATGCAGCTCAGTGGCCACCCTGCTCTGGACTTCTCAATCCCCATCTGCCTGCCATGTCCACCTCCAACATCACCTCCTTCCGCCATCACCACCACCACCATGACTACCATGACCACCATCACCACCACCACCATCATTACCACCACCATCATCATTATCATCACCATCCCCACCATCACCACAACCACCACCACCACCACCACCATCATTACCACTATCATTACCACCACCACCATCACCATCATTATCATCACCATCCCCACCATCACAACCACCACCACCACCACCATCACCATCGCCGTCATTATCCCACCATCCCCACCACCACCACCACTACCATCCCCACTATCACCATTACCACCATCCCTACTACTACCTCTACTATCACTATCATCACCACTGCCACCACCATTACCACCATCACTACCATCATCACCACCATCATTACCACCACCACCCTCACCACCACTACCATCATACCGCTACCATTACCACCACCACCACCATCATCACCATCATTATCACCACCATCCCAACCATCACCACCACCACCACTCCACTGCCACCACCACTACCATCTCTACTACCTCTACTATCACCATCATCACCACCGCCACCACCATTACCACCACCATCACCACCATCATCACCACCATCATTACCACCACCATTACCACCACCACCATCATCACCATCCCCACCACCACCATCACCACCTCTACCATCTCCACTATCACCATTACCACCATCCCCATTACCACCATCCAAACTACCTCTACCATTACCATCATTGCCACCACCAACACCACCTCCCCCATCATCACCATTACCACCATTTCCACCTCCCCTATCTCCACCATCATCACCTCCACCATAGCTGCCATTAGCAACAGTCGGAGCCTGGACATTTCTGTTCTAATCCTAACAGTAACTCTGCATGATGGGTAAAAACTATCTCCAATATAGAGATGAGCAAACAGATCAGAGGGCTTAGATAATCTTCCACAAAGCCTTACTGCTAGTAGGTGGTAGAGCCAGAATGTTGAGTTTAATGTTTTTTTCCCATTGTTTGTGATTAGAGGGAAAGCTGGACTCCATCAGCTCACCTCCCAGCCACCTCAGAACCCCCTTTACCTGGCACAATTGTCAGAATGGGAAGTGTGTTGGGGCTTTGTTGGGGCTACACTGAATGCCTGATTTTTGAGTCATGTGCTGGCTGCTGCACAGGCCTCCCCACTCTTCCCCTACCACACACTTTCTTCCCACTGCCTGTCAGACCTGGTCACCACCTTATGAGGAGCACCACTGGCTATGAACCCACCACTGGTGTAACCCAGCTAAAGCTGACTTTATTCCTTTTCTCTTCTCCATCCATTAGCTTCAGAAGTGGCCTGAGACCCAACCCTGCCAGTGTGGCATGAAGGGAAATTTTCTCATTGATTCAGAAAGACAGAGAGGCATACCAGCACAAAAGCACTATGATCTCTCGTTGAATGGGAAACATCCATGTCTATATGTGAAGTCTGGAACTGTGGCAGCCATCTGGGGACCATGAGGACAGCTAATTGATGACAAGAGCAACATGCTGAGGGTGGGCAAAGAGAAAAGGTGGGAAAAACTGAGGTCCTGGGGGAAGCAGTTGAACCAACTTCAGTGCCACCTTAATTTGGGGCTTCCTGTATGTGAGATAAAATTTCCTTATTGTGAAAGTCATTCCGAGTTGAGTTTTCTAGTACTTGCTTCTGAAAGCAGCTCTATTGATGGGCTCATCTGATGTCTCTGCAACGGTGCCCAGTGCTTCCACCCCTTATCAGCCATTTGGGCATATTAAAGCTCAACTTAGTCCTGCCTGGGTGGAAAAGGCAGTAGCGTGCAGACACTGGAAGACAAATGCTGCTCTGCCTCCCTGTTAGCTCCCAGCCTGTGTGGGAGATGCTTAGTTCAAATTATGGTCTCAGACTAGATCTACAGCCATCAGCCCAAACCCCCAGCCAAGGGTAGCCCATGTAATTCTGTGCTTAGCCTCTTGTTACAGCACAGAGCTATGGAGCAGAGGATGAGGCTGTGGGAGGGAGGCAGTAACGTTACAGCTCTTAGAGAGGCCGGGGTGAGGAGGCGGAGAAGAGGCCCCTTCAACAGCCTCAGATCTACAGCTGGAGGACACAGGGATGCAGACCCAATATTTCCCCGCCTAGTGGTGGCTTCTTCCTACCTTCAAGGGATGAAGGAATTTCTGAGCAGTGAATTTCTGACAAGGAACTTTCCAGAGTCTCACTTTGAACATGCCACTTCCCTAACTCAAGAACTTATAAGGATTCCCAATTAGTAGTTCATCAGGACCCAGCTTCTCTGCTTAAATCCTTCCTTCCCCACCTCCATATCTTGTCTTCTCCCAACTCTCACTGCTCCGGTGGAGAAGTTGCCTCCCTGACCACCCATCTCCATCACTGCCCCTGCAGCCCCTTGCCTGGGAAGCTCTCACAGCCAGGCCAGCTGGACTTCTCCTCCCCTGGGAGGGTGCTTTGGCTTGCCCAGCCTCTCGGTCTCCTTTTCCTGTGGTTCTGCAGCCTCCTGGCCAGTCTGTCCACTGCTCGTTTGGGATGTTGGTACATGGCACGACGGCCTGCTTTCCAGGCTGTCCCATTCAGCAAGCGTGCAAGACCTCGCTCCTGCTTCAGGAGCAGGAGCACTCTGAGGGCAGATTTTCCTGTGCTATCCACAGTGCATTGTATAGTGCCGGGCACTAGAGGCTCACAGAGTCCTCCAGAGTAGAAGTTGAAGGGCACTGAATGCCATCAAGGTCGATGTCCCAGCCACGGCCTCCCTCCAGTGCCTGCAGCATGTCATGGTTGACAACATGCTTTCACCTCTCAGGCTGCCTGTCTCCCAGCACTCGGGGTGCAACTCCAGGGGTGCTGCAGAGGCCACCCTTCTTCCCGGGCAACCCTTCCCCCTGCCCGGACCATGTGAATTCAAATGAGCAGCACCCACCAGGACACCTTAGTATCCTCAACACGGACGGCCTGTGCCGAGGGCCCACCCTGAGAGCACTGGGACAAAGGACTGCAGTTACAAAGGGCAGGAGATGCTTCCCCTGCCTTTGGGGTGCACAGTCCAGGCAAGTGGGCAGGAAGGACACATGCCATGGACAAATTACAACACAGATTGTGTGTGCAACCTGCCACATGAGCCCTGCTGGTAATCGGCAGTTTAAGGATTTGGAGAAAAGGCGATTGCTGGGGCTGGTGGTCAGGATGTGTGGTGGCAGCGAGGCCTGAAGGTGGCAGGGGAGGAGCTGCACAATGGGGTCCTGGTCAAGGTCGGTGACCTCCACATGAGAAACACAAGATCCTCAGGGGAAACAAGCAGCAGCCCCTGTTTGCTGGAGTGTCTGCACGGTGGGGGAAAGCCTCTGCCCAGGCAGGTGAGGTCTAAACTCCAGCCAGCCTCCAGGATCGCAGGAAGAGTCTACACTCCCTACCCAGGATGTTGTATCTGGGACCTAACATCCACGTTGACTTGGGCTGACGACGGTTCACGATCAAAGGGTGATATGTGCCAAGCTATGTTTTAGGAAATAAATATGAAAAGCAATCTTTAGATGAACTAGACTGAAGTGGGGAGACCTCTGCCGTGGTCCAGGAAGGAGGTAATGACAGTCTGAATCAAAGAGAGGGAGAAGAGGAAGAGAAAAGACAGAGTGAGAAAATGTTACGGCCTGACGGGGACTATCAAACGTGGCCTTCAGACTTCATTCAGAACGGCTGGAAGAATGAAAGGCTCACAGAAAACAGAGTCCAAAGTGTGGGCTGGCCAGTGACCCCAGGGGACTTGGACATGCCATGCAAACTTGCCAGACCGCAGTTTCTTTATCCACAAAAGTGAATTTGGCTGGATAATCCCCACTCCCCTTCGTGCATGCAGCTAGAAGGCATCCCAGTGTAGTGGGACGTCCACGGCGCTGGAAGGAGACAAATCAAGTTTAGAATTTTAGCTCTTCCACAACTATTGCAGCTTGGACAGATGGTTTAACCTTCCTGTGTCTCCATTTCTTTGGTTGTAAAATGGAGAGAATATCTTGTTGCAGAGACTCTTTTAGGACTAAAGGGAAGATGTGAACTGAACACATTAAATAGGAAATACTTAAGAAATGTCCCTTTCCCCAACCCCTAGTGGTTCTAGAATTCCAGGGTGTCTGAGAAGCTCACTTCAGATATGACATGATGAAGAGATGTGATGGCCTCCCCGTGGAGATGTATGTGGGGATTACAGACGGGGGGTCAGGCCTGACAGGTGGGCTTGACAAACAACCTATACAGATAGTTATGTGATATCCACAATCAAAGAACAGTGTGAAGTGAGGGGAACAGAGGGAGCGGGTGCAGGAAGGGAGCGCAGGTGAGACTCCCCAGTGCAGCATCCCCCGGGACCATTGGAGCCCTTGCCATGTCCATGTATGCATAGCGTTTTTCCTCATTTTTTCATTAAATCAACTCACTTTTTTCTTACATAAAAATCTGGAAAGGGAACTTTTTTTAAAAATCACCACTATTATTGCTTGCTATGATAAGGGTAACAGTAAAAATAACTATTTAAAATGTCCATGTACTGCCCCAAATTGTCTCCCCAGCCATGCGAAGGGCCCATTCCACACTTGGAGAAACACTGGGCTCAACGGCTGTCCCTTGAAATGATCAGGCTTGGTCCATGTGGCTCTGGAAAGGAGAAGGAAGTCGGCAGGACTAAGCAGTGGGAACGAGACGGAGGCCGATCTTGTCTCAAGAAAGAACTTCCAGACTTGGAGTTTCCCAAGAAGGAAGGGCTGTCTGTAGGCAATGGAGGGACTGAGCCTCAGAGAGTTAGAGCACATCTCCTCCAAGGTCCTTTTGATGACCAACAGCACTTGATGCCATGAGGTATCCTCACATTCATGAGTGAGAAGAAAGCAAAGAAGTACATGGATAAATGGGTGGGTGAATGGATGAATGAATGAATGCGTGAGTGAATGGGTGGATGAATGGATGGGTGGATAGATGAATGGAGGCAGAGAAGGGCTATTTATCAAAGCAGGCATGGGTCCAGGGCACTGCAGGGCTTCTATTGTCTTAGCCAAACCTCCCTCCTCTCTCCTGCACCTGGGCTTACCCAGGCTAAGACTGCTCCAGGTCTGCGGCCCCACAAGAGGGACTGCCCCTGAGTAGGACCACCTGTGGCCCCAAGCACATCAGCTACACCAGGATGGATGCCTCCTTGGCCTCTGTATGCCTTTCATCTCTGCTGCTCAGCTCTGCTTCCTGTGCTGAGATGGGCACAGGGCAGCATCTATACAGCCTCCTTAAAACCAACAGGCAAGGAAATAAAATACCCACCAGCAGCAGCCTGGACACCCTTACCATATGGTGCAGAGTCATCAGCACACACGTCAAACGCGTGGAACAGGAACCTCATTCCAGCAGCGAGGCTCCTCTGGCATGGGTTGCTGTGGAAGGGGACTGTCGCTGCCTAAGTGGCACAGGGTTAGTCTCTAAAGGAAGACTTCCCCTCATCACAGCCTCAGTGTCTGCTTTGTTTGCCCTCTTCAGTCTCCAATTCCTTCCTGGTGGTTCACCTGGAAGGCAGCAGAAGACTAACAGGCTTTGTGGTGCACAGCAAGCATTCTAGCTGGAAGGGATATGGAAGTTCATCTGGTCCAGGGCTTTAGTTGTTCAGATGAAGACAGTATAGCACAAAGAGGGGGAAGGACCTGCTCAAGGCCACAGAACCAAATACTATCAGTAATGTGGTAATGATGCTTATTTACACACTCCATTTTTTAAAAAGAAGATTGCACTTATGCCTTTTCTGATCCATCATCCAGAACAGATGATTGCACCATTATCTGGACTTGCACCTGTGTCTCCCAGGCCTGGCCTTGCTCCAACTCCCTTAGCCCCGGCCACTAATCCCCAAGGTAGCAAGAGAGTGGGGCAGGTGGGAGGAGAGGGTCAGACTCCCAGAGAAAAAGAAGCTGAACCCCAGAAAATCAAGTCCCTTTCCCCAGGTCAGTCAGAGGTAGGTCTTTGAGGCTGATGATCAGGATGGTCATCTCCCCTCTCCAGGCATTGAAAGCCCACCTGGCATCATGGTGAGCACCAGGGCACCAGCAATGCGAAGAACGTCACCCTCCATCCACTTCCTTTCTTGTAAGTAAGTGACTTTCATTCCCAATAACTGCTCCTGGCCTCTTTGCCGACCACATGCCCCCTAAAAGGGCTAACTCGCCTCTCCTCCAAATCAGGCTCTGCTCTGAAACTGTCTGACACCCATACTGAAGGCAGATCTAATTTAAAAAGTGTTTGCTGCAAGCTTTAAACTGTCATAATTTTGGCTTTTTTTTGTGGGTGTCTCCTTTCCCTTGTAAAAATGGGTCTGTTCTCCTTGCTGATCAGCACAATTATAATGATATAAAACAGAGTACAATAAAAGCTGGGGACCTGCCCTTAAAAGGGAAGTTGTGGGAAAAGTGATTCACGGCCTTATCCTCTGGTGACCTTGGCAGGGTTGGGCTGAGCCTTGAGTTGGTTCTCCCAGATGAATATGAATTTTGTGGTAGGTGAGGGAATGGGAATCTTGGGGTTTGGAACACCAGGGCTCACAGTGCCCAGGAGGTCCCTACATTGAAGACTCTTTACTGCAGAGCAATGCAATGGCAGCTGTACCTCCACCTGCTTGGGGGACTCCTCCATTGCCATAACATCAGGGGAATGAAGTAACTGGGCCTGAATCCCTCTCATACAGGCCAAACCCTTGACCCCTAGTTCTTGCTGCATGCCAGGTCCTGTGTTTAATGTTTTATGTAGATGATCTCACAACAACCCTGGGAGGTGGGTATCATCATTATTCTCATTTTACAGGGTTGGAACCAAGGTCTGCCTGGTACCAGGCTGGCGTCTTAACTATCATGTTCTACCGACCTCTCAGCACAGAGCACATTTGGATTACTGGATTCCATATTGCCTCTTATGTTTTTTCTCCCTCTGGAAACATAGCAAGGGCAAGGAGCAAGCTGTGGCAGTAAGAGCATCATCTTGGAAGCCAGGAATCTTGGGTTCTAATTTTAGTTTCATCATTATCAAGCTGGGTGACCTTGGGTAGGTGACACAGCCTCTGTGAGTCTGATTTTTCTCATCCACATAATGAAGACGTTGGAGTATATGAGTGGATCCCAAACTTCGGTTCTCCTACAACTACCTACAGATATTTTGGGGTACTGGTTAAAAATGCAGCCTCCTGGCCCCCACTCCAGACCTGCTAGGTCAGAAGATCCTGGGGAGGACCTGGGGATCTTGACTTCTAACAAGGTCCCCACTTCTGAAAAGCACCAGGGCCTGGGAACTACTGACCTAAGTGGCCCCATGGTTCCTTTCAGCTACAGGATTCACTGCTTCTCAAACATATCACCCTGCCCATGGCCACCCGTCAATGAAGGGAGCTCCCTCTGCCTGCAGGGCAGGAAGTGCAGAGCGGGTGAGGAGAGACAGAAGCTTTGCCTGAAGCCGCCCACAGAGAAGCCATGTGTGGCTGGGGTACTGGGACATGGAGTCAGCAGTGGGTGTGTTTCCTGGGTGGGAGGCTCAGGAACAGAGGAGAAACAGAGTGAGGCCAGGGTGCTCAATGCCATCAGCCTGTGGGGATTGGGCTCCATGGGCCCAGCTTCATGTTGAGGACTGCAGGGAACACAAAGGAAGGGCCTCCTATACACCTGGGGGAAGGAGACCTCCACATCCAGATCCTACAATGCCAGGAAGGAGTATACCAGTAAGCGGCATCTGAAGAACAGAGACCAGGGTGCTTGGGTTTACAGGGGAAAGGGGAAAGGAAGTGTTTACGGAGCACATACTCTGTGCCAGCATTGGGTCTCATACATGCTCGGACCCCCCCACCACCTCCCAGACTGAGTCAGGGGTGGGCAGGTGGGGAGAGCAAACTCAAGGCAAGTGTGAGGGTGGATGGGTCTACAGTTTTCTGTAAACAGTCCTGGGAACTAGTTAAAAGAATATACTGGACCATGAATCAAGGTATCTGGGTCACTTTGCCATGAACTAATTGCAGATCCTCAGGCAACACATTGAGTGTCTCTGGATTCTAGTTAGAAATAAGAACACCTGTCCTGCCAGTTCATGGAATGAAACATAGCACAGCAGATCTGTGGAAAGTTAAGATCACTGCTTGTTATGGTCCGAATGTTTGTGATTCCCTCCCCCAAATTCCTATGTTGAAATCCTAACCCCCAAGGTATTAGGAGGTGGGGCCTTTGGGAGGTGATTAGGTCATGAGGGCAGAAGGCCTCATGTATGAAATTAGGACTGTTATACCAGAGACCCAGGAGAGCTAGCTCACCCCTTCCACCATGTGAGGACACACCAAAAATACAGCCATCCACGAATGAGCCCTCACCAGACACCAAGTCTGCCAGCACCTTGATCTTGGACTTCCCAACCTCCAGAACCATAAGAAATACATTTCTGTGGTTTATAAGTCCCCAGGAAATACCCCAGTTTACAGTATTTTGTTACAGCAGCCTGAACTGACTAAGGCGCTGCTCAAATCTCTGGTCTTTGTATGCACAGCCTCCTCTCCTACTCCTCACCACAATTGGCCTGAACTCATGAGCTTGTGGAAACTACTCTTCCTCATCACCTAAGATGGGTGGAGCTGGGCACGGCTGGTGTTTTGGCCCATAGAATATCACGAAGTACTTGGGAGTGAGCAGAGGGACTGGTATCTATCAAATAGCTCCAAGCACCCCTTGCAAATTTCTGAACTTAACTTACAAAGCCATCTCCTGGACAAAAAGAAGCATGGTACCATCCACCATGTGCATACTGCCTGCAGGCTACGAAGAGCTTTTGTGTGAGTGGATTTTCTTAACCTGAACCCTGGGAGGGAGGAAAGGGTATTATCATCCCCATGGGAAAGACAAGGAAAGCAAGGTTTACCCCACTGGACTACGGTGGAGACTGGGCTTATACCTAAGTTTTCTGACTCCAACCCCAGTGCTTTTCCCCCACATCAACTTGGTGTGTGCCTGCTGAATAGATGTTAGGTCCCAGAATTCTCTCTGTTAGCCGAGGAGAGCGCAGACTCCTTCCCAGTCAGTTTGTTACAGAATCCAGGCTGGCACTGGGTTGAACAGCATCCTCCCTTCCCCAAATACATGTCTTTTCCAGACCTCAGGATGTGACCTTATTTGGAAATAGGGTCACTGCCAATTTAATTAGTTAAGATGAGGTCATCCTGGAGTTTGTGGGCCCCTAATCCAATATGTTGATGTCCTTATAAGAAGGGAAAACAGACACACACAAAGAGGGAAGCCATGTGACCACCGAGGCAAAGCTGAGTGATTAATGCATCTACAAACCAAGGAATGCCAAGGCTGTTGGCAACACCAAAAGCGAAAAGAAAGGCATGGAACAGATTCTCCCTAGAGAATGGCCCCGCCAACTCCTTGATTTCAGACTTCTGGCCTCCAGGATACAAAAGTATACATTTTTGTTGTCTTAAGCCACTCTGTTCATGGTACTTTGTGACAGCAACCTTAAGTAACTAACACAAGGACATCACCTAAGATGCTCCCAGCTTCTCCTCTTTGCACAGAATCAGCGTGACAAGGCTTGGACACAGGCTAAACATCAGCATCAGCCTCTTGGTTTCCCGCTGCAAAGTCACTGCCCAGGGCAAGCAGAGAGCACCTCTGACTTTAATGAGCTCTCTTTCTTCTCTCATGTCTTTAAGGAAATGTCCAGCCAACCAGGAGGACATCTCATTGGGTTGCAAGTTCAGTGGGACCATGAGTGTCACAGCACAGATAAGTAGGTAGCAGGGAGATACATGCCTGGCCCCACAGTCTGGGGCTCCTACTGTGTTGGCTCCTTTCAGAGTGAGCAAAGCTCCCCGCCTTTGAGATGCCACACACACGGGGCACTCAGGGACTGGGAAGACAAGATCTGTGCCTCAGGAAGGTGGCAGTCTAGGCAGGCAGGATTAATAGCCCCCCAAATAGAACTAAATACCAGGTGAGTGACATGCAAAGCCAACACCACAGCTGGCTGGATCCAGGAGTGAGGGCTTCCTGGAGAAGGCAGTGTAGGAACTTCCCACCAAAGAGAGGGCAGAAGAGAAAGCTGAAAGGCAGGGGAGGACCCAAGGCCAGCAGGAGACAAGCCCATTCAAGCACAGTGCCCATTAGACCTGGTTAAAGCAGGGGTTTGCAGGGTAGGGATGGCACAGAGGGTGGGGATGTGCTGGGGGTCCCTTCAGGGAAGGCTTCAAATGTCAGTGAAAAAAATTGGGGCTTGCTTCTGTAAGTTTTGAACAGACAGTACATAAGTCAATCTTATGAAAGTAGTTTTCAGGTGTAATTAAAACAGGTTTTCCATTTACAAGCAAGTAATAAGAGACAGTCTTTCCTTTGAAAGTGTTTCTCAGTTTGAAAGCTCTAAAGCGACAGGCCGAGTGTTTGATCTGATAAGGAGCCACTAATACAGTATAAACATTCCAAAATCAATGGTATTTTACTTTTTAAAATATGCCTCATGGCCAGGCGCGGTGGCTCACGCCTGTAATCCCAGCACTTTGGGAGGCCGAGATGGGCAGATCACTTGAGGTAAGGAGTTCAAGACCAGCCTGGCCATCATGGTAAAACTCCGTCTCTACTAAAAATACAAAATTAGGTGGGCATGGTGTACATGTGTGTAATTCCAGCTACTTGGGAGGCTGAGGCAGGAGAATCACTTCAACCCGGGAGGCGGAGGTTGCAGTGAGCTGAGATCACACCATTACACTGCAGCCTGGGTGACAAGCGTGAAACTCCATCTCAAAAAATAAAAAAATAAAAATAAAGTAAAATAAAATATGCCTGACAATTGCTAGCCATTCTCGGCCCAGCTGAGATCCCACCTCTGCTGGGAAGGCCTCCTTGATGTGTGGGTCGGTAGCGAGCCATTTCTTCCTTCTGGGAATTCTTGATCTTCATAGGCTATCCAGTGACACCCAGGCTCTAGTCAAGATTTTATTGATCAGTACAAAAGCAAAAGAAATGTTAGGAATGGACACAGGGTTGCCAACTTTTTATTCTGCCAATAATATATTAAAAATAACAATGATCATTTGTTATCCTTTTCATTTCATGAAAGGAAGGAGAAGCAATACTAGAATAAAGAACAGCTGAAAACCCCACTACCATCCCCATCCCCGTCCCTGGCATGTACACAATGCACCCTTCCTGTTTTTCTCCTCTAACTGCAGGCTGATAAACCTTCATTGCAGATTGGCACAGGTCGGCAGACTGGCACTGGGAAGCACAGGTCCTTCCCACTCTCTAGCTCATTACATCCTTTCTATGTCCTTCCTACTAAAGGGTTCTTTGGTCTGGCACCCAATCCAACCAACCCATCTGTGGAAGATGGCAAAAATGGCCACGATATTTTGCAGCTCTTCTTTTCCAGAATCAGAGTCTATTTCCTCATCTCTTCAATCTGAGCTGACTTTGTCACTTGCTTTGACCAAAAGAATATGGTGGAATAATGTGCAACAGCTAAGCGTAGGCCACGTGAAGCCTTGCAGCTTCTCCTCTCACACTGAGAACTTTTCTTCCATCACACAAACAAGCCAAGAAAGCCTGCTAAAGAATGAGAGGCCATGTGGAAAGAGGACATCCCAGCCATCCCAGCCATATCAGCCAATGCCACTATGAACTGCCTATCTCTAGCAAACCACCAGCTGACAGCAGACACTTGAACACCAAACCAAGATCAGTGGAGCCCTGCTAGGTCCAGAAGAACTGCTCAACTGAGCCAATCCAGATTACCAACCTGCAGAAATGTAAGTTAATAAATGGTGGTTGTTTAAAGCCACTAAGTATCCGGGTAGTTTGTTACGCAGCACAAGCTAACTGATATATCACCTTTCTGACCACAATTTTCATGGGCATCCTAAACCCTTCTACTGCCTTTCAAATACAGCTTGGGCTTTCCTATCTGTAAGAATTTACCTGTATTATTTCCCCCAGACCTGAAGTATCTACTGCATGTATCCTCAGATTTTACCCATTCTTACAGACCCAGCACTCACTGTCTATGCCACTCTCTTGGCACTTAATCATGTACTACTCACCTTGTGGCATCTCTCACACACTGTTGTCAATTATTTCTGATAATATTAACTTCAGATGGGTTTATTACCTTCTCAATTAGATTGCCAGTCCTTCACGGCAAAGGCATGTATCATATTTAGACCCCCCAGTTTTTAACCCAGTATTTTGCACAGGGTGGGCGTATGTACTGCTCATTGATTGATAAGATTTGGAAATTCAGTGGGTATATGAAAATAACTGTGCTGGGTTAGTTCTCACCAGTGTTCCCTGCCCCCAGCTCTGAGCTGTATCCTACTCTCTCATTCTCTTCCATGAGGACTGGGCTAATTTCTCAGTCCCACCACAAATGCCTTCGAGAATATGAGGAACATAGTCATCTGTTCCCCCAACAAGAATACCACGAAATCCAAAGAGGCACACCCAAACCAAAGCAAGGAAGACCCCTCCTGCCAAATTATTACTTGACTTCCCAAGTCTCTTGGGGCTTTCTAAAAACCCTCTGGAAACTTTTTCTTCTCATTCTTGTGACCTTTCATTTGTCCCAGGCATTGGGATTGGATAATCCAGGCTTCCCATGCTTTTCCACCTTCAGTAAAGTCTTTAAAGTGAACTACAAAGCTTTGAGGGGAAAATAGATAAAAAGCTTAGCATTGCAAATGAGGAGAGCATGAAGCCCAGGCTGGAAATGAGGTAAGTGCATTTAAAGCCACACCTCTAAAGACTGGCTGCAAAAGGTTATATTGTAAAGGTAAGGACCAGGGTTCCCTGCTCTCATGGTTTAATCCTTTGGTTCAGTTTTCTCAAATGGCCAATAAGAAGTCAGCAAAATGTGACTTGCTGTTGTCCCAATTATTTCTTATAATCTCGATAATTTTATTTTCTAATAGCCAAATAACAAATTCTATGTTATAAATTTAAGAAAACTCTGAGACACCCACCCAAAAAACAGGAAAAGGAAAAGGAGCAGTATTCCACTTCCTTGAAGCTACTGTTGCTGACATTTTCGCTTATATGATTAATCTACTTCCTTTGTGTGTATTTTTCCAAAATTGCGATTATACTGTTCGTATCATTTTATATTCCCTATTTTTGCTTAACAACAGCTTTTAAACATTTAATACACTGTCAAATTTTGTCTACAATATCATTTCCAATAACCTTATAGCATTCTAGTAGCAGGAATAGCTGTACTATAATTTATTTACCCAATTCTCTGCTTTTGGTGTGTTAGGTTTCTATGCTACCTAGCAATGATTCCGGGCCTATCCCTCCCTGGGGAATGTGACAGCCAGGGCCTGCATTAGCCCCAGGGCTGCCTCATGCCATGCTTCAGTCCCTGACCAGACCTCTGGACTCTCCTTCCCTCCCACAGTGCAGACAGTCGCCCAGGTGAGTCCAGTGGGCCCCACGTCCTCCTCCAGGTGCAGAGGAGCTACTGTTGGCCAATAGAGGACCACAGCCCTGTGACACTGCAGACAAGGACCTGGCCTTGTCATGGTGTTAGGACCCTCCCCGCTTCCTGGCCCTTATCAGCGCCCATGCCCATGGCCTCTGCCAGCTCAGTCTCTGGGAGAGAGGTTTCCTCAACTTCCTCCTCACCCTCCCACAGGACACAGTACCTGGAACAGACTTTGCCACTTCACAATGGAATTGGGAGAGGGAGGCAGGCAGAAGGGTCCTGGAGCTGCTGAAGCTCTTGGAGAAGTGAGTTTCTGCACTGTCGATGCTCTGGGCCCCACTCTCAGCATAGCCCAAGCACTCACCCCCTACCCACATGTGAAAGAAAGCCCCGTTCCAGGCCTGAGCTTTCTGCAAAGTGTCCTAATGCTCTCCATCTCCCTGTCCCTGAGACAACATTCAGTTGACATATTTTTAGCCAAGACACCAAACATCCAAGAAAGAAGTGAATCTGTCTCATGCTGGGTGAAAATAACCATGTCCTCACACACGCTCCTCCACATCTGCTGTGGTTTCTCTCACCTTCTCCCCGTTTTCCCTCCCTCCCCCTTGACTTTTCCTCTCCCCGCTTGCTTTTTCTTTCTGCCTCTTCTCTGGACCTCTCAGATCACCCCTCTCCACCTGAGGATGGACAGCTGAGTGCATTCTGAATGCCTTCACTGAGTCACGTAGGAATTTGGCTAATTGAGGTCTTTCCTGCAAATTGCTGAAAATGTGTGCAGACCCACTGAAGATGGAAAAACACAGAGCTGTTAGCCTCAGCTTGTGGCGCTGAAGACGCCATTAATGAGGCACCAGACCTTGTAATACAGAGATTGGGGGAAATTTACTGATCCATATGGAACCACATAATGTGCGCGGGTTACTGAAGAAACACTGACATCGCAGGCAGTCTCTCCCAAGAGGAGGGGAGGGGGAGCGGGAGGGAGCACGAGCTTGTCCATTCAGCCACCTGCCATGAGCCCATAGTACAGCAATGGCATAACAAGCACCCTGCACCTGCCACTGACCTTACCAGATTATCGGAGGTTGAGGAGGGGAGAATTTCAGCTCCCCAGCCAATACTCTCTCAGGGCTAGATGGGGAAAACATCTCTTTAAACATCATCTTTATTTTTCTCATTACCTTGCCTGCTGCTTCTGACCTGTGGATATAAATCCTAAGGTAGACACAGCGCAGTAAATTCTGGGGTCACTGGGGTCACATACAGACTGTGGGGTCAGTTTCTGAGAAGAGTCCCAGTTATGCCATTTACTTGCTGGGTGTAACTACTATACTACTACCACTGCTGTTAATTGCTACCTCCACCACCTCTACCACTCACTCTATCAACTCATTTTATTACATGTGTTCTATATTCCAACCAGTGTCCCAAGCAGCTTGCATGAATCGTTTCATTTAATCCTCGAAACATCATTATGATGTAAGTATATTACCCCATCCTACCGATGAAGGTACTGAGACACTGAGAGATTAACTTGCCCAAACCACACATATTGTGAGAGCTACGGCAAGTGCTTGAACCCAGGCAGTTTGAGCCCAGAGTCCCCTTTACTTGGCCTTTACTTAGCTTTAATTTCTTCACCTATAAAATGAAGATGATGAAAATAAAGCCAGAGTCATGTGACTGTGGTCAGATACATGCAAGTGCTCTGTCAACTATAAAACGCACCATGAGAATACTAGATACTAGCTGACATCCGTCCCAAAGTGCAGCTTCACTCTGGAGCAGAGAGGGCCCTCTCACAAAGTTACCATAGGATCACACGATTCTAGGGTTGGAAGGGAGCTCGGATGTTATCTTGCACAATCCCCCACTAGATGGAGGGAGTGGGAAATCATGCTAGATGACATCGGAGCTCCCTTCCAAGCTAATCCTCGATGGAGGACGAGATTCGAATTATGGAATTGAAAGAAAACTTCAGGTATCTTGGTCCAACATCAGAGAAGGGAAACGATCCCACTCAGATGACAGGAAGCTAGGAGCAGAGCTGGCCTGAAACCCACACCCTGACCTGGCCAGCGTTTGTTCTGTGCCGGCAGGGAGTGCTGCCTCTCCCTCACTTGCCCCACGGGCCGCTGCAGTTAACCCATTGCCAGGGCTTTGCTTGCTGAGCCACAACACGACTGCAGAACCCTCCTCAACACAGCACTCCAGCAGCTGCTGCCAGTCAGCGCTGACACATAAGGTGGTGCCCTTTACCCTCCCTGCAGGGTATGTGGACTGGCCACACGAGTTAGCACTCAAACAAGGGCACTTTAGAGAGCTAAAGAGGGCAACTATTAATAATTTTGTGGGGGACACAGGTGATTATGCTGGGGTTATCTCAGATGACCTGGAAAACATGGCCATCCTATGGTACTTCAATGAGCCTCCCAAGGCATCCAAGATATACCCAGGTCCTTGTAGGGCAGAAATGCTCTGAAACTGACTTGAAGGAAGGCTTGTTGGGATCCTCTTCCTACAGATGGCTGGGGAGGCACCAAGGGGAAAGAAGGGAAACTCTATTGGTAAAAAAGGACGAAGGCTCAGCTTGGTTCATAGACTTGTCTGCAGAAATGATTCTGCCCTCCGTGGGTTATTTTCCCTCCATTCCACTGGCCTGTAACAGCTATCTTCCTAGCCAAAAGCCATGTATGTCTGCTAATGCTCCCGCTCCTTCCTCCTCCTCTCTTTCTCCTCCTATATTGAATAATTGTTTCTATGGTAGTTTAATTAGCCAACTATGAATGTATTCAGGCATCTCATGGAGGAAGAATCACTTTGTTTACTTTTTGGAAACTGAATGGGCCGCATTTTGTTTCTATTTTGGGATATTTATGGGTATTTTCTGTTTCTAGATTGCAAAATTGAAAAATTAAAGTCTAACCAAGTATTAGTAGATTTCCCTGAGTGGAGGAACAGAGAAAGGTATTTTGTTCACTACCAGGTTGCCCATGTCCTAGCATGGCCATGACAAGAGACAGAGAATTGCGATGCTTTTTTTTTTTTGTTGAGACAGAGTCTTGCTCTGTCACCATGCTGGAGTGCAGTGGCATGATCTTGGCTCACTGCAACCTCTGCCTCCCAGGTTCAAGCGATTCCCCTGCCACAGACTCCCAAGTAGCTGGGACTACAGGTGCACACCACCACACCCAGCTAATTTTTTGTATTTTGGTAGAGACAGGGTTTCACCATATTGGACAGGATGGTCTGGATCTCCTAACCTCATGATCTACCCACCTCGGCCTCCCAAAACGCTGGGATTACAGGTGTGAGCCACTGTGTCCGGCCAGAATTGCGATACTCTTACAGACCCAAGAGAAGAGAGGAAAGGAACTTAGCAGGCTCACCTGACAGAACGCTTATGTTGTAGTGAGATAGAATTAAACTGTTGGACTACTCTAGTTGGGCTGAGTTGACCTCTTCCTTCTCCAATCTGGGATGTTCCTCTCAGATAACTCTCTTTCCCATGGTGAATCCCATTTGTCCCTCAAAAAAGAATTGAGGCAGATTTAATTAACAGTATGAAACTTCAAGCGTGCAAAGTTCTAAGCAGGCATTGCCTCATTGACTCCAGTTTGCTTCAGACATTGACTGAGTCTTGCTTTTCCTTTGCCCTTACGTGTTCTATGAAACAAGTTTCAGAAGTTATATGAGAGGTTAATTGGGCAGATTATCCTAGCAAAATAGTTGCAAACCCAGTTAACACAAGAAAATTACAATCATCACATGTTTTATATATTTCTAAGTTCCCTATAATTTTTTTTGCTAAGCTTTAAATATTCTGCACGTTTGGGTTGGAAGTATGAGAAAAACAATCTGAAAACTTTATGTAACAGCAAATGAAACTGTCTTCTTGACACTGATGGAGACTTCAACTTAGTTAGTCACTAATAGTTTACCTTCTTAGCTATTATGGCCATTTTAAAATTTAATTCACAGGATCTGACTAAAATAAGGGTGCATTTCCTACCATTAGAAGAGATAAAGGCACTAAGGTTTCAGAGCACCCCCAAGGACATTCGGGGCTCCAGAACTGCACACAGAGCTTCAAATACAAAACCCCATTCCATCTTCACAGTGATCGTGAGAAATAGGTATGTTCCTCCAGATATGGAAGCCAGGTGAGAGCAATGCAAGGCGCAGAGCCAGGGCTGGAATCCTGCTGTGATTCCTACCCAGGTCCCGGCTCTGCCCAGCACCCCAGGCTGCTGCTGGATGCTCACCATGTTTTATTGGCCCATTCCAAACGTCTCTGAGTTCCTACAGATGTTCCAGAGACCTTGCTTAGAGAGACACTGTGGGCAAATGCAAAATCCCTTTTGTTCTTCACTTGGAGGATGCAATGAAAGGGACTGGGTTAATTTAATAACAGTGTCACTCTCCTTCCACCTTGGCCCAACACACATACCTGCTTCAGGACTGAGATGACCAGTTACAGCATGCAGGGAGAAAAGCCAGTGGGAGGACACAGCTCTGAGACAAGAAGCCTTTCCTTTATCAGGATGGCAGCTCTGTCTAATGAAGGTGGCCCCAGTCAACCACACCATCCCTCCCACAGCCTCAGCATCACAGCGGGGGTGAAAGCCTGGTGGCATCTCCCTGGTCCAATCTCTCATATGAATTAACAGTGGCAGCTGGCTGGAACGCAACTTCCAAGGATGGAGGGAAAGAGGAGGGAGGTTCAGTTAGTGGGAGTGGCTCCATGTCCCTGTTGGCTCTGTAGCTCTTTATTATCTGGTATTCTCTCCCTGTTGAATGCTCCCTCCCCCTACACACACACACACACACACACACACACACACACACACACACACACCATTTTGCCTAAGTCTGATTACCCTGTCTGGCTGCGTTGTCCTGACATCCAGAGGGGTGAGGCCATGGCCAAAGTGACCCCATTACGAAAAGCTTGGCAGGGCCAGAGCAAGGCTGAAAGTGCAATGTGGGCCAAATTGGAGACTGGTGGCGGGTACAGAGATGGTGTGGAAGTGACCCTAGCACAGGGCAGGCTGGGCCCCGGCACCCATGATGACACAGGTATGAAGCCCCCATCCAGCCTCAGCACTGGCTGCCCTCTCTCCCGTGTGGTTGAGGTTGGATTGCAGAGTCAAAATCTCTTAGGGGGAGAGGCCACATACACCCTTGAGAATTCTCTTCTCTTCTTTATTGCTGCAACCACTATTCCTCAAGGGCCTACTGTGTGTGAAGGAAGGGTTTGTGCCCCTGTCTAGAGGGACTATTCTTTGAACCCCCAAATCAGGACACACAGATGGACAAGTCTCAATTTATTTGGAACATTCTGGACTGCGGGGCCCCTGCTTATGCCCTAACGAGTCTAATTTGATGTGACACATGATTCATGGTAGATCTGGGATGACAGAAAGAAAGGGAACTGGCATGGTGGTGCTATAGTTCAGATATCTGTCCCTCAAATCTCATGTTGAAATGTCATCCCCAACACTGGAGGACTGGAGGTGGGCCTGGTGGGGGTGTTCAGGCCGTGGCGGTGGATCCCTCATGTCTTGGTGCTGTCCTTGGGATAGGGAGTTCTCATGAGATCTGGTTGTTTAAAAGTGTGTGACACCTCCTCCCTCCCTCTCTCTTGCTCCCAATCTTGCCATGTGACATTTCCTGCTCCCCCTTCACCTTCTGCCATGATTGGAAGCTTCCTGAGGCCTCATCAGAAGCTGACGCTGGTGCTGAGTTTCCTTTACAACCTGCAGAACTGTGAGCCAACGAAACCTCTTTTCTTATAAATTACCCAGCCTCAGGTATTTCTCTACAGCAACGCAACAATGGCCTAATACAGGCAGAGAGGCCTAGGGTTGCAGGAAGGCGTTATGCCCCGGAGGGCCTCAGTTTTCTAATCTGTAAAATGAACACCCCATCCTTTTGCTCCCTCCTAGTGCTTATTTTATAATGTAAAATCACATATAGTGCTGCATGTACACATTTGTTTGTATGTTTCCATAGGGGTCTGTAACTTCCAACAGACCATAAGGGGCTCTGTGACTCCAGGAGGTAAAGAACCCCTCAGCTCCCAATCCCCTCTACAAGCAGTGGAGCTGGGGGTCAGCATGCTCCCACTGGGGGTCAGCATGGGCTGCATCTGAGGCTAAACCTGGCTCGTGTCAGGTTGTAGGACCCCACCTCCCTAGAGGCTCCACTGGCCAGTTGTCCAGGGGTGTCAGCTCCCTGCAGGCAAAGGTGAGTCCCACTGATCAGGATTGCCCAAGTGCTCTTTGAAACTCATTTTACTTGCTGGAGGAGGGATCCTGGGCCCTTCCCGGGATGATGCAGTCCTTGTGGTGCATAACTGGAACATAACACAAGAGCCTTTTCCTCCTCTTCCTGCCCTCCTCCTCCTCTCTCTCCTCACTCAAACACTCATCTCCTCCACAGGGCTCTGGCCTAACTGAGCAACAGTCTGCTGTGGGCAGGGCTTGTTTTACAGGCTCTTCCCCTGCCCTCGTCAGGCCCGCAACTCTGCCAGGTTCTCTCTCTCTACTAAAACCTACTCTCAGGACAGATTCGATGTTAGTCATTCACACCTTACTGCACAACCCAATGGCAGTGGTTGCTCTCCTTGGAGCGTCTGAACTTGCACCTGTTGTATTTATAGCCATCTGAAATGTGGAAGACCCCATCCAAAGGCAAAAGAGGTGGGAGGTGGGGAGCACTGTGGGGCAGCAGAGGCTCCAAAATCAAAGGCCACCCGCAGCCCAGGAGAAGCCAGCCTGGGAGATGCCTGCCGTAATGCTAGGGTTCTGCCTATCTGTCTATGCAGCTGAGCGAGCTGAGGCAGAAGGTTAGACAGGGACCCAAAAGCAGAGAGGGAGCGGCTCCCTCATCCTGTGGGAAAGAATCACTTAAGTAAGGTCAACTTCCTCTGCTTGATGTAAGCCCAGTAACAGCAGGAACTGCACCTGGTTTTGGTCTCCACTGAAGTCCCTGCTGAGCCCAGCACCTGTACCTGGGAGGCCCCGCACAGGTATTTGCTGAATATGCAGCTAGAAGAATGTCTGCTCTGGGAGGCCCCCCTTGCCATTCCTGTGTCAATCTTTATTGCTACAGGCGGGAGGGGTAGCCACCTGCAGGGGGGAATTGGAGCACAGTGAAAAGTCTCCTGCCCAAAATCTCTCTCTGGTTTCCAAAACTGTCAGCATTCACATCACTCACTTCTCAAGGGCCTTTTCAAGGAGATGAGATTTTTAACTGAATGAGAACGTTCTGCTACCTGGGAGGGATGATACATTAGCACAGATTAATGTTTCTGATTAACAGCATCATTACCTCTCCCTTGTCATCCGCCTGGACCACCTTGCAGCCAGTCACATGCCACCAAACAGACTGCAGCACACGCACAGGGCCCCTTGATCCGACAGGCCAGAAAGAGGTCCTTGGCGCGTACCTCCTGGGAATTTTTAACAAACTGCCTGGGCCCTATCCCCAGAGACAAGGTAAACAGCGGCCAGGGAAGGGCCCCAGGCATTAGCGTTTTTAAAAGCACCCACAAGCACTGTCAGCCAGAGTTGAGATCCACTGAACCTGTTGTGGGTGTCTGTAGCCACTACCGTGCAGGCCCATGAGGTGAAGGTGAATGACTGCAAGTGGGTCACAACTGCTGGAAGCTGATCATGACAGGACATCACCGGGCGGGAGCCACAGATACAACCCGCATCGCAGAGTATGGGCTAGCTACAAGGAGTCTCCCCACGCATGGAAACGGCCACTTTTAGGAGAAGGCCTTCTACATCAGCATGACATGAGCTAGGTCTGATTTCACCATTGGACCAAAGCGACATCCTTGCCAGAGGACTGGCTGCTCCACATTGTATAGAAGTGACTGCAACAGCACACTTGATCCACTGCAAGCATGTTTAAGAGAGGTGTGTACGGAACAAGACTTTCCACAACAGGGAGAGGCAGTCACTAACATCTAAAGGACTGTCTGTGATGAAAAGCCAAGTAGCATGAGGAATGTGAACACTCCGGATGTGGAGCTAGAAGAGCTGGGTTCGAATCCGGCCTCTGCTTCTTGCTAGTTGTGTGAACTCTGGCCAGTCCCTTAGCCTCTCTGATTCTTAGAGTCCTCGTTTGTAAAGGGTCCTTTTCAGAGGGTTGTGATGAAAACGAAGTGAAATTGTGTCTGAGATAATGACTTCCACAGTCAGTGTCAAGTAAAAATTAACTCCTCTTCTCCCACTTCTGATGGAGACGTTCCCTGGCATGGTGGGTGGAGTCCCAATTGTCACCCACAGGACTTCTGCCTTGTACATCTTACTGCAGGCTCAGAGCGTGGTGGTTGAGCCCAGAGTCTGGAGACAGACTGGTTCTGGAGCCAGGTGCTGCCACTTACTAGTGGTTTGACCTGGGACAAATTCCTTAAGCACTGTGCCTTAGTTTCCCCTCTATAAAATGGAGACGGTAGCAGCTACCCTATTGGGTTAAAACTTATAAATATTACAATCGTCCCCCACTCCTTCCTTCCTTCTCTTTTTTCTTCCTCCCTTCCCCTCTCTTTTCCTCCCTCCTTCCTTCCCTCCTTCCTTTTCTTCCACCACTCCTTCCATTCTTTCATTCCTTTTCCTTTCCGATAGAGCATCTCCAATGTGCCTGATACTTTCCAGGCCCACGAAATAGAGTGGGGAACAAGAGAAGAAAGAGAAAGCGAGCCATAAAGGAAGGGTGCTGTCACGGAGGTGCACGCAGGTGGGAAGGACGGTAAATGAGTGAACAAATAAGACCTTTCTAAAATAGCGATGAGCTGTCAAAGGAAAACAACCAGGGCTGAGAGAGGCCTCTCTGAGAAGGAGGCACTGGAGCTGGGACCCGCAGGACAAGAAGGGACCAGCTTGAGGATACACGTGAAGAGGTCCCGCCCCCACACCCTCACCTCAGCAAAGCCTGAAACCTGGGCTCCTCTGAGAGGACAGAAAGGGAAGGGGAGAGGAAGGAGCAGGAAGAGAAGCCTGCAGTCAGCACTGAGAGTCACCCAGCGCATAAGAGAAGGGTGGCCGGGAAATGCGGGGAAGGGGTGCCTGATAAGAGCTGGCCAGGGAAAGGGCAGGTTGACCACACTTGGAGGAGAGAAAGGTAGGCAAAGAGAGAAGCAAAGACAGAGAGGGGCTGGGGGACGAGGCCACCATGGCGGGGACTCCTGCATTAGCTGCTCAATGAGAGCCGCCAAGCTCAGCTCTGGTCACATCAAGCAGGAAGGCCCCGAACACACAGGGCTGTAACTGCCACTGACGGTCACCACTGTCCGACCTCTGCCTCCCCAGGGCCTCTGCTTGACCAACTCAGAGGAGAGCGGCAGCCACAGAGTGTGTCACTGTTTTCATTTCTTCTTCTTGGGACGGTGGTGTTATTCCTGCTGCCAGTACTGTTTTTTATTTTCATTTTCTGTGGCCTTGGAGAAAATACATAAAGTATTTCCACTTGGAAGAAAAGCTGAATATTTCCTTTTCATGATCACAGCTCAGGTCACCAGCTTGCTGCCATGGGGCACTACAGGGGCGCTGCGCGGCCTCCACGGGAGGCTTGGAAGTCAGTGTACCGGCCAGGCTCAAGTTTGGAAACGTAGGTAGAAAAGCGTGGATGTGGCTCATAGGACAACAGGCGAATGGTTGAGCCTACTCACAGTGGAAGAAACAAGGTGAGAGATAAAAAAGACTAGCAAAAATTACTAGAGAGGAACATTTAAAAATACAAAGGAGAATAAAAAGGCAAATAGGAAGAGAAAACATACAAGAGCAAGACAGAAAAGTGGATCCTCTGCGTGAGCCCCCTCGCCACCCTGACAGAACCTGGGTTCAGGTCCCACACTCGCATGCCACAGAGGTATCTGCCCAGCAGAAGAGGGTGTGCGTGCCTATGGAACAGGAGCCCATGGCACACACAGACCGTGTCGGGTGCCTTGGGGAAGAGAGCCCGGTGGGCATGACTCATACCTGACTCCAGGAGGCGGTAAGCCCTGTTTTGGGTCCCCTGGGAAAAGAACTGGCCTTTGGGCCAGTTCTTGGGAGAAAGAAAGCCCGTGATCCCAGCACCCCTGTCCAACTGAAGCCAGGGTCTCCCCGGCAGACACCTGACTGCCCTCTGGCTAGAAGTGACATCTCCAGCTCAGGGCTGCCCACATTCAGTAAGGGGTACAAAAAACTTGGGAAACACTGGGTTAAGCAAAGTCCAAAGGTTTCTTTGCTACAGGACTTCTCAGAGCCTTTAATGAGCTCGTATGCCCTGTGACACTCAATCAGAGGTAGAGGCTGCAGTCAGCTGACACCCGGAACACAGAACCCTTTCATTTTTTAAAAATCTCAGAATAGCTGTTGACATCTCAAAGGACGCTGCCCTTCCTTTGACACTGGTAGGTGGGAAGCCTGACGCAGGCATAAAGACACCAGCTGAACTTAGTTCCTATCCAGGCCTCCCAGGTCCTTCCCTTCCCTTCTGTTCCCACTAAGCACAGGCAATCAAAATCCGGCCATCCACGGGAAGCTGGTGTCTGCCTCATGGCTTATGTACGACTTCACCTTTGATGATCTCAGTAAAATTCCCATTCCCAAATTCTGAGCCACAAAAGGAATGGGAAGTTTGTGTTGCTTAAGTGCTAGTCCTTTTAAAAGAAATATTGAAAATGATGGGCTCTAGTGGAGTGAGGAGAATACAGAGACAGGCAGCTATGTCCTGAGTGAGTGCCATGTGCAGACAGTAAATCAAGTGACACTTGGAACACGGGTGACTAGTGTCATCCCCATCTTACAGATAAGGCAACTAAAACTCAGAGATTACGCCACTTATCCCGGGTCCCACGGCCAGCAAATAACGGAGACGGGATAGGACTTGGGCCAGTCTTACTCTGAATCCCACTCTCTCTGCACTGCCTAATGTTGCATCCCTGCTATGCAAGGCACTGATTTGAGTTTTGGGGGCAGCCTTGGGTGGGGGGTTATTTAAAAACTCATCAGATGGTCTCAGCTTTTAAGGAGCTTATAGTCTAGCAGGAGAGGAAAACTCCTGTTCCCTAACAAAGAAGTGCCTGGGGAAGAGGAAGGGAAGCTCACCTCTAGCTCAGGAACGGGAGGCATTTGAGCTGGGCCTTAAAGGACAGAAGAGTTCCAATGGCCTAAATGGCAGTGGAGGGCCTTCTCCGTGGAAGGACCATGGTGAGCAAAGATGCAGGTGGGAAAGGTCAGGTTGGCTTTGGGGACCCGTGTGTCTCACATGAGGTTATGGAGGGACGGCGGGACTTGAGTGAGATGGTAGGACGGCGGCCAGACCCAGCCAGAGGGGCTGTGAAACCTCAAACACAGCAGTTTTGCAGCAGGATGGTAGGAGGTTTCGGGATAGCGGGCTTTGGAACAGCATGTCGCTGCATTTTATCAGAGCTCTGTTGACACATGTCTGGTCCAATAAATTAACATTTCCATCTCAGCTGACTTCATTTGGCAGGAGCAATAAATTCACATGGCAATTCAAACTGAGGAGGGGAAGAGTGTTGGGGGAGGGGGCCTATGGGGATAGGATAGATGGTAGAGTCATTCACGCTTTATCAAATTGCTTTCATTTGTTCATGCAGTCATTCAAAAAGCATTGGGTAGGCTGGGTGTGGTGGCTCACGCCTGTAATCCCACCATTTTGGGAGGCTGAGGCGGGTGGATCACCTGAGGTCAGGAGTTCAAGACCAGCCTGGTCAACATGGTGAAACACGTCTTTAGTAAAAATACAAAAATTAGCTGGGCGTGGTGGTACACACCTGTAGTCCCAGGTACGTGGGAAGTTTAGGCAGGAGAATCACTTGAACCCAGGAGGCGGAGGTTGCAGTGAGCCGAGATCACGCCACTGCACTCCAGCCTGGGCGACAGAGCGAGACTCCTTCTCAAGAAAACAAAAAAGCATTGGGTCGGCCCAAGAACCAGCTTATTTTATGAGAGTATCTTTCTAGCAGCCAATTCACTTATATCATAAATTTTACTTACATTTTGAATTGTTAGGCTTGGACAGAGTTGCATGCTTTTCAGAGTCTTTTCTCAGTGTGCCCTCATGTCATTTATTCCACAATTCTATCCCGTAGAATAGGTTCTCTGCTACGTACTCAACATGAGACAAACCTACATTCAGACACGTTTATTCCTCCAGCATAGCCCCTTCCTCCTGATTTCAATAGTTTGAAAACTCAGCAAATCCATTGTATAGGCATCTCTTAAATATCTATTTATTTACATATTGATCAATATATTTATTCTCTGGTTCAAAAAAAAGTGAGATGATTTACTGAGCACTTACTATGAAGCGGAGGTGACTGAATTAAATTGAATTAATGACAGAGATAGGGCAAACTTACTCACTCGCAGCTCAATGTGCTTTCTCCCGAGCCCTAAAGCAAAGCATACAGTGTGAGCCTCTGGCCGCGGGGGCGCCTGTCTCACTGCTGGGCTCCTGGAGCTTATGCATCTCTTATCTCCTGGAGACCATGGTTTAAGCAGCCAGGTCTGCTGGGCACCGCCCCTTATCCCCATGATCTCAAAAGATCCAGGGAGGGCCTGAAGAGCACTTAATGGAGTACAAAGCCACAAACGTCACTGCCTGACCCGTTTCTCTAAGAAGCCAGGTCTGAGGTTATCGAGGCACATAGAGAAGGCCTCTCCGGTGTGTGCTGTGGAAGGACGGCCTTGCCAGCAGGGATTGTGGGGGGCCTTTGTGGTATCCTGGGCGTCCTGCAGTGGGGCTGGGGCTGTGGTGAGGGAAGGAAGGGACCCCTGCCTGGGGAGCTGCTTTTCCTGAGGGACCTCCACAGCCACAGGGGTAACGAGCTAAGGGCAGTGGAGTGGCAGGTGGGCATGGGGGGGGCTTGGGCGTGGGGAGCCGGGGTCTTGGGCGTGGGGAGCCAGGGCCTAGCTCGAGCAAGAAGACAGCTCTGGGGCCCAGAAAGCCTCTTCCTGGCTCCACAGGACAGCTCAGAGGGACAGCCAGGAGGGAGAGGCTATCTAAGTCAAACGCCTTCCCCTTTCATGGCCCCTGTGCCTCCGACTTCTCTCCCCAAATGAAAGGAAGCAGACATCTGCAATTCCTTTGGGGCAGAGCTTCAGAAGGATGGTGCAGCTTTCTGCCTCCAGCCCAGCAATCCTGAGGATGGGGGAGGAGCCTCAGGGTGGACAGACAGCAGCGCTGGGCTAATCCCCTGCACACACCTGAGGATCTGAAATCTTCTTCTTATTGGATTCCCTTCAGCAAGCCCTGGAAACCTCTGGGCTCCCTGGTGTAAAAGGTGAAAGGGTGGCCAGGCTACCTCATGGCTGCTTTCTGAACGAGGGGCTCTTGGTTGCCTCCGGTGACTCCGGCAAGGCCAGGGCCCGGGGACTAGGAACAGAGGCAAGGGCTCTGTTCCTCCTGGTTCTTAGCTGCTCTGAACACACAGCCAGCAGTGCCATTTTAGCCCACAGAAGGAGCAGGGCTTCTGTAGTTGTTGTTAGTGGTTTTCACTCAGCGAAAAATAGAACCGTAACATTCCAGTGTACCCCCCACCTCCAGCCCCTCACTCCCTAATTCTAACAGGTCTTTCACCTGCCTTGTCCCTAAAGGTCCTAGGGCTCTGACTCTGCCCGTGACTGAGTACTTCCAGTCACCCTGCTTTTCCTGTCTATATAAGGCCTGCCTTCATTGCAGCTCTCCACCGCAGGGCTGCTGTGGGCTGAGGCTGCTGCTCTGTCCTTCTTCCCCGCTCGAGTGGTGAGGCTCCTGATACCCCACAGGGCTCAGGAGGTGGGGAGGAGGCAGGCTTTGCTGGGGACAGTTGGAAATACCCAACACATACACGGGCGGAGCAGTTGGGGACATCATGATGGTGAGATTTGCGCTGATCTAGGCCCTTCCTAAGAGGCAGAACTGGCCTCTCTGGAGAGTGATGGAGCCTGGTAGTCTTACAGGTACTGGGCCTCTCATGCTGCAAGGGGAGTAGGGAGAGAAAGATGAGAGAAAAATCCATGTCACAATGGGAGGCAGCCAGGAGAAGGGAAGGATAGGGCAGCCAGGAGAAGGGAAGGATAGGAAGGCCATCCTCACAGCCAGGGTCAGCTCCTGAAACACACACACGCACATGCACACGCACACACACACATATACACACACAGGGGAGCCATCCTGACAACTAGAGTCAGCTCCTGGAATACACACACGCATGCACACACACACATGCGTGCACGCACACACACACACACAGGCGAGCCATCCTCACAGCTAGAGTCAGCTCCTGGAACACACACACGCATGCACACACACACACACACAGGCGAGCCATCCTCACAGCTAGAGTCAGCTCCTGGAACACACACACGCATGCACACGCACATGCACAGGGTCCAGATGCTTTTTACTCCAAGCATATTTTTTCCTCATTTACTTTAAATATTTGGTTTTGGCATCCTTTGCACAAAGTAATCCATGGAAATCATGGTCCTTTGAAAACGAAAACTATATCATGCACCAATTCCTTGCTGGGGTCCACTCATGACAAACTTCCACAACCAGAGCCACAGTGATTCCAGAGAGAAGGGAGGTGGTGGGACACGAAGGGCCTTGTGCCCTTTTCTGCTGTGAATGGGAGGCCAGGGTTGTGTTTCCAAAAATGGGTGGTGGGGCTGCTAAAACGGTGCCCGGCGACGAGCTCGTTGAGGTCGATTCTGCGGTCGCCATAGGCATCACGACTGGCCAAGCCTCAGTGCTGCGGGGAAGGACCCTGTCCCTCTGGCAGATTGGAGTGGGAACAGAATGCATGAGCCCACCATCCAAGGCTGACAGCTAAAAGCAACCCACAGTCTGAGAGGACGAAGCTGCCAGCTTGCTGAGGCCCGCGGCTGGCAGGTGAGGATGATTCATTCCCACCCCGAGCGAAAATTCTCCTCTGTTTGCGTTCCTGTCTCTCCGAGCTGTCCTGCTCATCCACCTCTCCCTTCCACTAGTTCTCCCTTGTGCTCTCCCTTCCTCTCCTGCCCCATTTTCCTCCTAGCCCTACTTCCCTCTCCTCCCTGACCTGAGAGGGACTGTGTACATCACACCTGCGTTGCCTCCACCTCCCCTGCTGGGCAGCGGGCCCTGCGTTGGCTCCTCTTTCTTGCATTTGGCACAAGTGCCATGGGAGGCACCAAGGGAGCACAGGTACTTGCCTTGCTAGGGTGAACACTGCAGCTTCAGGGAGGACTATAAGGGGTTTGGGGGGGACTGCGAGGAAGTGGCAGACAGAAAGAGGACCCGCAATCAAGGCACCTAACTTCAAGGGGAACAACAGACAAACATCATTTCTAATTTGGTTTTTGCTTCAAGCACAATTGCCAACAAAAATTAAGAAATTATGGTGAGAAACCTAAAATAGGAGTCTCGTTGAAGATTCTACCTGTAGTGACCGTCCACTGCTGGTTAATATATCCATCAGCAAAAACTCATCAAGGAGGGCACACCTACGGTGATACCTCCATTCTCAACCTCCTGGTCTGACGGTGCTCTTGACTTTATCAGAGCTGACTAGCCTGAACCTGAAGATACTTCCCAGAGGATGGGTCCCTAGGGATGATCTAGTTCTACACCTGTCACTTTAGTGGTGAGGGGTCTGAGGCTAAACATCTAGGGGAAGGAGACGATCAGCTGATTAGTGGCAAAACTAGGTCGGAACCCAAACATCCCAATTCAAAGCCCATTGCTTTTACCAGGGTGCTACATCAGGGTGCTTCATCCAAGAAGTGTTTTAACAGTCAGCAGTTATCATGAGGACAAAAGGACAAGTCCAATGTAAGTGTGTATGATCACATGTGCTAACAAGAGTGTAAAAGGAACAGAGCCACGAGCTGAAGACACTAACAGGACAAGAAGACAAGGATCAGCATAAGTAGGATAAACTAATGTGATTATGAGTGGCACTAGTCAACACACCTGGGATTAGTATTATTGCAACATTGGGCAAAAGAGATATTGAGGAAGGGGATGTCACGGAGGATGGCAATAGGCTTCTTACTTGATGTTATGACTGGTGCCCTGGAAATGTCTAGAAATATCAATGCAAGGTTTCAGAAGTAGGAGTCCTTTTCCATGAAAATGAAATATATTTTTCAGCTATAAGTTTTATATACTAAATTGAAATGAATAAGACTTCACTAGTGAGCAAAAAGAAATGAAATGTGGACAAAACTCTTCACATAAAGTGGCCTGGAGACTTCTGCTTCCAGAAAGATGGAGTAGACACATCTTTCCCTACTAAGTGCAACCAAAATCCCTGTACGTTATATGTAAAAGAAACATAAAAAGACTCTAAAAGAGGAGAGAAGCAGTAGACCAGAAGGGAACCCCAGGACCTGAGGAATAACATAGCAGAGTTCTCTGGATTCCTGGGGAACCCAGAAACATCAAAAGGTACAGACCAAAAAAAAAAAAAAGCCCCAATTAGAGCCTCCTCTCGTTAGCCAAAAGCCCAGGAAAGGGGAAGTCTAGCAAGACCCAGACTTTGTAAAACTGTGGTAAAATATACATAACATAAAATTTACTGCGTTAGCCATTTTTAAGTGTAGCATTCAGTGGCATTAAGCACATTTACATTGTTGTGCAATTATCACCACCCATCTCCTGAGCTTTTTCATCCTCCCAAACTGAAACTCTGTATTTAATAAATAATAAATCCCCATGATCCCTTCCCTCCAATCCCTGGAAACTACAATTCTACTCTTTGTCTCTGTGAATTTGCCTAGTCTGGGTACCTCACGTAAGTGGAACCATGTAATATTTGTTCTTTTGTGTCTGGCTTATTTTACTTAGCATAATGTTTTCAAGGTTCACCCATGTTGTAGCGTGTGTTGGAAATTCCTGGTTCCCCACCTGTCTTGATGCCACCCCGGCAAAAGAGTTGGGGTGCCTTGTTACAGCCTGATGAGGATGGACGTTGAGGTTCCCCACTTGGCCTTTGCTGGGGGAAGAGTGGGTGAAGCCGCAGTGTTTCTTGTGGTGTTTGGCTGGAGGAGAATAGTTATTGTCTAACATTTTCTGTCTTAATATAAAAATAAGCAAAGGATTTGAATAGACATTTCTCTAAAGATCTACAAATGGCCAATATGCACATGAAAAGATGCTCGACATCACTAGTCATTAGGGAAATGCAAATCAATACCACTGCACACTTATCAGGACGGCTATTATCAAAAGGACATTCCTTCCCACTGGGTCATGATGAGGCTCCCCAGTACCCACATGGTGTCAGTGGAGACGATGTCCACCGCACACTTATCAGGACGGCTATTATCAAAAGGACGTTCCTTCCCACTGGGTCATGATGAGGCTCCCCAGTACCCACATGGTGTCGGTGGAGACGATGTCCACTGCACACTTATCAGGACGGCTATTATCAAAAGGACGTTCCTTCCCACTGGGTCATGATGAGGCTCCCCAGTACCCACATGGTGTCGGTGGAGACGATGTCCACTGCACACTTATCAGGACGGCTATTATCAAAAGGACGTTCCTTCCCACTGGGTCATGATGAAGCTCCCCAGTACCCACATGGTGTCGGTGGAGACGATGTCCACTGCACACTTATCAGGACGGCTATTATCAAAAGGACGTTCCTTCCCACTGGGTCATGATGAGGCTCCCCAGTACCCACATGGTGTCGGTGGAGACGATGTGAGAAAACTGAACTTCCACCCCAACTAGGCAGTAATGAGGTGTGCCCCCCTTTCCCTGCCGAAGTGGTGTCAGAGGAGGTCTAAGGGAGCGCCAGGACATTCACCATGTGGTAATGAGGCCTCTCCCTCGCTGCGGTGTCGGTGAGGCAGTAACGAGGCTCCCCTCTGCCTCCAGCCAGGGTGGTATCAGCAGAGGTCTGGCAGTGAGCCTGAGCCACGCCAGCAGTAATGAGGAGGCCCTGCCTCACTGAGTGCTGATGGGGGCCGAGTGGGAACCTGACTTCCACCCTTACTGGAATAGCAAGATGGTGGCATCCCTCCTCCCTGCTGGGTCAGTGGCAAAGGAAAGCAGCTGTAAGGGAAGGCTTCAGATAACATCCGGAGCTGCATAATACCCAGAACATCCAGGTTCCAATTGGAAATCATTCCTCATACCAAGAACAGGAAAGCACCAACTTGAATGAGAAAAGGCACTTGGATGACACTAGCACTGAGATAACCCAGATGTTAGAATTATCTGACAAAAATGTTTAGGTGGCTACTGTAAAATGCTGCAACAAGCAATTACAAGCAGGCTTGAAACCGTGGAAATGCAGAAAGTCTCAGCAAAGAAACAGAGCCTCAGTAAAAAAATGGAAGACATAAAGAAGGCTAAATGAACATTTTAAAAGTAAAAAGAACAATAAATGAAATTTCAAAACTCAATGAATGGGCTCAATAGTAGATTATAGACAACGAAGGAAGGAATCAATGAACTTGAAGGTAGAATAATAGAAATTACCTAATATAAGGAATGGAGAGAAAATAATCTTTAAAAAGTGAGCAGAGTTGGGTGGCCTGTGGGATTATAACAAATGCTCTAACATCCATGTCATCAGAGTTCCAGAAGGAGAGAAAGAGGAGGATGGGGCTGAAAAAGTACTCAAAGAAATAATGGCTGAAAATTTCTTAGCAAAAGACATAAACCTACAGATTCAAGAAGCTCAGTGAAGCCAAAATAGGATAAGCCCAAAGAAATCCACACCAAGATATATCACAGTCAAACCCTTGAAAACCAAAGTCAAAGAAAATATCTTGAGAGTAGTGCAAGGGAAATGTCACCTTGCCCAGGGGGGAAAATAATTCAAATGACAGCATATTTCTCATCAGAAACCAGGAGTATTAGAAAGAGGTAGCATACCATTTTGCAAGTGCCTAATGAAGGAAAGTGTCAACCAAATTATATATCCAGTGCAAATATTCTTCACAAATGAAGGGGAAATAAAGGTATTTTCACAGATGAAAGAAAACTAATAGACTTGGTCACCAACAGACCTACACTAAAAGAATGGCAAAAGGAAGTTCTCTAAGCAGAAAGGAAATGATTTTTTTAAGGAATCTTGGGTTATCAGGAAGTAAGGAAGAACAGAAAGAGCAAGAATATGGGCAAATGAATACACTTTCTGTCTCCTCTAGAGTTTTCTAAATTTTGACAGTTGAAGCAAAAATCGTAACACATGCATTTCTCATGTGTGTGGAGGAAATACCTAAGGCAATTCTATCATAAATGGGTGAGGATAAAAGTGAGACAGACACACTTCATTTGGGCTGGAAAAAAGTAGTACCAGTAGACTGATAAATTATGTATATATAATGTAATACTTAGAGCAACCACAAAACAGCTACACGAAGAGATATACTCAAAAACACTAGAGGTAGATAAAAATGGAGTTCTAAAAAATGTTCAACGAATCCACAGAAACGCAAGAAAAGCCATTTATATAACATTCTTGAAATGACAAAATTATAGAGATGGAGAACAAATAAGTAGTTGCCAGGGGTTAGGGATGATGAGGAGGAAGGGTGGGTGTGTCTAAATGTGCACACGGGGAAGATCTCCATAGCGAAGGAACTGTTCTGCATCTGCGGCAGTGGTCACATGAACCTACATATGATAAAACAACACAGAACTATACATGCACGTTGTTCCAAAGTCAGTTTCCTGGTTTTGATACTGTGCCATCGTTATGTACATATGGTGTGACTATTGGGGGAAACTGGGTGAAGGGCACTGCCTCTGTGCTACCTTTGAAACTTCCTATGAACCTATAATTATTTAAAATTTTTAAAAAATTTAAAGTGACTTGGATCAGTAGAATGTATCTATATCCCGTCCGTATTCTTTCCAGATATCCCACAGGGAGTAGCCGAGTTATCCTCGAAGGAGTCTAAACTAGCATGCCTGTCAGGTGGGGAAACAGAGGTAGGGAGCTCCCTTAACAGAATAAGTTCCTTGTGCAGTTTAGCAGTGTTTATGGAAAGATCTACTATGTCCTGTGCACTGCTCCAGGCAATTTGAGAAGAAGTCAGAAACATGTACGTGGATCCTTCCTGATAATCCCAAAGCTACTCTTCTTCCTGGATACCCTCGGTCCTTCATGCTTAACTCTTCACAAAGAAAAGCCACAAAAAAAATCCAGCCACAAACTTTGGCTGTGTAATCTTTCTATGGTAACCTCCACTGCTTGGTTTCTTCCCATGTGAACAAGTGACCCCCAGAAGCTGACGAGACAAACTATTTGTCTTCATGTGCTTGGCCACTTGATCTTCTGGAACCCAGGGCCCCCCATGCATCTGGCTGGGAGCTGGCCGCTTTCTGCCTGGGCACTTGAGGAGAGTCCATGTTAGGAGAGGCGTGCACAGCAAGCCAGCTTCTGAGAGGAACTCGAATCCTGCCTTCCAACAAATCGTCTGATCATGCAGGATTGTATACGGTTGAATGTCACTGATTTAATCTTGCCTAGACAATACTGATTGTAAGTACACAGGGCACTGCTTCCCATGCAAAATGCCTGGCTTGGGTGCGGGGCTCCTAAGAAGAGGGTGGCCTTTACCCTGAGAAAGGAACACGTGGAATGTTAGGGTAGACAAGAGGACAGGAGGAGATGTGCTTCACCCAGAAAGACAGGCTAGGCTGCCCCCATGAGCGCTCTTAGTTACTGTGAGGAAAAGGCCAGGGGCTCATTCCTGAGGAGCATGGGGCTCCGGCAGTGCTGAAGAGCTAAGGACACGGCTCGAGTTTCCCGGGGCACTTCAATTACTCTCCTTGCTACAGGCCCCGGAGTGGACTAGCGGTGATTCTCAACCTTTTCCATAGTGTGGCACACAGAGAAAGGGACAGTGCTTTTATGGCATCCACAGGGAAATGGATGAAGCGCCCACAACCAGAGGTGACCAGCCTAGGGGATCCTGAGTCCAGGCCCTGCCTGGCTGGACGGAGCCCACAGTGTGCCCTGGTACACAGCAAGGACATTCTGACTAGAGGATTTCTGTACACACTTTCAAGGGTGAGAATCATTAAGTCTTTCCTCTAGGTGGAAACAGGCATCTCTGAGAAAGTCCCTGGGGCCCCAGAGCAGAGCTGTGGTCCACGGACACCAGCAGTCTGTCAACACCACATCTTCGTCATCTTGTGGTGGGAAAGGCACCGAGTGCTCCACGCAGCCCCTGAGTGATGTGGCAGACGTCTACCTGGGGCTCACTGGGAGATGGTGGGGGCTGGACTGGAGAGATGGAGGAGGGGCCCTGCAGGTTGCACGAGTCATCTTCTCATCTGTTATTTACTGTACTTTCCTAATCATATAGTGTCAATGCATCTATAAATTATCTTGTCTCGCAGCAGCTGCCAGGAGTGGTAAAAGCTGTCACTTAATCAAAAAAGTTTAATTAAAGAATTTTAAAAAAAGAAAGGAAAGGAAAAGCAGCCTTGGGATGGCAGCTCCGGGCCTTGCAGAGCTGGTGAGAGGTGAGGCCAGTGCAGGAGTCACGTGCCTGCAGCTTCCTCCTTGACTTCTAAACCCTCCTCCCTGGGTCCTCACAGCTCCGCGCTCACTCCTGCCTCCAACGCCATCCCTCTGCAGCGCACCTTGACACAAGAGGGGAAGTCACTCGTCCAATGACACAAGCAGCTAGTCAGCTGTGTGGCCAAGACCAGAAGGTCAGTCATAGGAGATGTGTCTTTGGCCTGGAGTAGTATCTGCTTCACCTTGATTTTGGGGCAGGGCAGCGAGACACTAGTTGGAAAAGAATGAAGGCTGTTAAAAGCAGGTTGACCTCCAGGAAATGTTGGGAAGACTGTGGTTGACCCTCATCACTCCAGGCCTACGTCCTAGCCCCGTATCTGTGTGCTGCTGCCTACACACACAAGTCCCTCTGCCCTGCCCCACAGTGCTATTCTAATGCCCCTAACTTGAAGATCCTCATGATCTGTCTATCTCTTTCAGCTCGCATCCCTACCCAAAAACAAAAGCAAAACAAAGCAAATAACCTTGCTCATAGCAGAGGGTCAAATAGGTAGGAAAAAAATTAATGGACCTATTATTCCTAAGGTATTATAATTGATATGGCTTAAATCATAACCTAAGGAATAAATCCTTGAAGGGAGCGATGTTCTAGTGGTGGTGGCGGTGGCACAGCAGACCTTCCTGTTGACCGTGAGACCAGACCACCAGGGCTCCCACTGGCACTGGGGGCCTACAAGTCTGGTTCGGAGGATGAAAGCTGAATGGCGATGCAAGGCTATTGCTAGTAGATTGCTGCTTATCTCCAGATTACAACAACATCAGTGTGCACTTGAAGATTTATAGGTCAGTTTCACATGTGAAGTCGTCAGAGCCAGCATTAAAATTCTCATTTCACAGATAGGACTACTGAGACTCAGAGAGGTTAAAGGCTTTGCTTAGGGTCACACAGCAGCAAGTGGCAGAGTGAGGCCTGGGACAGCAAACCCTTTGCTGTTCACATTCACACCGCCTGCAGTGCCACCTCCTGCCTGCCTCTTCCAGCTGGTGGGCTTCTGTTCTCTAGAGCTCCCAGTCAGGTCTGGCCCAGGCCCCTGGAAGCACACGGAGGTGTCCCTTCCAATTGCACTATCCAGCAGAGTCTCCTAGCCAGCCACGTTGCACGTGGCGCTCAACTCATTTCATTATCTTTCTCAAAGCTCCAGGAACAAGAGGAGAAGCATAATATTAAAGGCCTGGACCACTGCCAGCCAATAAGATAAACAGTCAAAAAGGTCAGGTGCTGCTTGGATAATTGTCTAGCTTTGGTGGAGTCATAGAACCAGACTACAAATCAAAGTTTTCTCAAGCAGGATGTTGCAGCATTTGCAATAAACACTGCCATCTTATTGAGATACTGTAATTCAGCTTGTATTCATCTTCTCTGCCAAGAGGCATGAACCTACAATGTTCATGTATAAAGGAAATTCACCATGTTTAACGAAAGTTTTAAAGAATGAGGTCCTCATCCCATTGTCAGAGGCTCATGCCATATCTAGAGCCTTCCTTAAGTAACAGAAAAATAGGTGACACTTTACTCCCTTCCTTCTCATTGTGGATGTGTTCAGAAGTGTACAAAAGGAGAGGACATAGTGTAAAGAACTCCATATGCATGTCTAGGTTGCATTATTTTACAACATTCAGTGCTTACTAGCTGCCAGGCACGTAATCAGTTAATACTTGCTTTGAAGATCATAACTCACTTATTCCTCATAATGAGCCTATGAACTAAGTATTATGTCCATTTTAAAGAAGGGAAAACTGAGGCATAGGGAGGTTAAGTAATTTGCCAAGGAAACAAAGCTATAAGTGGAAGAGCTGGGAATCACACCAGCCAGTCTGGCTCTCGGGTTTGTTCTTGACCATCATGGATGCCCCACCCAGATCTGTGGTTGCTCTCCTGTCTGCTAGCTCTATAATGTTATACTCTGTGACTAAGTTTCCCCATCTGTTCAAAGGGGAGACCTGTCCTACCTGCTGACCTCATAGGTTGGTTGATGATGATCAGATGAGGTCGTGGAAATGTGTCCTTTGTCACAAGGGTGTGAAATGAATGTGAGCATAATAATTTTTTTCTTTAAAGGTGCAGCTGAAGTCCTCCCTTGAAACTTAACTGTGGGCACCCTGGCTGCTGCCCAACAGACTCATCCTGAAGCCTCCTCTGTGCGCAGCCTGGCACTGGGCCTGGGCAGGGGGCAGGGGACACAGGTTCCCACCCCTGCCACAGAGGCCCAGCACACCAACAAGGACTGGAGACTCAAAAACATACATGCAGTAGTATCAGAATAATTCTGGCCTCTTCCAGACCCTGAGGTGTCACTAAGAGCCATCCAGTTATTCTGAGAAGGCTGTGGGCAGGAGCTGGGAGAGACTGAAGGGAGGACCAAGCCTTGGGGGGCTTCTAGGCCGAGATGGGGAGGGGGTCTGAGGGCAGTGGGGAGAAGGGGACTTGGGAGAAGGGGACTTGGGAGAAAAGGCTCAGAGGATGAGGATGGAGGTGCCTGGCATGGGGAGGGCAGGAGGGAGATGCCACTGAAGCATCAAGTATATTTGGGGGAGGAAGGAAGCAGTAACAATAGCTGTAGCTGCTGTGCCTCCTTCCGTGGTCACCAGTCAGCAGATCAGCATTAGAGGTGTACATCTCTGCCCAGGTGTCAGGCACTGTCAGGGCCGTGCACTCAGTGGTGAGCAGGCCAGATGGGGCCCCTGAGATTAGGTAGCTTGGAAGCAGATGGATAAATAAGAGGGAAGAATGCTTCAAGGGAGGCAGAGAGTGCTGTGGGGGCACAGAATGGGAGACCCTAAGCCAACCTGAGGTGTTCAGAGAAGATGCCATGCTAAGCACGTTATTTGCATTATCTCGTTCTGTATTCGTAGCAGCCCTGTGTGGGTTTTCATGCTACAGATAAGGTCAGCAAAGTCAAGTTTGCTCGTACAGCATGGGGATGAAATTATTCGGTAAAAGGAGCAGGTTCTCAAACCCAGCCTCTGACTCTGATCGCATGCTTTGACCCTAATGAGAACTTGGTAGGTAGATGGAGTCAGTTATGGGCACATAAGCCCCTGCCCCGTAGGCACCACCTGGAGTCCACTTCACAATGAGCCATTACTCATTGCTGAGTTCCTCACTCTGCTTTAGCCTTTGCATTCAGAGAGAGGCAATAGGGCACGAAGGAATGACCTGGTTTCTAGAGCTCCACAGGCTGGAGTTGAGTCCTGGTCCACCAGTGATCCATGTTATTTAACTTTCCCGAGCCTCAGTTCTTAGCTGTGTAAAATGGATTTAATATTATCCACACCATGGTGGTGTAGTGAGGAATAAATGAGATAATGCAAAGTACCAGGCCCTTCACACTGTTGGTGATATAGTTTTAGGAATACACCCCCCTTGCTTTCACCTCCAGGAGGCGAGATCTTTAAAAACTGGGCACAGCTGTTGTAAGACTCACTGTCTAAATCTCCTAAAAACCTTGCAAGGGGGAATCAAACCCCTGGTGCATACAGGCAGACACATTGGCATTAATATATCCAAAAAGCAGGAGACAGGAAGTCAGAGTTCAGATGCTGAGTTATTAATGATCTGAGGTCATTGTGAGTAGTTCTTTAATAAGATGCAGTAAACCCATGGGGATGATATGGCCAGGAGGCAGGGAAGAAAAGAGTGGGGTCCCTGGCAAGGGTTCCACCCCCAAGCCTGGACCCATGGCCCTAAATGAAAACTTCACATCCCTGTTTTCCTGCCCAAATGTTGCCTTTTGGCTCACCATGCTCCCATGAAAACCCCAAGCTCCGCTGGCAGAGGAGCAGAGCAGCGTGGCAGAGAAGGAGAGAAGAGAAGAGGTGTCTGAACATTGAGAGGAGAAGAGGCAGCTGGACATCAGAGACTATGGTCAGAGAGGAGTTCAGCCGGGGATGGTTGGACAGGAATTTGGCTGAGGATGGCTGAACTCCAGAGGAAGATTATCTTCCCACTCCATCCCCTTTCAAGCTCCCCATCCTACTGAGAGCTATTTCCACCACTCAATAAAATCTTTGCATTCACCATCCTTCACATCTGTGTGACCTGATTCTTCCTAGATCCCGGACAAGAACCCAGGCACCAAGAGGACAGGGGGTAAAAGGCTGTCGCCCTGATCCTCCACTGACCTGGTTTAACATTTAGTCATCCACGGATGGAAAATACTAAAGGAGCACTGTTTGTAACTCACACCCTCTGAGGCTCTAGAGGTCACAGGCAACCACTAGACATTGTTGTGGGCAGGTATGGGGTTCATTCCTGCCAAAGCCCAAGAGCACTTGCCCTGCCTCCTGCACCCACTCACCTGCATGCTCCCCTTCCCACAAAGGGTTAGAGTGCAGCAGCCGAGCAAAGGAGCCACCCCTGTCTCAAGTCCCCGGGGGGAGGTGTTAAGGGAGATCTTCCATCTCAGGGAGAGGGTCAAACTGTACCCAAAGCCCCATGTTCCTGGGGTCTGTGACAATGACAGTTGCCAGGGCACTGAGGGGGCACCTCACAGCTGTTACCAATAACAAAAATACTAGGAAAGCTCCTCTGGCTTTCCCAGTAAGAATGTTTCATGATTTCTTCCTGTCCTGAGGTCCCCAGGTAAGAAGGTGTCACAGCTTCCTTGTTCCTCTGCAAGTTTCTAGCCTGCTGCCTCCTTTGGGCTGTCTCACCAGGAACTGTCTTGGGCATCTTTAGACCCCACACATCCTCTCCCCTGGACCCACGCTCCCCTCTCTTTCTGCAGCTTTGGGTGGGGTAGGCCACCCTGTTCTGACCTGGAATGCTGGAGAAGCATTTCAAAGTGCTTCTCTAGACATAACTCAGTCAATGATGACAACTCTGTGGAAGGTGGGCAGGATGTAAGGTATGGAGGCCCCCAGCTGTCCAGCTTTCAGATAAGGAATGGTGGCTCCCAGAAGTCATCTGGTGAGTGGCCAGTCTCCCGATGCACAGACCAGAGCTCTGCCCGACTCAGCACCACCCAGCCATGCTGCCCTTTGCTTCCACAGAGTATCCAGATGAAGGGCATATAGTTTGGAAAAGCTTATTCAATGTGAAAACTTTATATTTAGAGATGAAAAAACACATCTTGCTTTTAAAATGCAAACTTCACGAGGTAAAGCTCAATACAATTTTCTTGGCCTGGTAGCTCAAAGAAGGTGTGAGGGATTCTCCAGGGGAGGGGCACGTATGTGGAAGAGGCCTTCAGAGCTGGGCTATTGGATTTTGCCCAAGAACAGTGGAACTCAGAAAATGCAAATAATGGCATCAAAAGAGTGCATTGATATTTAAAGCACAAAAATGAGAAGTCCTCCTTCTTACCTTTTGGAAAAAGCCAAATGGCTCTCTTCCTTCTAATTGCGCCTCCAGCTTGGCCTGAGTTTATTTCAAGCCTGGGCCTGCCCTCGGGCCAGTGATGGAGATTCAGGAGTGACAGGCCCAGGGGCTAGGCAGGGGCCTCCTGGACCAGCCCTTTGGGGCACCACACTTCAAAGTCCTTCCTGCCTGCCAAGGGCGCTTGTTGTGACTCATCTGAGGGACAAAGCACGCTGTCTGCCACAGCTAGCTGCCCGAGAGCTAACTATGCTTTCTCCTGACTGCCCCTCCCTACCCCTAAATCAGAGGCTCTGACAGAGCAGTAAGATTTATCAGAAGGCTCATGGCTTGGGAAGCCAGCAGGATGCCCTCTGCAGACGCTCTAATCCCACTCACAGGTGATGGGGTGTTTCCATCCTCACCAGCTTTGCTGCTCCACTGTGTCTATCATCTGCCAGCATTGAGTGTATTGGGCCTCTGTTTTGTGCCAGTCACTTGGTACACATAAATTCCCCTGCAACCACAAGCCTGATTACCATTTCCAGAGCCGTGGACTCTGGACTGGTCCAGGGCCACCCAGTCAATCAAGAGCAATGAGAGTCTGAATGTAGGTGCCGCCTCCGCGGCACGTGTGTTGCTGCTGCTTACCTGACTTGCTCCTAGAGCGTGAAAGCTCCTGGGGGCTCTGAATAATTGCCCTGGAGTGACTTTGTGTCTGGGATGGGCCTGTCACTCAACTGAGCTCCCACTCTTACCTGTGAAGTCTGGAGTGATTCTAATGATCTAGCCCCCATTCTACCACTCAAGGACTTCGATTCAAAATCCAAGACACAAGCAAAAAGCCAAACAAAACAAAACCCAATACCTGTTTACTCTTCTTGATGGATAACACTCCACAGTCCCCAGAGTTTAAGTGTGGAAGCAAGTGTGGTTTAGCACAGGGGTTCTCCACTTGGATCCACTGATGATCTTTAGAGTGTGGCTTGTGAATACCTTGCAATTCTAAGCACAATGTTGTACATATGTGCATGGATGTCTCTTTCTGGGGCAAGTCCAAAGCTTTCATCAGATATGAAAACAGGTTGGTGAACCCCAAATATAAACTATTTAGAAGTTAGTTTAGAACTACTAACAGGCTAAACAGTTTGAGAGACAGATGTGTGGCCCAGAAGTATCCAGACCAAGAAAGAGCTGAGACAGTGCAGCAGCCTGCCCTGGGCCTCCAGCCTGGACTCCAAGTGACCAGATTCCTGGGTTTGGGATCCTTCAACAGTTTGGTTTTATGAAGTGTTCACGTACTTCTGAATGGTGTGGCTCGGCCAGGCTTGGCCCCATGCCTTTAGAAAACCGCTAATGAAACATTAAATAGTTGGAGAGGCCTAGCTTCATGCCAGAGCTCTTGGCCAAGAGGCGCCTGCTGTGTGGCCATAGGCCAGGGGCTGCTGGGTCCCCAGAAAATGTAATAGGTGGTGACAAGGCAAGTCCTGGTGACAACAACTCACCCTGTTCACAAGGGCCCTAAGTTTTGGGATCCTCAGCTGGTGTTTTGGAGGACCACAGGCCTGGGCAACAAGCCACTGCTTAGCTGAATCAAAGCTCAGCACATTCCCCAGGCCAGAGGCCACAGACCGAGTTAAGCCTGACCTGAACCACTTGGGCAGCCGGATCGCCTTTCTGCCCCCAACCACAGAAAGAGAAAAATCATCCCTCTTCTTCTTGGGCAGGCCTCTTCGTCCCCTTGACTCGGACACCGAAAGGGAGCAGAAACAGCTTTGCTAGTGTTGCATGCAGAGACAATCAGGCTGCAAAAATATTTCCATGTTTCCCAGAGTGCTTTCTCTCTTCACCTCTTTCTGTTGCTCCCCAACTCAGAAGGCTTGAACAGATGTGTGTCACTGAAAGATACACAACTTGGCACAGATAGAACCCCAGGAAATAACCCAGCACCCTAAAAGACCATCAGAGTGTCAGACCCAGGGGCTGAGACTGTACAAAAGACACCACGCACACACACTTCCTGGTCAGCTGAACTGTTTCAGCAGGCCAGGGACAGCCCCTGCTGAGGTTCAACACCAGGAGTGCAGACCATGGGGACGGGCACCAGGCTCCAGTGAGGTAGACTGGAATCTACTCACTGTGAGATCTTGACAAATTAATCCCTCTGAACACTGGGGACCCTAGTACCGGATCCTGGCTTGTAAAGATTAAATAAGATGACGTGTGTTTGTGCCTAGCACCTTCTAATTTCTCAACCAAAGGCAGATAATGGTATGAGCAACTACTCATGTGGCTCAGATCTGTGCTAATGTCAATGCAAAAGAGAAAGTCGGGGGTTCGGCTACCTTTTCTCAGATCATAGGGTTCAGGGATGCACATAGAGGTGCTGCGTTGAAAGGAATACATGGGAAGCCTCAGACTGGAAAAAGGAAACAGCTCTAGCCTGGAAAATCTGGTTTCTCCTGGATGGTTCCAGCAGCCAGCCACTTGGCTCTTCCAGAGGCTCAGAGGGACCCGACTTGCTTTCCCTGTAACTACAGCCTCTGGCCACTGGGGGCGCACTGAGTCCCTCTGTCTTCAGGGTCATGAAAAAAAAAGCCCCTTTCCCTTTATTCAGTTAAAATAAGGCTGGTCACTTTGAGAGGCCAAGGTGGATGGATCACATGAGGCCAGGAGTTCGAGACCAGCCTGGTCAACATGGCAAAACCCCATCTTTACTAAAAATACAAGAATTAGCTGAGCATGGTGGTGCACACCTGTGTTTCCAGCTACTTGGGAGGCTGAGGCAGGGGAATCTCTTCAACCAAGAAGGCGGAGGTTGCAATGAGCTGAGATCATGTCATTGCACTTCAGCCTGGGCAACAAAGCAAGACTCTGTCTCAAATATTTAAAAAAAAAAAAAAAAAAAGCTAGAGAAAAGAAAAGAAGGCTGGAGTGCAGGCACAGTGCTTCCTGCCTGTAGTCCCAGCTACTCTGGAGGCTGAGGCAGGAAATCATTTGAGCCTGGGAGGTCGAGGCTGCAGTGAGCTATGACTGTGCTACTACACTCCAGCCTGGGCAACAGAGTGAGATCCTGTCTCTATTAAAATAAGTAAATAAATAAATAAATAAGGCTGGGAATTTTCAAATGAAAATTTCACTAGGAAACTAAGTGAAATAAACAAAAACTTAGACAAGTTGACAGTGAAGAATTTGGATCCTAATTGAACTTAAGTCTAGCCTTACACTGGCTTTGCAGATACAGCTTATGGTACATCTGGCCAAGTTAGAGATGGGAAACCAAACCACTCCAATTTCTTACCCGAGACTCACTGGGTTGGTACTACTTCTTGTGTTTTCTCCAAACGTGGGCTCTAGCTCCTGATCCTGATAGCCCTGGATAAGGAAGACTCTTCCTGACAGAGGTGTCCACTGCCCATCCCTCTACACCTGGGGCCCTTCCTACTTGATGCCATTCTTGTCACCAATGCACTTCTGAAGACCCCTTTGGATGGGCCCAGAGAGGAGGCCTTCCAGAACCCCATCCAGGGTTTTACAGTCTGAAAACACTTTACATTCACAAACTCAGTAAATGCGATGACATCGTTTCCACTAAGGAGAGAAGGTGGCCATTCTCTCCAGACAGCAGGGGATTTTATAATTAAGTAAAATATTTAATATTTAAAGGTATACTTGCAGGGGAAGGTGGCTCAAATTTATTCTACATCTTCCCTTGAAAATCAAGCATGAAGAAATGGAGAAATTTTTATTTATTAGTCACTCTTATCTTTTCAAGCTCTTGGATTATAAAGCCTGCGTTTATCATGGCTGTGTCCAAGTTTCTCCTGTGGGCCAGGGACCAGCTCCTGCGTCCATACCAGAGAGAAGCCACATCAGGAGTAGGAGGAGGGCCATGTGGGAGTGCAGACGACAGGCCTCCGCCTGGCCCGTGCTGGTTCACCCTGGCACCTTGGAAAATTGTGGAGCTTCTTCTCCAGTGTCCCTCCTTTTCCTTTTTTTTTTTTTTTTGTTTAGAGACAGGGTCTTGCTCTGTTGCCCAGGCTGCAGTGCAGTGGCACAATCATAGCTCACTGCAGCCTCGACCTCCTAGGCTCAAGAGATCCTCCTGCTTTAGCCTGTAGCTGGGACTACAGGCCCATGACACAGGTAATTTTTATATTAATTTTTGTAGACATGTAGAGATGGGATCTGGCTATGTTGCCCGGGCTGGTCTTGAACTCCTAGCCTCCCATGATCCTCCCACCTTAGCCTCCCAAAGTGCTGGAATTACAGGAGTGAGCCTCCACGACCAATCCCCAGTGTCCCTTTTCAGCCTAATTCAGAGATGTAAACCCTTTCCTGAGTTTTACTTCCCTAAAATAAGAAATTTTGATCTTATAACCTTCTTAGTAAGAAAACGAGTACCTGCCAAGGATTTAAACCAGAGAGAATAGAGAAGCAGCATCTACAGAACCTTTGTGTTAGGCATTTGATAAACATCATTTCATCTCTGCAACAACCTGCACAGTAAGTATTTTTATCCTCTTTTGCAGACTAGAAACAGAGGCTCGGAGAAGTTCTATGGCTTGCCCTCAGCTATATAGCTAGCAAGGAGTGGGGGTAAGCTTTCGGCTGTCAGGCCACACTTGCCCAAAGTTACACAGCTAGTGGATGGCAGAGCCAGAAAATGAGAAGGATTCCACAGTCAGAAGCGTGTACTCTAGCCTCACTAATGGATGCCACAGTCTTCACTGGAGCAGGAGATGGTGGAGGGCCAGCCAGCAGGGTTTGAATCCATGGTCCAGGCCTAGAGCTAGCAGTCATTCACATGCCACTCACCCCTTCTCTGCTTGGCTGGTGATCAGTTAGAGGCCTCCTCAGCCCAGCCTGCATTTTCTGCTTGGTTTGCAGTTTGCTAGGCGGCTTCTATGGTAAGACAGTGGTCTGGAGGCCTTGCCCCTCCTAGTGAGCCCAGGTTTCCATGGGAGATGAAGCTGCAGCCTTAGCTTCCAGCTACGAGGCAGGACAGTGCACTTTCAAGGGCTGTTGACTCCGGAGCAGCTCCCAGGGTGAGGTCTGGCTGAGGGGCATGTGTTTGTACAGGGGCTTGAAGTGCACGACAGTACTTTGCTGTGCTAATACTAGAGGGTTAACAGTAGTCAACAGTCTACACAAGGTAAGGACACAGGGTTCTTACGGACACAAGGATTGGTCCAGGAATTTCAGCCAAATAGCAAAGCCCAGATGGACATAAAGAAAAGCTCCCTAGCTGCCATACTTCTGCTGAACTCATCCATGAACACATCCATGTGCGATGGGGCCAGCCCTGAGAACATTCTGCCAACATGCTCTCCTCCCCCAGGTAAAGGCCACAGGAAAAGTTCTCAGGTACAATCCTCTGCCTCCCACCTGGGCATCAGCAACATTCCTCCAGCCCAAGTTCAGGTCCCGCTGTATGCAGAATAATGCAAAGGACCTTTTTAAACCCAGGTATCTTGGAGACACCAAATCACCCCATGACAAATCCCCTCTAAAGAATAATAAGGAAAATAGCTCAGGGAGGAATGAAAAGTGTGCTTTGAGCTTGGGCCCAGACACAACGGTTTCTCAGAAACCCACCCCCGGCTGATGGATGCATGCGAGGGGCTGGCAAATCAGATGCTTTTTCTTCCCAGCAGCTGACAAGGTCTGCTTAGGTGCCCAGACAGGTGAAAGCTATAGCAGGGCCTCTGCAGCTTCCTGGAAGGAAGGGGCTATGGTGCTAAATTTCCCTAACGAGCTCATAACTTTCAAAAAAATAGAAAAATGAAGTTACTGTAGATGCACAAAAGCTAATGATCAGATGGAAGTGGTTATGATGGTAGCAGTGGAAAGACTAAATAGATGGCTCAGTAGAAATAATTCTCACGTTTACATTTCTCTCTCTTATGTTTAACAACATGGAGCAATTTATTATCGGTCAATGCCTGGAAAAAATGCTGACTTGAAAATTGTAAGAATTCTTCAGCTTATATGATAAAAATACCATCTGGTTTTCTTCACCTCAGAACTAGGTTTGGAAACTAGATAAGCAGATTGGGCTTATATACTCTACTAAGTTCCAAAAGGCAGAATTAGGAAGATGGTGAAACGCAGAGTTTAAAACAAGGCTGTCCAGCGGAACTCCTGGCAAACACGGGAACGCTCTGTGCCGGTGCTGTGCAGCATGGTGGCCACCAGCCACGTGGCAGCTGAGCACCTGATACACAGCCAGTGCCACTGAGGAACTGAACTTTACATTTTATTTATTTTAATTAATTTAAATTTAAATAGCCACACTTGGTTAGTGGCTAGTGGATTCGATAGCCCAGGTCTAGAGGGCAAACAGAGTGGGTGTTCTTTCAGAAGTCACTGTAAAAAGGGACTTCCTTAAAACTCCATTAACCTGAAAAGAAATACTTTCAATTAAACCCCAGCTCACCCTCCATCTTCACACCTTGTCTTTGCCCCACTTCAAGCACTCAGAAGGAGTAGGCTACACCTTGTTTCCTCCTCTCTGCCTCCCGCCCACTGTCATGGCTCCTGCCCGTAACTTCAAGAAAACTGCTCATCCAGCATTCCCAGCTTGACCCTGCTTCCTTCCGGGCTTCCCTGACAGTCCTGTTCTTGGTTCCCTCCCACCCTGCTGACTGCTGCTTCTGAACAGCCTTTCGTGGTTGCCCTTTCTTTGGGGTTAGACGTTGCCCAAAAATCAACCCTGGGTTCCCAAGTCCTCTCGCTCCACACTTGCTCTCTGAGTCATCTCATCTACAATCACATCTTCTATCAGTGCACCGAGGAGTCAGTATTTCTGACATGAATCTGTCCCTCGAGCCCCAGACCCATAGATACAAACTCCTAATGGACGTGTCCGTGTGGATGCACCACAAACACCCAAACATGCCCCAAATGGCCTTTGGTGACGTCAGACTTAGCTGCTCTCCTGCTCCCTGTCTCAATGAAGGGAAACCCCATCTTCTTGGTCTTCTGAAGCAGGCTTGTGTGATCTTGGCATTTTTGCGTTCCTCACCTTCCACGTCAGTCACTGCGTCCTATCGTCTCAGCTGCCAAATGCTCTCTTAGGGTTGCCTCTTCCTCTGTCCTCTCTGACCCTGCCTTGGTTCAGAAGCAACACACCACCACTGCTGTGTGGAGAGTCTCTGAGGTGACCTCTCCACTTCTAGTGGTTTCCTACTCTGGCCTTCTCCACACCTTCACCAGATGTGTCTACTAAGCTCCAGCATGCCACAGGCCACTTCAGACCTTGCACTCACGCAAAAAGAGATCACAAATGCACAGAATGAATGATGCCTCCAGAAGGTGAATGGGTCCTGTCAGGGCCCTGTCCAGTTCTCAGCTTTAGCTCTTGCTCTCTCTTTTACCCACCGTGCCTTCGTTCCACACTCTTGGCACACATTCCCTCTCCTGCAGCCCTATTCCCCAAGAAATCCTGATCATCTTCAAAGCCCAGCTCTCCTGTCACCTCCTCTGATTCTCGAACCCCTCCAAACTCATCCCTCTTCTGCTTTTTTCCCAAAGCACTTCGTCCATAAAGCTATTACTTACCAAAACTGAAATCAAAACTTATCACACAGAATTATGGCAAATTTTATTTGTGTCTTTCTTCCCCAACAGTTTTTTAAGGCAAGGATTATATCTTGTTGTCGGTTCTAGTGTCTGGAACAATGCCTAATCCATAGTAAATGCTCAGTGACTGTCCCGTAATGTTAAGCACTAGCCAAAAAAGAGTCTCTCGGGTTCTGTCCCCCATTACTCATCACAGGCAGGATGACTGCATGTCCTGGCTAGCCCAGGACAGTCCTCATTTACACTGGTTGTTGTTCTGGTGTTCCCAAAGATCATACCTGGGTTCCCAAGTCCTGTTTGGTCAGGGCCCCCTTTGGCATCTCTGTTTGAATGCAAAATTACATGGTCGCCCTAGTCATAAGGGCTGGGCTTGGGGGACCTTTTATATAGAAATCTTAAAGAAGACGTACCTACAAAGAGTTTGGAAATCAAGCTGCCTAGAATTAAAGGGAATGGGTCAAATAACCCCTCAACTTCTATTCAGTAGTAAGGTGCAACGACTCTATGATTTCTAGAAATATTCTTGAGAGATGCTATAATAAAAATTTAGCTACTTTAATTTCCTCAGCCTGGGAGTAGAGGGCATTCCAGGCAGCCTCCTGTGCACTCTGACAAATGAGAAGTAAGAGAGGAGGGAAATACGGGAATTCACTGTAACCAGCTGGAACTTGCCCAGGGGACAGAGGGAGTGAAAGGAGGGATTCGGTGCCGGAGGGTTGGAAGAACGAGGGTGGGTGGGCAGCACCACAGCAGGAGCACACACACCAGTATCAGTGGGGACTCCGAAAGGCTGGTGACAGGAGGCTTCTTCTAAAATTCTGCCAAGGAAGAGAAAAATGGAGGCCCCAAGTGTAGACAATTAGGAGGCAATGGAGTCTCTGCAAAAGCAGTCATCAATGAAATGAGGCCAGTCCAGGAAGCCTTGGCCACTCTAAATGCCTATCAGGTTAGACACAGGGCTTGTAAGATGACATCTGGCACTGATCACATTAAAAGGATGCTCTCTTTCACTCACAGAGGACAGGATCACAATCTTCCCTTTTACTTAAAGTTTAGCCAGCTTGCCTCTCCTACTTCAAAACAAATGACAACAAAAATAGAAGATATCCCTTGATCCCAAAACTGTCCTCTTTCACCCCTCTCCTTCCCAGCACAGTGTCCTAGAGTTCAGACGCTTGTCTCCATCACTTGCCTCCCACTGCTTGGCACAGTGTGCTCTGACCTCTGCCTCAGCACTCCTCTGGCATGCTTGCCAAGTGCACCGGTGATCAACACATCTCGGAATCCAAAGGCCACGCCTCTGTCCTTATCTCATTTGACCTCTCCTATCAGCAAGAACAGGGGACTCTGTTCACCACCTCTATTCCCAACACCATCTTCCTTAGCTTCCATGACTCCACACTTTCCTGGTTTTCTCTCTACCTCTCTAGTCACTCATCTCATTGCTGCTACTAGCTCTGTCTACGCTGGTCATTGATTAAATGTGATGTCCTATTCTCCTCCTACCCTAGTCATTCTTCCTAGACAATGAATGACCCTTGCTCCTATAGTTTCAGTTATCATACACTGATGACCCCAATCTACATTTCTCTCCCACATCTCTCCTCAAATTTCCAGAACTGAATTTCTAAGTGACTCCTAGACAACTGCACTCGGATATGTCATAGACACTGCCAACTCCACAAACCCAACATGGACCATGAACTGATCAACTGCACTTGGATGTGCCACAGACACTGCCAACTCCACAAGCCCAAAGATGAACCATGAACTGGTCAACTGCACTTGGATATGTCATAGGCACTGTCAACTCCACAAACCCAAAGATGAACCACGAACTGATCAACTGCACTTAGACATGTCACAGACACTGCCAACTCCACAAACCCAACATGGACCATGAACTGATCAACTACACTTGGATACGTCATAGGCACTGCAAACTCCACAAACCCAACATGAACCATGAACTGATCAGCTCTCCCTACCTCTCTCAGATTCTTCATACTTCCCTCACCTCCATCATCAAATCCAGTCATGATGTTCCATGATTCTGCTCTTATTTTTCCCCAGCTTTATTAAGGTATAATTGACAAATAACAACTGCATATTATTGAGATGTAAGATTGACATTGGTATACACTATGAAGTGCTTACCACAACCAAGGTGATCAACTAATCCATCACCTCATAGTCACCATAGTCTTACATGTGCCCACCACACATAGCAAATTGTGTGTGTATGTGGTGGGAACACATAAGACCTACTTCCTGAGCAAATTTCAAGTGTATATTTTTATTAATTATAGTTACCATGCTGCACATTTGTTTTCTAGAACTTACTCATTTTACAACAGAAACTCTGTATACTTTGACCCAAATCCATTTTCCCCAGCCCCCCAGCCCCTGGCAACTACCTTTCTACTCTCTGCTTCTATGAGTTTCATTTCTTTAGATTCCACATATAAGTGAGACATGATTCTGCTTCTGAAACCCCTCCCTTCTATCCATTGCAGCAGCCTCTTCCCTACTCAAGGCTTGGTCTCCTGCTCTCTAGTTTCATCTCTCCTGGGCCACTGATCTGGGCAAGTTCTCTTAGTACAGATCTGGTAAGGGGGCTCCCTGGTTTTATGCCTCAGTGGGGTTTCACTGCTCCTAGGATAGAATCCAGACTCCTGAAAATGGCTTCCAAAGCCCCTCCTGCCCTCGCCCCTCTGCTGTCACTCCTCACAGGCTTTGTGGCAACTTCTTTCTGTTCCTTGCAGCTGCTGAGCTCTCTCTGGCCCTGGAGCCCTTTCACAGGATCTTCCAGTTGCAGGGAACAGCTTTCCACCTTCCTCTTTGCCTCAGGTGTCAGCCCTTGGCTCCACCTACTCTGGGGAGCCTTCATGAAACCCCACAGACTAGGAGCTAACCCTGGATGGAACCTAGCATTTTCTATGCTATAGCTCTTAGTTCATTATTAGTCATTGCTTTCTTTCTTTCTTTCTTTCTTTCGCTCTTAGTTCACTTATTAGTCATTGCTTTCTTTCTTTCTTTCTTTCTTTTTGAGATGGAGTCTTGATCTGTCGCCCAGGCTGGAGTGCCGTGGTGCAATCTCGGCTCACTGCAACCCCTGCCTCCCGGTTTCAAGCGATTCTCCTGTGTCAGCCTCCTGGATGGCTGGGATTACAGGCGCCTGCCACCACGCCTGACTAATTTTTGTATTTTCAGTAGAGCCGAGATTTCAGCAAGTTGGCCAGGCTGGTCTCGAACTCCTGACCTCAAATGATGCACCCACCTTGGCCTCCTAAAGTGCTGAGATTACAGGCATGAGCCACTGCACCCGGCCAGTCATTGCTTCTTTAATCATCTGAGTCACCTCCTAACTGAAAGTGCTCTGAAGAAAGTGCCCTCCCCTGCCTTGCACACCACTGCATCTCTAGGCCTGGAATAATGTTGGCATGTTATTGAATGAATAATGAATGGACAGAATTCTAAACCTGGAATAACTAAAGTCAGTTTAAAAAGTCTTATTGTTAAAAGAGCTGTGAGAACCATCTTCACACCACGTCTAGCAGCAGCAAGCTCAGAATGTGGTCCATCACAGGAATGGCAGTAATTTACTCTTCCTGCCTTTAGAAAGGCTGGGTCAGGTGGAGGACTGGGGTGGCAAGAAGGCTGCCCCAGGAGTCAGGAAACCTGGTTTAGCTCATTTATCCATCCAGTAAACACGGACTGAGCATCTACTATGCTGGTGCTGCACTCCCTGCTGGGATGCAGAGAAACAGGGCACGCCCTTGCCCTCGGGTGCTTAGTGTCTAATGGGGGTGGAGATAGAGACACATAATCAGAAAGCACCATAAAATTCTAAAAGCCCTTTAATGAGAAGACATACAGGTCACAGAGGCAGAGTGGTGAACCTGTGTGGGGAGGAGGTATAGGAAGAGCTCACACAGGACAAAGTACTGAGCTGAGTTTTGGAAGATGAACAGGTGCTTGCCAGGCAGACAAGGAAGTGACAGGCATTCCAGGCAGAAGAATCAGTGTGTCTAGGAGTAAAAACACAGAATGAGAAATAACATGGCACTCGTGTTTGGGCCACTGCAGTTGGTTGTGTGTGGCAGGACTGAAGAAAGTTGGGGGGAAGAGGAGAGTTTTTCTAAGAGATGAGGCTTGCTCAAGAGGCAGAAAGAGTCAGATCCTGGCTGGTGCTTCTCAACTCTGCTGCTCATCAGAATCAACCGGAGGAGCTTTAAAAAAATCATGTAAATACCTGAGCCGCAGCCAGTGATATCAGTGTTTAATGACTTGTTGGGGGGCAGGGGCTGATTTGTAGCATTTGCCAATTTCTATGATGTAAATACTCATGCCATGGTCAATTTCAAGCTACCAATGGGATGTCACTGACTGCAGAGTTGGGAGGAGATGTGTAGTAGCACACCATTATATAGTATTTCCACCCAGCAGATACAATCAATAGAAATTACCTCGAAAGGTAGTAAAGGCATCAGGCAAACCTGACTTTTGAGTATGTATTACCTTTGTTTTTAACATAATGTACTTACTTACAAGTTTGTATAATTTTTAATAATGGTCATTTAACAACCCACTCATAAGATTCCTGGAAGCGATGGCCTCTCCTGAGTCGCTGGGGCTGGTTCCAGCTGTAGGACACCACTGGCCCCACCCAGGCCCACTCTATGGAGTCACTACGGGTGAGACCCAGGCACGGGTAATTTTAAAAAGATCCCAGGTGATTCTAATATACACCCAGGGGTGAAAACCACCTATTTGTAGCCCATGTTAAGGAGTTTATAGTTATCCTAGGGGCCACTGAGGCCATTGCAGGATTTCAAGACTTTTAAACAGAAGCAATTTTACCAGGTTTGCTTCTTAGATGGGTGAGGCAGCCACAGAGTGACAGGTGAACTAAGAATGGAGGGAGGCAGGGGGACCCGTCAAGAGACTGTTGCAAATTTCCAGGCAAAAGCTGCCAGGGGCCTACCTAAGGCTACAGAGGGAGGGAGGTCATGGAGAGACAGCAGCGGGTCCTAGCTGCCCTTGGGTGTAGGGGTGCTAAGTGGATAAGGTGAGGGGGATACAGGAACAATTTTAGTTGCTGGTGGAGACTGAGAAAGTTGAGGAAGTTGTTTTCTGATCACCTCATTTTTTTTTTTTCCTATCAGAACTAGGTGATGAGGTTCCGTTGCCGGGAGAGGGAGGCAGGCATCAGAAAAGCCTCTGGCCCGGCCGTGCAGTACCTGGCTGTGTGCATCTGAGGGGGCCGGTCTTCCTGTCTATAAAGCCAGGGAGCTCAAGCAGATCCCTCTGAAGTCTCTTCCAGCATGGAGACTCTGATTCCATCACACTGGCATTTGCTCATGTTTTCACTTTCTTAACTTCCCCGGTGACTCAAATTACAACTTGTTATGGGTATAAAGCCTCATTTTCTCTGGGAATCTGGACTACGTCTTTGTAAGTCTTCAGCTCGGGGCAGGCAGTTTCAATCCTTGGGGAGCGAGCACTATGCTTACTTCGCTCTCATCTCCCTCCTTTCACGGTCAGTTGGCTCCCCTCCCTGAGGCTGACCACTCCCAGCCCCTTTCCAGATGGCGTCTAATAAAGCCGAATGGGACAGAGACGTACCTTCTGGATAACTACGCATGCAGTAAATTCTAGCAGACCAAAAAGTAAAAAGATTTGCTAAGCCAAGGAGTGGGCTTTGCTCAAATTGCAAAGGAATTTCTCCAAAGGCCTCTTGCAATGCCTTGCTATGGAGTTCATCTGTCCCTGCAGTGCCTCTACTGGTACTATACTATGCCACGGTGAGGACCAAGACTGCAAGAGGCTGGAGACCCAGGTTGCAGGTTGCCCATGTGGCTTACTCTCCCTCCACCTCCCTTCCCTTTCACTGTTGCTGCTCAGAGAAGGAAAAGTGCAGGGTTGTCTACCAGGAAAAGAAAAATAGGGCATGTACACAAACGGAGAAAGGGAGGCTGGGGTTGAAAAAGAGTCATGAACTGGAGAGACTGACCATGGGCTTTTGTTAGAAAGAAAAAAAGGAGACAACAACAGGGTGCCAGGAGACCTCTAATTGTGCTCATTCTTGCTAGAGTCCTTCATGGACTCTAGGCTCAGTTCCGAATCCACGACCAAAGTAGATGAACTTGGAGTAAGATCCAACAACATAAGGTGATTAGGGTCAGAAAGAACAACTTGCACAGAAAGGGTGAAAGACGCACAATGTGTAACCTGGAGGAAAGACAGTAGAAACAAGATGTAACAAACATCTTCGAGAATATGAAGAACTCTTACACAAAGACAGTACAGTAACCCGCGATTCTCCGCCAAGGAGCATGCAGATGAGTCACCTGCGAGAAAACTTGAGTGCAACAGTGTTTCTGGTGGCACTGCTGCTAACCTGGGTGGTGTGTGATCCACAGAAGGAAGGCAGCTTGTCTGGAGGGTTTTAAAAATCAGAGTGGTCCTTATCAGTTTGCTGAGGTTCAGATGAGGTTCTCCATGTAGGGGTGGCAAATGCATTCACAACCTCTCAAGTACCTTGCACCCGGAGGATCTGTGATTTCCCTGCTCATTAGCACCTTTGGCAGAAAGGGAAGCCAGGATGAAATGCTAATCAATTAGATTTCCTGCTCATTAACAGCTCTTCTGAAATGATTAAAGGAGGAAGTGAGAACCAACAGACAAATTCAGGACTGGGCCCTGGCCTCTTCTTCTGCCCTCTGGCCCATTCTGCAGGGCGTTGTCTTGCACTGGCTTCTCACTGGGGCAAAGGGTACTTCACTGTATTTTTGGTTCCTTCTATTTTGACGTGGTTTGAGTGTTCAGCTCTCCCCAGCAAGGCATGGGAAAAGGCTCTTTTCCTTGCCTTGGCTCTGAGACAAAATCCTTTCTTAGGATGATTATTATTGCTATTCACATTATCATTGCAGACGAGGCAGTGAAAATTCCCTACTTACTCTGCTGTCTCATTGGATCGCCTCCTCTGTCTGGGAATTCAGGCTTTCCATTTATAACTCCACTGGTTTATCGTAGGGTTGAAGCTGACCCCTCGCTCAACCGGACATGAAGACATCATTACTTAGAAACCAAGGACAAAGGGCACATTCCTGCCACCCAACGAACTACAGCTATGTTGCTGATCTCTTACCACCCAGGAGTGGTTACGATTATTCCAATGACAGTAAGACCAGGCAAAGGGGGAAATTCCAGGCCCCTAGGTTAAGCATCGCCACGAGACAACCCGCTTTAGTCTCCACTGCTCTTGTTTGCCTTTGCTCCCACCCACCCTTCTTTTCCTGAGCCTTCCAAATGCTACAGGTGCTGCTTGCATATGATCATAGTAATAGCTACACTCGTTTAGTGCTTACAAGCCAGGCACACCTACACAGCACAGCACCCCATTTTATGGAAGAGAAGGCTGATAAACCACTTGCCTGGATCACACAGTTCATTAATGATAGTGCTGGGACTTGAATCCAGGATTACAAACTAGTTCCAGCTGATCTAGAGTGCATTAGGGAACACTGCCTCTCTTACCTACAAGTGGCCTTGGTCCAGCCTGCTGAGCCCAGAGCTAAGCAGCTTCCCAGCTCTGATCCCAGTGACTAATACCAAGGCTTTCCCCATCCTGTGGGACTCTCAAGAACAGCTGAAAGGCGGTTGTGTCAATAAGCCCATCTCAAGATCTCGGATGAGCTCTATTCTAAGTCAGTCAGTTCCACATCGATGCAAGTTCCTTTCAAATACTCATGGGTTATTTTCTTATTTAATGAGGAGGTAAAGGGTGCCCAGGGCAAAATACATTCTGGGATTTGCCAGTTCAGGAACATTTGCTTATGGGATATATGACTGGTTTCGAATCTCAGCACACACAAGGTTGGCTCCTACATCTCTCCTTTCTGTCTCTCACAGCCTCGATGTTCACATAAGCTCAGAGCTCCCCCTATGATATGATTCAGACACAAGCAGCACAGGATTGAAATGTGAATTGCCAATTTAGAGAAGTCTGTAAGCTTCTTGTGCTGTGGCTGCCTTTGGTGGTTCTCATGATGGCTGTAGGTCCTTCTCAGAATAATGTTCTTAAATGGAAATAAAGGATTGCAAATAAAGCCAGTTATGTTGAAATATAGATATCAAAAATATTTAAAGACAATTTTGTAATACACAAATATGCATGCTTCTTTGATAATATGTTAAATAACAAAATCTAGTGGATTACCAGAATTTTGAAGTAGTATTGAAAGCAAACAATATTTTTGAGATATTTGCAACCATCTTAACGTGATAAGAAAATATCCATGGTTTCTAATGGTGGACAAAGTAACAGAAACTGCTAATGCTATTGTGGTGTGTTGTCTATACTTGCGAAGGAATACCGTGAGAAATTTCGGCTAGAAGCCTGTGATAATAAAGATCCAGTTATTCTCCAAGTTCATAAACCCTCTGGAATTCCATCTATAGACTTCATGAACCCCAGTTTAAGAAGGGAATGTTTGGGAAAACAAATGACACAGAGAGGGATGGGTCTGCCCCAGGCTGGAGGCAGCACTTGCTTTGAAGGAGGGCCCTCTGATTGTTGGGCTGTCCCTGGGATCCATCTGCAGAATCCTCCCAGATGTTCTGATTCTCAGAGTTGTTTCTATCTTCTCCCAGGATACCTCCAAGGACTGGGAGATTTTCTTAAGCATCCCCATAGTCAAAGTCATTATTATTAATTTGTTAGTAAAATTCCAAATGAGAAATGCTGCCGATTGCTCTGAGATCATTCTATCTGAGTGAAAGCTAGAGATGGTGAGATGATGAGAAGGTAGCCAGTCTGGGGAAACTGGGTTAGTTCTCTACGACAAGGAAACCACCAAGGCTGCCCAATAGTGGAAATGGTCTTCAGGGTTAGCCCCAGGATTGCTACAGTGTCCTGGGGTGGAGGGCCTTACATCGAGGAAAACCTGGAGGCAAGGAGCCAGGCTTCCCAGGGCTGTTGCAGATGAGGTGGGAACACCAGAACCACCATATCTGGGGAACTTTCCTGGAAGGCTACTTGGTCAATACTTTTAAAGCAGCTAATTTATAGGGCATTTCTGACCGAGTATCCATCATCTGTCTCTACAACCTGAATGCTGAGTTTGTCTGAGCTGACAACACACGTTAGGTTTGGAAGTTCTAAAATCATAATCGGGAAGAGGAAGATGGATCCTTGGGGAGCATCTCACTTGGTGGCCCTTAGCCTTTGGTTCAGGGACCTCTGAGAATCACAGGCAATGGCCTTTTAGCTCCTGACAAATGCCTGACACACATTCACATTTTATATATAATTTCAGGAACTTCAAGGACTCTTGGAAGCCTGATCTAACCTCCCTTCCTCCATTCAGAGATGACAAAACTGAGGACAGAGGAGTGAGGGACTTCCCACAACCACAGGCAGCCAGCTTGAGTGTGTCTGCTGCACAGTTCACAGCAGGTCCTGGAAGGCAGATGGCCATGGACGTGGAGACCTTGCAAAGGGCCACATCCCTGGAAATTGCTTCTCTTCTTTCACACACCTCAGTCCCCCTCCCCATCCCACGTGCTGCTGGGAAAAAGCACACGGGCCAGCTGGGAAGGAGGTTGCACCTTCCGTAGGTGATCCTTGGTGATGTGCCTCTGCCTTAGGACACCATCCATCTTACGTGCTGTAATGAGGACATTGCCCCCCACCCACTCCCAAGCAGGGCCCCCAAAGAGGCCAGTCATGTTATTTAAGGCTTTATCTCTACACAAATAATAAATGCAGAGATCACAGGCATGGGGAAGTTAATTAGTATTATTGTGTCTTTAATTCTAACATTGCTCACTGGCAGAGCCCTTTCGTGCCAGCCTTAAGCCAAGAACAACCTTTGTGATACTCACTTGGACAAACCCCTTGTGTATGTGATGAAAGAGGGATGGGGGAACACTGGGAATCTAACCAACCTATTAAGAGCCCAGTTTATCAGAAGAGGTCAGTACCGGGCTCCCAGAGGGGTGAAAAACATCAGCTGCAGACAGAGAGCAACTGAATGCTCCTTGCTACCACCTAAACACACAGATGGAATGCCTGCATGCCCTCTTGCTATCGTTCCAATCTTTTAGAAGCTATATTTGAATCCTAATACCATTGTCCAGGTACTGCTTTTTAGTCACCTCAATTGCAAGATTGTGCCTGTAAAGAAACAGGCAGCGTCACGTGTTAAAGCTTGCAAAGCCAAGTCCAAAAATAGCCATGCAAGCACCATGCAAGTTAGGGTTAGACTACACAGATGCTACAGGAAACAATTCACACCAGGACGACATCTGTCTTCCAGAGAACACAATCTACCATCAATAACTTGGACACAGAAAAGGATACAAGGGACACCCAGCCACTTGGGCAGAGTGTTGAACACGTGCTTAAGCTGACTTGACCATCACGTGGGTGGGGATGGGAACCAGGGGACCTGTGCCAAAGGAGAGCTGGTAATATTATGTCTTTTTTTTTTTTTTGAGACGGAGTCTCGCTCTGTCGCCCAGGCTGGAGTGCAGTGGCGGGATCTCGGCTCACTGCAAGCTCCGCCTCCCGGGTTCACGCCATTCTCCTGCCTCAGCCTCCCAAGTAGCTGGGACTACAGGCGCCCGCCACTACGCCCGGCTAATTTTTTGTATTTTTAGTAGAGACGGGGTTTCACCGTTTTAGCCGGGATGGTCTCGATCTCCTGACCTCGTGATCCGCCCGCCTCGGCCTCCCAAAGTGCTGGGATTACAGGCGTGAGCCACCGCGCCCGGCCATGTCTTTATTTATATTATTATGTCCCGCATCATGGCAGGCTCTCTGTAATGGGTGAAGGAAGCTCAATGTCACTTCCAGATGACTGTGCCATGTGACCATGGGCCAGTTACTTACGTCTCAGGGCTTGCATCCCTTCCTCACCAGTAAAATGAGAGATGGACTGGACAATCTCTACCACCCAGACAGCCTCACACTCCTAGGAGGCAGACCAAGAAAAAGCTGTTCTATCGGGAGCGTCAAGATCCTCCAATTCCTGTACACTTTTAACAACGTGCCTTCTTCCTTGTCCCCAGCCCCAGGGTGAGTAAAATTCTCAGGGTTAAAAGCTTTTTCCACTTATGCTAAAATGTGGAAGAGAAAACCGATAAAGGGATATGAACGGTTACTTAAGATTTCTCTAAAAGGCTGAAGGAGCTAAATAAAGGGTTCATGATTATTAGCCCGGGACAGCCTATCATCACCGTTACATGGACAAATTGTACTGCATGTCAGAGCACGCACAAGATGCACAATAATTTATCAGTCAGGACCCAGAAAATTGTACAGTACAAGTGCCTCTGCAGCTTGTGCCTCCCTGCCCTGCCACCCTCCCTCGGTTCTGTCAAAGGGACATTGCCAAGAGAGGCCCTTGATTTAGGACTTGGTTTAAAAAAGCACTTATCAAAACCAAAAAGGAACTGAAATATTTCTGTGACATTTATGAGTAAACAACAAAAAGAAAACAGTATTTTTCTCGCTGTTCTCCTTCCCTCCTGTGGTTTCTCACTATTCTCTAGGTAGTTTCCTAAATGCGACCACAAAAAAGAAACCTAAATTTGTGCAGTAAACATGGGATTGACCAGGAAGACACATGAAACTGACTACGGTGGCCTATTGGCAAAGAAAGGAAAGAAAAGAAAAGGAAAGAAAAAAAGAAGGAAAGAGAGAGAGGAAGGAAGGAAGGAAGGAAGGAAGGAAGGAAGGAAGGACCCAAATAAACAAACAAAAAGAACAAGGACAACCAAGCAATGGCCGAGAGCAATGAAGATTTAGTAGCCTGTGAAGTGGTGAGGGAACACTCTTCCCCCACGGGGAGTATTTTATCCCCGACCTTATTTAGAATGGCCAGGCCATGATGACAATACAAAGTAGACCATCTTTCTGTGAATTTTATGATTGTTTTTAAATTTCCCATAGACAACTGCTCCCCTCTTGCCCGCACAGGGTAGATGGCTCCCATGGGCCTGTGCTTGGTACACCCCGTAGACACTGGTTGGCATCTATGTGCTTACGTTTGATGATTTGAGGAATCATGGGTAATGAAGACAGGCGCTTTTGTGGCGGCACAGTCCAACCCTGTGATGTTCTAATGTAAAAACAGTTTTAAAAGACTGCAGATTGCAGAGGCCATAGAGGGGTGCTGGAATCTGGCATTCGAACCCATCCACATGCAGAGGCCCGTGCTTCCCTTAGGATGCCTGGAACTCTCCTGGAAGCTGTTCCTCTTTTTCTAGCTTGTGTTTCTGGGGCTGTTTCTACCTCTAGAATCTGCTCACAAGACCTAGCACTTCACTAATTCCCAAGTATTTACTCAGTTGTGGTTGTTAATCGTATTATTTCTAGACTTTATAATCATTATTACTGGAAGAAACTAAAGTCCAAAGAAGGGTATGGGAGTCCAGTGAGCTCCTGGCAGAAGAGAAGTCATGACTCGGCTCTGCGGGGGATCATACTCTTCACACTCACCCCAACCCTCTTCTAGGCTCAAGACCACCAGATTACTGCCAGATCACTTAGTAAGGCCAATTCACTCAGCTCTCATTCCCCAAAGCTTACGGGAGCACTCAGGCCTACCTTCTTTCACATTTTCCCACGTAGTAGAGACAGTGAATTCTCCCACAGGACACAGGGAGGCCTCGTGTGTTCTTCAGAAATCATGGAGAAGCAGAAGGAGCTCCAGGAGCCAGGCGGACTCACTTGGCATCCTTTCCCCTCCTCATTAGCTGTGTGAACTTGGGCCAGCCACAACATTCTTGTGAACCTCACTTTACTCAGCTGTGAAACGGGGATAATACGCCCCACCTTTTAAGTGAGCAGTGCAGACTGGAGGAGATAAAGAACATATAACGTGTGCTCAATGCTCAGTACCTGTGGCTGTGGTGAAGGAGGTATGGGGTGTTTCTTTAGTATTTCCTGGCTGTCTTCCCACAATCGAAATTGCAACGCGAACCATGCTGACAGCAAATAAAACAAAACCCTAAATCCCTCGACGTCAGGGGCCCAGCACACCTGTGATAGCCGCTGTAAGGCTAGGCTGGTCGGTGAGTTCCTTGAGGGCTGTGAGTAGGTCAGGGGTGCAGCGCTGTTGCAGCTGGGTGCATGTGGTGTTCGCCATGTTTGTCCTTGCACTGCATGAAAGCCCCTGAATCCTGGGCTTCGGCATGACAACATCACCTCTTAGGGCTCTGCTGAGAGTCCTCCCAGCTTGTGCTCACAAACAGAACGGGGGCCGGGAGAGGAGGGCATTGAGGCCACACACAGCCCTGCTCAGTGAAACCCACAGCTCATGCTGGTGTTTAAATGCTAACTATGGGCTCCCAGGACAGCCCATTTAATTTCTCCTTTTGTTGGCCGTGTCCCAGCCCTTCCTTCTCCTCCAGGCCCCTCCTCAAATACCACGCCAGCTGGGGAGCTGCCCCTCCCCTAATTATTACCCTGGGGCTGCCAAGATGCTGGCTCCACCCCCGCAGAGGATGGCGGCAGAGCACAGAACGTGACAACAGCAGCAGCAGGTGGCCCCAGCAGAAAAGGCCTGATCATGGTCCCTGCGATTCCTACCATTCCTGGCCAGCTAGTGGGCGTAGCGAGCATGCTTTGTGTGGCGCAGGGGTTCTGCATTCTTAGGGCACCACCATCTTTCACCCCATCTCTGTGAAGCAGGGAGGAGGTGGGGGGTTTTCTGTGCAGCAATGTATGCCTAAGACACACTCTTCTAGTCAAGAATGTAGGATTGCTTAGCCTAGAGCAGCAGAATCCCAGTTAAGGTTTCATGTTGGGGTTCTTGGGGTGGTCTTGCCCTCCACATAGCTCCCCAAGGGAAAGGGCTCCTGTGAGCAGAAATATACTGCAGCTCACAGCCCCCTAGCCTATTACAGAAAGGTAGGACAATCCTTGGGAAGCAAGCAAAGTTTGCCGCCAGCAGCTCCCAGAACCTTCCTTGCACATTTATTCGTCCACCTGTCCGCCTAAGCTGTGCATCCATCCGAACACCCACTCATCTTTGCTGAGAACCTAATGAGTGAGGGCTCTGTGCCACATGCTGGGGATACAAAGGTGGGTAAGACACCATCTCGGTGCTATTTGCCCCCCTCCTCAAGCACAGGTACTCAGGGGGCATCATCCAGTTGTAGTTTATGAGGACTCTGCAATAAGAAGAAGAATGGGCGCTTGTCCTCACATACAGAGGCTCAGAGTTTAGTGGCTTGCCCAAAGCCACACAGGAGGTCACAAAGCCATGACTCCGACCTGGACTTCTGATCTAGAGTGTCCTCCATGGCAGTGTGTTCTCTAATGGCAAAAACAGACCACTTCCCCAAGCAATGGCTGAGACTGAAGGGGCGACTCTGGCCTTGAGCATGGCTGCTCCTTCTACTGAGCAACCATGTCATTTCACTCAATGTTTCTCAAACACTTGTTAGTGCCAGGCCCTGTGCTGGGCACCAGCCAAACTGCCTGGGGCCCTGCTTGTCCTCTTCCCCTGTTTTGATTTGCTTGCTTCGTTGTTTGGTTCTTCTTGGACTGTTTCTAGGTTGGTTTAGTCTTTGATACTCCTCCCATGTGAGAAGGTCCTGACTGGTTTCATCCCAGGGAAGGAAGACAGCTCCCAATCAAGTGGTGTGGTCAACGTCTTCCACTTTGCCATGCAGAGAGCCTGAGTTACCAGTGAGCTCTGGGCAGAACCAGTGGGCTAAAGACTCTCCATGGATTATATCAACACTGTCAGAATTGTCAAGTTAGGCACTGTCTCTAACTCAATATGTTAAGATACATATACTAAGACAAGGACTTGATTTAACAACAGCAGCAATAATAAGCATCCTTAGGGTATGATGTATAAAGAAAAGAGACAGCGGCCTGGAAAACCCACAGGTGGCACTTCAATACTAACTATAAATGGGAAGTTGAAATACCTCGGAAAAGAAACATCTGATCATCAAGGAAGAGCTTTGTAAATCATAGAATGGTATCAGTGAGTGTAACGTTGGGGACCTCCAGGCTAACTCCTTCACTTGGTGTTCAGAGAGCTAAGACTTAAGAGTACTCCCAGTGCCACAGGAGCCGAAGGTGGGCCAGACCCAGGAAACGCATCTCCTGAGCCTCATGCCAGGCCTGTTCTGCTGAGCCACGACACCGGGCATCATTCACTGGGCATCATTCTCATCAGAACCCCAAGCAAGCCCTGCTTGTACCTTGCAGATCTCAGCCCAACCTGTCCCACTGAGGCAGCACAGGGAAGATGCCAGCCCTTCTTCTGCAGAGTCTCAACCATCCTGTCTCCTTGGCAGCCGCTCAGCACATGCACATCTGCTGCCCAGAGAGAAGGGCAGTGTGTGAGAAGTGCGCCCTGCACTGGGTTCATGTTCCAACCCTGACTTTCCCCAGCCTGCTGACCTTGAAAGAATCACTAATCCTGTCTCATTTTGTTCCCCATCTGAAAACTGGAGCAATAATCTTATCTCTGAAAGCTTTTGTAAAGATGAAGACGTAGACTGTCACTGGAAGCACCTTATTATTGATATTGCCCAGTTCCCAGACAACACTGCCAAGCTCTGAGGCTGTCCTGCCACAGATCCCGATGTGAAGCCACCCTGCTCTCCAATGAACCCAACTTCCAGTGCATGCATGCCTTTCAGAGTGAGGAAACGCGCTTCTGCCTCATTGTTTGCTTTCCCGGCTGTGCTGGTTGGATGCAGCAGGGATAATGTTGACTGGAGATGGTTTATTTGTCACCTAATGCTAATGTGTCATCCCTGCAGCAGTGGTTATCACCTACTATTAGTATTCTTTGTCTGCTGAGTGAATGGCTAAGGGGCCCTGAGCTGGAGTGGACAGAAGAGGGGAAGACAAACTGTGGAGTTAGGAGCTGCTATGTGGGTGTAAGCCAGCAGGGAGCCCTGACCGCTCTACCAATGCCTCAGAGTAGGAAAACCACCCTGGCTGAGTTCCCACCCTGAGGCCTGGCCCACGGAAGGCCAATGTGGCGTGGGCTGTGATATGCTATTGAGACAGGCAGAGGGTTGGTGGCCTTGAATGCCATGGCTGGAATATTGAGTTACGAACAATAACACCCAGTCCCCAGTCATGGGAAAATAAGCAGGGCTTAGGGAGGCCCCAATGGGAGCCACAAATAACACCAAAGCAGAAAATGGCAAAAACAATTGCCACCACAATAAAAAACCACATAGAACCAAAACTTATGGCCAAATTTCCCACATACTGCAATCAACAGTCCATTACTAAAAAATTCCAGCATACCAGGGAAGAATGACAGGACCAGAGGAAGGCAGAGAGATGAATCAGAAAAGGAAGAGAAGAAATAATGAGCACTGGTAAGTAAACGTGCACGTGGGAAGACTACTAGTCTACTGTCTACTAGTTGTGGGGCGGAAGAGGGTGCTGGGTTCTAGCACCAGAGGCCCAGCCCTGGCTAGCGGAGTTGTGATGTGGGCCAGGTCCCTTGACCACTGTGGCAACCAAGTTTCCTCATCTGTAAAATAAGGACTGGACCCAGTGATCTGTAAGGCCCCCGCTGGCTCTAGAATTCTAAGAAAAAGGAATTCGGAATATCCCTTGAAGGCTGGCATAACAAAGTTCGTCATGCACAAGAGAGGAAAAATGGGACTGAGCTTACTGATACTGGAGAAAAGCATGAGGTTTGACTTGCAGATCACCTTCAAGCCTAAGAAGGGTGGCAAATATCTTTTTTTAATCGCCACTAATGGAAAGGCAAAAGGAAAATGGGCTTGAAGAGGGTTTGTTAAGGCAGCTGGAGCAAACTCATAAATACGAATATAATTCTGTTGTTTCCCTTCTGAAATACTTTCAATGGTTCCCATATCTATCACTTAAAATCCAATCTCTCCCCTGGCTCACAAGCCCTACAGCTGCGGCCCCTGAATCCACGCCAAACTCCTGCCCCATTGCTCTGCCCAGTTCAGAGCGCTCCATGCTGGCCTCTGCATGCTGCCTGGGACACCCTCTCTCTAGCTTGTCCCAGGGCAGGCTCCTCAGGGCAGTCGGGCCTCAGTGTCACCTCAGGAGACCTCTGCCGACCACTCACTTTGCAGCCTCCCCCAAAACTCCCCATTGTATATTCATGTTCCTGACATTTTCTTTACTTATTATCTGTCTCCCCCATGAGAATGTAGGTGCCAGGAGAGGAGAAACCCCGTTCGTGTTATTCAGTGCTCAGGGTCTAGAACGGAGCCTGCCACATGGAGAAGCTCAGTGAGCATTTGCTGAATGAATGAGGGGTGACAAGTAAGTAATATAAGTAGAAAACATATGGATGTTTTCCCCAAGGAAGGCTGAAAGGCACTCAAATGAAGGGTTGGGGAAAATCATGGATCCTCCTTCGCTGAAAGTCTCTTTAAAGAACAACGAGATGCTTTCCTGTCAGTAACGATCCAGTTCCTTGTCACTTCTCCCGCCACAGACCAGACCAGGAATGTGCCGAGTGCCCCAGGCTGGCTGCCCACTTTGTGACATACAGAAGCCAACACCGTGCATTCCTTTGGATGGTGAGTCAAGGAGCTTCTCGGCACCGGACTTGCTGGCCTCTCCTGGGGCTGCCCCCGCATCCATCTGCTACCATTGCTAACGAGCCCCTGGCCTCTTAGGCCTGCCCAGGGAGCTGCCATTGCACTACTGGCATGTCCCCGGACCCCTGAGGCTGACAGGACTTCTCACCAGCCAGCCAGGCCAGATGGACAGGCCTCAAGGAACATGCCAGGGGGCAGGCTAACGGATGGATGGGCCTTGGAAAGGGAGGCGATAGGGATTGACCCTCAAACTATGTTTTAATCTGCTGAGAACATTAAAGTGATCCATTGCTTTATTTTTTCAGGTTGCCAAAAAAAAAAAGGGAATGCGGATTTATTTATTATTATTATTTTGGTAATGTGGAGGATGAAAGGCAGGCAGGCAGGATTAGGTGGGTTGTGGGAAAATGTAATATTTTCCAGTACTACATGTGTCCATCTCTCCTGGATTAACTGGAGATCAAAGAAGCCCCTGCTGGAGATCTGCCTGTGTCATAAGGTGCAACGAGTCAACCTGATGTTGCTATAGGAACCAGATTTCTCCCCAGCGTCATGGCAACAGACTCCGGTGTGTTAGGCGCACAGTCTGCTCACACTGACATAGTGAGCTCAGGAAGAGAGCAGCAAGGGGTGGGGAGATGTGGGGGAGGCTGTACACAGTTCTCTTCCTAAACCAATCAGCTGAAAGCTCAAATAAATGAGCCTTACTTTGAATGGAGATGACGACGGGAATTGTGCATCTTTGTTGGAATAACTGCAGGACACTGAGGACATCATCAAACTTGGGGGTCCCATCTGTGGTTGTCTACATCATATACTATCTGTTCTTATAACGAGGGGTTTCACTGAGGAAGACTCCTTCCAAGGTCCAGTAAAACAACAAATGATAAACAACCAACCAACAAAACAAAACCCAAAAGAGCTAATTATGGGCCATTCTGAAGTCCATGAGCAATATTCTATTTCCTTCATGAATTTCTAAGTGACAATGAACTTCCCCACCATCTAGGAACATCTAAGAGGGGAAGGAAGAAAATTGCAGCATCCGCTCCCCTTAGAGGCTTTTAATACTCAACATCAATTTCTTTGGCCTGGTGACAGAGCCCATCATCCAGGTAGAAATGTGGATCTGGAAAGAACGGCCTCCAGTCTGTGATTTAATTCCACAAGTTTCAACACTATTGTCCAAGAGTCCGAGATTAAAAAAAAAAAAAAAAAAAAAAGCCATATGTCATTTAGTATGTGCTTGCTTCCTGTGTGCCATATTTTTTTTCTAGGTCTCTGTACCATCGGGCTTAAGAATATCTCCTTATTTCTTGCTCTTGACCTAAGGAGATGGTTCTCAAAGTGTGATTCCTGGAGCACCAGTGGTAGCAGCAGCAACATCACTTGAGAGCTTGTCAGAAATGCAAATTCTCAGGTCCTCACCTGAGACCTGCGGAATCAGAAACTATGGAGGTGGGGTCCAGCACTGTTTTAACAAGCTCCTCAGGTGCTTGTGTTGTAAAGCAAAGGTTGAAAACCAATGGCCAAAGGAGTCTATGCCCCTTCAACGCCTTCTTTCTGCCCACCTGGGCCTCCAGTCAGTCAATGATGGGACTGCAGAAATCCTACGGCTGGGTCTTTTGATGCCTTCTATTCCAACTTCTGCCCGATGAAGCCTCTCATCTTCACTCCTCAAGGATGCTTTGTGTCCTGGTGAGCTCACCATTTTGCAAGATGAACACCTGACTACACCTTACATGGCTCTAAAACCTGCCTCTCCCTTTCACTCCTACCCAAAATCTAGTTCTGCTTCCTGAAGCTACTCAGAATTAGTCTGATTTTTCAGCCTCATGTAGCCCTTTATGTATGTGAAATCAGCTATTCCATTGCCCCTAAATATCCTTGTTTCCAGGTAAAACATCCCTAGATCCTTCTGCAGTTCCTTATGTAACAGTTTCCAGATGGTTCCCCTGGGGTCCCTCACTGAATGTGACCAACATGAGAGGAGGACACACCTTGCTTCTCTTTAAACTTGGAGAGCAGACGAGCCTGACTGTACAGAGCATAGGGACTGCCCCCTCCCCACCTGGACACCGCAGACTGCCACCAAGGCAACCCAGGTCAGCTTCGACTACAATCACAACACCAAGCCTGGGGCAGTGAAATCCCCCCGATCCTTTTCATAAATGCAATAGTTAAGTTAGTCCTCTTTCATTCCTATTTTTTGAGGCTGAGCCCATAACTTAGCATTTCTAATACTAAATTTATCTCATTAGTTTTGGCCCAGAATTTTTATTAAGATACTATTGAATTTATTTTTATACTGTACAAAAATGTGATACTATGCATATTTATTTTCCTTTTAAACTTTATTCAAATTCATATGCTGTCCATATATTTTATATCCTGCTATTAATGTGAAATGAGCATTTCAACTTGTTGGCTTCAAAAACATAAGTTTTATTAGCTCATCATATGAGTTATAACACATTTAAACATTCCCCTTTGATGTTAGGTTCTCTCCTCTTTTCTTGCTGTTATACATGAGCTGAAATGAACATCATTATACGTAAATATAAAACTTTGTCTAATTATTTTTCAGCCCAAATTCCTAGATGGAAAATTAGTGGTAATAGGGTATGAACATTTCAAAGACCTTGATATGCATTGCTAAATTGTTTCCAGAAAGGTTATAACTTTTTTCTATTTCTATCATAGTATATGAGAGCCCATTTTACCACACCTATTGCTAATGTATTTTTTTAATCTGTGTTACTTTATTAAGTGAAAAATAGCATCTTCTTTTAATTTATGTTTCTATTTTACTAGTGAGGCTGATTTTAAAAATCAAAATGTATTTACCAGTTTGTAGTTTATATTTTGTGAATAAATCTGTTCACGTCCTTTGCCAAATTTTCTAATGGGGATGTGTTTCTTTAATTGATTTCTAAGATCTCCTTATACAGCAGCAATATTGACCCCGTGTCTACCACTTTAATAAACATTTTCCCAGTGTGTGTTTGCCTTCCAAAATTTTCTGTAATTTTTCTGTGGGTAAAAGTTTTCTATTTTTATGAGTTGAATCTCAGTCTTTTCTTTTGTGCCTTCCTCCATTACTTTCATGTTTATAAAGTCTTCCATAATTCTGGAGGCAGTTAAATAGTCTTTTTCCCCCAAGTCTTATGGTTTATTTTCTTTCATTTAACTATTTGAATCCACCTGTAATTTGCTTTGTCTAAATGTATAAGATAGGTATGTAGGCTGGGCGTGGTGGCTCACACCTGTAATCCCAGCACTTTGGGAGGCCAAGGCGGGAGGATCACCTGAGGTCAGGAGTTCAAGACCAGCCTGGCCAACATGGTGAAACCCTGACTCTACTAAAAATACAAAAAAAAAATTAGCTGGTTGCAGTGGCATGTGCCTGTAATCCCAGCAACTCGGAAGGCTGAGGTAGGAGAATCGCTTGAACCCGGGAGGTGGGGGATGCAGTGAGCCAAGATTGCGCCACTGCACTCCAGCCTGGGCAACAGAGCGAGACTTTGTCTCAAAAAAAAAAAAAGGTATGTAAAGTTATTTTATTTCCAAATACTTACCAATCCAGTCCCTGCCCTCGCCCACCTTCCTTAAAACTTCTTTGCTTCCTTTACCATATAGTAGGTTCTCATGAGCCACAGATGCACTGCATATTAGTTTCATTTTTTAGAGAAGCACCTTAAAGTTATTTTTACCATACATAAATTGAGGGGAATTTTAAACTGGTTTTGTAAGGGAAAACAGATTTTGTTTTCTAGTACACAGTATATGCTACTTTGGAGACACATAGGAGGATGCAAATTTTCTTCTGCCTTTGACTGATGCATTATTTTATGGCTCTGGCCTTCTACTTTTAAAATGGTGCTGTTGAATACAAGGTTATTTTGGACACATTTATTTTTAAAAATTTTATTTTATGCCCCAACAAATATCATTACTAGAGGCTGTTTCCTGGTTGTTTGTTTCACACAGCTCTGTCCGTGGATTCCTTTACCCGCACCATTCTGTTCATCTGTAGGAATGCCGTCTCTTATCCTTTCCTCACTGTGCTCATGACATATCTTTCTTGGTAAATTTGGTCTGGTTATTTTTCCAGATAAATTCTAGAATTATTTTTCTAAGCACTCTCCTTTCCACTCCCCACCAAAACAACAAACAATGCCCAAACCAAAATATAAACAAAGAAAATACACCCTGGGCTGTTGATTAGGGTTCTTCTTAAACTCATGAATTAATTTGGAAAGATTTGGCATCTTCAGATATTCAATCTTTCCTATAGAAATACGACATGCTTTCATTTATTCTAACTGTTCTTCTATATCTTTTAGTTAAATTTAATTTTGTCATACAGTCCCATGTGTTTAGAATATTTTCCCTAAGCACATTTTAAAAGTTTTGTAATTGTTGTAAATAGGAATTCTTTTCCATTTTATTTTCCAGATGGTCATTTTTGGTACATAAAAACTACTGATTATTAAACTATTTATGTCATATCCAGTCACGTTTCTGGGGCCCTTTTATTAATGCTAACTATTTTCAGTTAGATTTTCTAGGACTATAATCACACCATTTGCAAATATTGATAATTTTCTCTCTTCCTTTCCACGTCCTGCTTTGTTGTAGCCCCTCGACCTTTCACAACGCTGACTGGCAATGGTTCTAGTGCACGTTCCTTTCTTGTTCTTGATTTTAAAGGAAATGCTTCCAGGACATCATCACTAAATGTTTGCTGTTAGTTTGAGATACATTCTTTATCATATTAGCTGTCATTCTATTCCTAGTATTTTAAGAGTTGTATTTAAAATGGATATTGAGTTTTATTGCATGCTGCATTTTTTAGTTGACTTACCAATGTGATATATTATAGTATTAAATTTCCCAGCATTGAATAGTCCTTGAATTCATTGGCTGTGTCTTACCTAACTGTGAATCCAATGGATTCAATTTTATTTCATTTTTCTTTTTTCATCTGTGTACATATATAAGATTATTCTAAGACTTTTTTGGTGACATCTTTGTCAAGATAATGCTAATTTTATTAAATAAATTTTTAACTTTAATGTTCTTCTGTATTTTGAAAAAAATTATCTAAAGTTGAAATTTATATTTTTCTAGAAAGTTACAATTAAGATTTTCAAATTTCTTAGCATACCACTATGAATAGCATTCATTCTCTTATGCTATTATGTTTCCTTATTAATTTTTGCTCTTTTTTATTTCTAAATTTCCAGAGGTAAATTAATTAAATTTTGTATTTTATAGCACCAGCTGCTTTATATTGTAAATCTATTCTGATACTGTTTCCTAATTAATTAATTAAACTTTTAGCCTTTTTGCAACACTTTGTTTTAGTGTCTCCTGTACAGAATATGGATACATTTTCTGTTTTAACCAACATCTGTAAGTCTTATACTTTTAATAATAAGAGTGTTTAACCCACTTACATATTTTAGCATAGTTAAACGTTCAACCCTACTTCTGTCATTTTGTTTTATGCTTCTGGATATCTGTGTGTTTACTTTCTCATTTTTTGTTTCATAGAGCAGGAGTCCCCAGTCCCCACAATGGCGGACCGGTACCGGTCCATGACCTGTTAGGAACCGGCTGTGCAGCAGGTGAGCTACAGGTGAGCAAGCATGACTCCCTGAGTTCTGCCTCCTCTCAGCATTAGATTCTCATAAGAGCTCGAGCACTATTGTGAACTGCGCATGTGAGAGATCTAGGTTGCATGCTCTTTATGAGAATCTAATGCCTGATGATCTGAGGTGGAACAGCTTCATCCCAAAACCCTGCCCCCATCCCTTCAGTCAGTGGAAAAATTATCTTCCATGAGACTGGTGTGATATGGTTTGGCTCTGTGTACCCACCCAAATCTCATCTCAAATTGGAATCCCCACATGTCGGTGGAGGGGCCTGGTGGGACATTACTGAATCATGGGGCGGACTTCCCCTTACTGTTCTCATGACAGTAAGTGAGTTCTCACAAGATCTAGTTGTTTGAAAGTGTGTAGCACTTTCCCCTTTGTGCATGCGCTCTCTCTCTGTCTCCCCTGCTTTGCTGTGATAAAACATGCCTGCTTCCCCTTTGCCTTCTGCCATGATTGTAAATTTCCTGAGGCTTCCAGGCCATGCTTCCTGTACAGCCTGTGGAACTGTGAGTCAATTAAACCTCTTTTCTTCATAAATTACTAAGTCTCAGGTAGTTCTTTATAACAGTGTGAGAACAGACTAATAAATGGTCCCTGCTGCCAAAAAGGTTGGGGACTGCTGTCATAGAGTATACTTTTGTTTTATCTTGAGTTTTTGAAAGTTGAAACCCGGATTTTTAACCTTTATACGTATTAAAAGCATTTGCAAATTAAACTTCTATAATTTACAAAGTTCAAAACAAAACTTTAACTCATGGTTCCCTTCATTAACACAAGTAAGTTTTAAAATACATGTAACACCTGCTTCCCTCCAGCACCCAATATTTCCTTGTCATTACCAATTTAGTCTTGTATTATATAGGCAATTTCTTATATTGTTATTTCTCAAAATATTATTTTTAAAACTAAATTCTAATTTTTATTTTGTAACTATAGTTAACATAGTTATTTTTATAAATAATACTAATAAAGTTGATAAGAGTTGTAATTTTGGGCACTTTACCTACATTTTCTATTTAATCCTCACAGAAATCACACCTGTTCAGTGAAGTTCAGAAAGGTTAAATAACTCTCGCACAGTCCCACAATTAGTAAGTGGCAGGGGTGAGGCTCATTTGCAGCTCCCAGAGCTTGTGCTCTTGCTCAGGATGCCTCAGCTCTATTTAATTGGTTTCAATTCACCATTGGTCCATTTTATACTATGCTGGGGTCCTGGATTTTCATTCATCTCAATCACTTGGAACATTAAAAATTAATTGATTCATTGTCTCTGGAGGAGGACATGTATGCTTTATTTTCTGAGACCTTGCATATTTTCATATGTCTTCATATTTTTCTGCCTGAATCACATCTTATTCAACAATCCAGCTCTTTGGGTCTGTCAGTGGATAGACACGTGGAGTGCAGGCCAGAAAAATGCCTCTCAATTCACCCATTCCCACTGGTAGGAATTCCACTTGCTCTTTAGCGCCCCTTGATTTACAATGTGATTGGAAGTTTCAAACTTGTTGGCATATTTATGGTACTTTATTTATATGTTCTTAGGAAGTATATCAAGCATATTTGGTCTCCTGTCATGTTAAATTAAAAACCAGCATGGATTTTAAAAATATTGTTTTCTATGCATTATTTATATGGCATTAGTCATCTCTCCCAACTTTGTGTCTTCAACAAATTCGTTAAGTTTCTATTTTGCAATTTCATGAAGGCCAGTGGTAGACATGCTGACTAGGCCTGAGCCCCATGACAATGAACTGAAGTCCTCCCTCCAAACTGACATCAATCTGTTAATCTGCATTTTTGGGCCAGTGTTGGCCTAACAATTATTAACATATTTCTCCATATTTTTCAAAAGAAATCATGATAGATGCCCCTCAGTGCCTTAATAAAATCAACACTATCTTCGGTATTCTTTTGATCTAAACCTAGTAGACCTACAATAAAAGAAAGTTCAGTTAATTTGCCATGTTCCTAAAATTACCGATTTCTTTTGAAAGCACACACACTATTGTTTAAAGAATATACCCTAAGAGTCTTCCAGGAATTAACATCGAGCTTACTCTCCTACAGCCTCCTAGCTGTAGAAAATCAAAATGTTTCGCTTCTCTGGCCCCTACACACGCTCCATAATTTCACAGAGATCACTGTCAGAAGCTTTAAGAAAGTATCAGGAGGTTCTTCCACTACTTGGGATAAAGCTGGACAAGAAAGACTGGAATGCTTTGTAAATGCATTGGGTCAATTCCTTTGTGGCAGCGTCTGCTGTTCTGTTTCTAGCCTGTAGGCCACTCACAGGCAGGGGCTGTTGCTTCCTCATTCTCCTTCTTGCCTTAAATTCACCGCAGAGGCCCATGTGGTATTCTCATTCTCTGCAAGCCCCTGCTTGTTCTACTCTTCTTGAACTACCTTCTTTTCAGAGACTCTCCTGGAATCACAAGATCGTTCTCTTCTTTGTGCTTCCTGAGGTGTCTGTGGCTGACCTCCGTGGGCTGAGTTCTGTACGGCAGTCTCTGCTTTCAGGACGAGGAGCCCCGAAATGACTGGTCTTTCTCCTCCATGATTTCCTCACCCCAACTAACTCTTCCTCTTTCTCGGAAGTGAGCCCAGCGTGGCCATCCCTAGAGCTGCTCCCACTTCTTGAGAGCTGGACCTCTCAGCAGCCCATGGCAAGAGTGTATTTAAACGTTCTGCTTTTAGCCGAGTGAAATTTCTAGCAGAAGATTGGGACTGTTGCCTCTGTACCTATTTTCTGAACGGTATTAAGAAGTCACATTTCCACAACATAACTTAAGTTCCTCTCTCTTTGTATCCTAAGTCTCTGCACTGGGCCGCCACACCGGGTTTACAGGTTTCTACAACAGTGTGGATTTCATAGATGTCTGGTCCACTCCCAGCCTCTCCCACTGGCACTGCACCTTTCAAACAAGGTGTGCACTTTTACTGCCACTGCCAGGTCTTAAAGTGAAAACCAACTCTCAGAGACGCCTGTAAAAATTGCATTTTCCCTATTGCATTCACATTTTAAATTTATTTCCTTTGTCCTTATAGGCATTCACCTAGAGACTGTCAAAATCATGCCAATAATGGAGAAAAAAAAGAGAACTAAAAGGAGAGTGTGGGCCTTCACTCCGGCCTCACCTCTCGTTTAGGTCTGAAGACTCACATCAGATGCAGTGGACCTTGGGGCTGGTCTGGGGCTGGGATGCTGACTGATGAGTTAGGCTGTCCTTGGAGAAGACCAGGGATCAGTCCACCCTCTCTGCTAAACTGGCACTCAAAGCTCTAAGGGCTGATCGTCACCAGGCACGAGGGGATGATGGCACTGGCCTCCTGGCCTGCAGGCCGGCCAGTAAGTTTGGACCACACCTGCTACTGTTGTTCAGGGGGTCTGCCTACTATTTGAACATCCCCAGCCTTCTCCCTTCCAAACTGTGCTTCACTGACAGGTCCAAGAAGAAGCAGAGGTATTCTTTACCGTCCCCCTACCCCAAACCTTAATACACACCATTATCCAGTCCAAGACACTCAAGGAAATCAAGACTCCAGAGGCTGTAAGAGATCTTCCAGGTTATGTTGCTAAACCTCCCACACACATATTGTGGCTATTCTTATACAGAGATCACCTTCAGGGGAAAGAAAGAAAAAAGCTCTAGAAAACAGGAAGCAGGAAGGGTGGGGAGAGGCAGAGGCTGGGGTGGGGTGGGCACTGTGGAAGCACTCCCCCACTGGGAACCCCAGCAAACTGGGGAAGGATTCAACAAGAACAGAAGAGAAAGACATCTGCAAACAGCGCCAGATAGCCACCTCTCCTCCGACAGCTGAAAGTGGTTTTGTGAGTACGGGTTGGTAACTTATTTGGAGTGGACTACCTAATTGGTTGAGCCAGGTCAAAATGATGTGGAGTTTCCAAAAGCAGGAATATAGAAATGATATGGAGAGGGGAAGAATGATCATTTTAGTGGTTTCCAAGATCCTCCTCAGTATATTATGAGATGAGACAAGGTGGGTTTCCAGGGAGAAGCAGGCCCCTGATCAGGAAGCCATCCAAGGTAGCTTGTCTCCTTACGGGGAACCTCCAAGAGCAGACAATGCTATGGTCAGCCAGGGAAAGGGCACAACTGGGACAAGAGGATGCAGGACTGGCTCTTGGGTGAGGGGAGTGTTCCTCTGGAGGGCCATACTGTGACCATGTGGGAGTGCAAGAGCTCACTCCTGATGGAAGGAGGCAGTTCAGCCCAGCTGCCTGATACCTACTCACCCCAGGCCATTATTGCATGTGACTAACAGCCTGTTACGGCCACTGGGAGGATTTTGATGAGGGAACTTCTTTTATGTAGAGATTTCCTTAGGGTGAGAAACCATCTTTTATCATCCAGTTCACACCTGGGTCAGAGGAAGGCTCTCCTGTGTCTGCCTGGCACAGCTGTCCTGATGCCCGCTGGGCCTAGAATCTGGGCTGGGCCATGTGTGCACCTGGGGCTGAGCCATCCCTCCCTGCTCTCTTTCCATTCTCCCTCATTACAGTCTGCAGCCACAGGAGAGAGAGGGCTGTAGGCCTGATCTGAGCCCTCGCAGAAAAAAATATTCTTAACTGTAAAACTCAGCTTTCTCCATCAAAACACTGAGTGCCTACTGTGCCTTCCACACTAAAGGAACGATCAGAACGGGGCTCTGCTTTCAGGAGGATTATGGTCCAGCTGGAGAGGACACACATGCACCCCAGCAGGAGAACAAGTGTTGTCTTGAACTGTGTGGTCTTGAAATAAGCTCAGTGCAATGTTGAGGATTAGCTAGACTAGGTTGGGTGGGTCTATGGGGGAGGAAGGACTTCCGCGTGCCACAAAAACATGTAGGATTCAGAAGGAGTAAAGGAGAAGGGAAGTATCCCGAGCCACAGGCCCACGTGAGTGAAGGCCAAGAAGTGCCAGTCTAAGATGGGATCCTTCAATCTCTGGCACTGTACACAGGCTTGGGATGCATTCCCAAGCCTGCATCACAGCATGAAGGCACACACAGGCTGCATACCTGGGCCCCATGCTACAACACTGGAGATGTCCCAGTGGCCTTCACGCCCCCTCAGAGCTGGGGCTACACCGTATGCCTCTGTATGTCCCCAGCGCATAGCACAGTGTCTGTGGCCAGGGGGACATACCATGTGCCTATGTACACACAGAGCCACTATTTTTAAGCACCAGCTGTGTGCTAGGTACTAAACAAGACACCTAATACATACGATGTCTAATGCCAATGAATGGCCTGCGGGGTGGAGATTATTACTCTAATTTACAAATTAGGAAATCCAGACTCAAGACAATCAGTTGATCAAGATCACAGTCGGTCTCAGGCAGAGCTCGACGTCACACTCCATCTGTCTCCAAAATCTCTCCTTTCCTGTGCTATGTTATAGCAAAAGTCTACTGCTCTGAGCAACTCAGCAGTGGCATTTGCTTATCAGGGCTACCCTTTGCCTTTGACCTTGGTTCTCACCATCTAAGCCAGCTCACCTGGAACTTATATGGATTCATTAGAATTTGGTGCAGCTGCATAAATAAAACAAAAGATAATAGTGGCTTTATTTTTCTCTCACATAAAAGATGTCTGAAGGGAGACAGTCCTGGGATGGGATGGCAGCCCCATGGTCATCCTGTCCCAGGCTTTCAGCTTTCTGCTTTGCCATCCTCAATGCTTGGCTTCCATCTTATGGTCCAAAGTGGCTGCTAGAACTCCAGCCATTACAACTGCACCCTGGGAAGGAGGGAGGGAGGCAGAAGGGAGGGAAGGAGAAATGAAGGGAGGAAGGGAGAAAGGAAAAAAGGATCCTTTCCTTACTTTTTTAAAGGAGGCTTCCTTAAATTATAGCCTACAGTAATTTAGTTTATCTCTATCATCGTCCAGAGCTCACCTGGCCATGCAGGACACTGGAAAGTCTATTACAGTCTAGGTAGCAATGTGCCCCAAATCAGGTTTAGTTACTAAGGAGGAAGGCTGGGATAGTCAGCTAGCAATTTTTCTTATACTAACATTTCATTATTATTTTTTAAGTGTCAGGGTGTGGCTGGTCCAAAAGGTTAGAAGCAAAATTAAAATTGATATTGGAGCTTTTTTTTTTTTTAAAGTACCACCGCAATCTGGAATTCAGCAAGAAACAAGCAAATAAGTGTGTGAAATAATGATCCCAGCCCCCCAACCTTCCTAGTCTCCCCATGAAAAATACTCGTTGATTCCAAGCTACACATTTAAAACATACACAAGACTGTTCTGAGGCCAAAGAACAGAATCTGTAGTTTGGTATGCTGCCACCAAGGGACCAGAGAGCTTGCGCATGGTCGTGTGTGGTGAACGGCAGGCCTACACACAAGCTGAGCTAGCTGGAGACGAGTGGATTCGTATATTTTTCCTCATCCTTCCCAACTTCCCTAGGATAAGTTATGCAAAGAAAAAAAAAACATTGAATTTAAAATACTTCACTACGAAATATTACACTGAATCTACTTTATACTCTTCGAGCATTGCAATTCTTCAAACAGCCAGTAGAGACAGAAAGGTAGAGCTGGATGGACCTCAGAGACTGTCCAGTCCGGGTGTCTCCTTTTCCAGAGAAAGAAACTGCAACGGGGAGAGGTAAAATGACCTGCTCAAGCTCAAGGCAGATACATCTCTTGACTCCCAAGCTCATTCCATTCTAGCCCCTGTGGGGCAGCGGTGGTGTCTGAGGGACCCGTTGGAAAACTCCACAGAACTGTGACCTAAGACTTCAGTGACTGCTGGTGAAGTCCAGATAAAAACATGGAATGAGCATTTTTCCCAGCACCCTTGTCATTAGGGAGAGACGCAGGGGTTCTTCAGAGCTGTAGGGCAGCTTTGATGCCCCAGCGTCCATTCCAAGTGACCCAGCAGGGATGCTGGACGGAGCCACCAGGGCAGGTGTGGCCTGGGCTCCTGAGCAGCTCCCGGGCAGTGGAAGATCTAGCGGGATGCTGCAGGCAGCAACCTGAGGAATCCGGGGGAGGCATTTCCTCTTTCCTCACATCACCAGCCTCTTGGTTCTCAATGAGTTAGTTCTGCATTTGTCCTGGTGGGGTGGGGTGTGTGTGTGTGTGTGTGGGGTGGGGGGGTGGGGGGGGGTGGGGTGTGTTTGTGTGTGTTTTAAGAATACAGACACCTGGACTTTCCTCCCAGAAACTCTAAACCAGGAGGTCTGGATAGGGCCCACGAAATTGTATTTTTTACTACGTGTCCCTGGAGATGCTGAGGCAGCCATCTCGCTACTATCTGAGGACAAGCGATCGGGAAGCTGTGCACTGGATGACTTACAGAAATCCCTACCACCGTCCCAGTGCTGCTCTCGTCTGGGAAGACTGCTTGGTGGAAGAGCTTGTGATCCATCCTGCCTTGCTATAATTAACAGACCCTGTGATAAGGAGTTCTTCCTGTAGCCTCAGGCTCCCCTACCTCCCACTTTAAGTGTCTTTTCTTCCCTGGTAGTGGGAAGCCAGTCTCCATGTCCTAACCCTCCACAAACTGGAAGCCTATTACTAGGTCACCTGTCAGCCTCTCTGTCCCAGTTAAATCATCTCCATTCCCCTCACCATTCATCCATGCTCCTATTTTCCAACCCATCAATCATTTCCCCGCTTTTCTCTAAATGCTCTCCAAGTTCTCTCCAGTCCCCAAGTTGTCTTTGTTCCTAATTCTTCCCTTGAACAGTTTGTGTCTTGTGAGATTTAAAAAAAAAAAAAAAAATCCTGCTCCAAAAGGATTCGAAGGCTATTTTGACAAGATTAATTTAAGAAACCTCCCTGCAGCATCACAGCAATCCGGGAAAGAGGGCAGGTTGCATAAGAAAGTCTAAGGAAGGTAGTACAATAAATACTCCATTGTCTCCTTGGTAACACACCCCAAAAGTTTTCTGGATGCTCACATAGGCAGGAAGGTGAGTCTATGGGCTGAAGGTCCACCCACTGGCTCACTGGAAAGCCAGGAAGGACGGCTTAGCTTTCCCTCCATTCACGTGGTAGAGATCAGGGCAAGCTGAGACTACCCGAAGGACCGAGCAAGTGGGAGGAAACAGAATCGAATGTGGGAACCAGAGAGCAAAGGGAAGGAGTGTAGGAGATGGGTGGGTCATCACTGACCCCTGCTGACAATGGTATCTGTTTAAACCATAAGCAGAAATTCACTTTTGAGAAGATTTTTAAGGAAGGCAAAAAGCTTTCTCATGGGGATGATATGAAAAATCAGCCAGGAGAGGTGGAAGGAGAAAGAAGGGAAGTAAGACCAAGAGCAGAACAAAGAGAGACAAAGTTCAGTGGCTGCTGCAGACCTATTTTCTACAAAGAGCAGAAGGAAAGGGAGAAGGCAGCAGAGGGAAGAGAGGGCAGTGGAAGAGGCACAGAAATGGAGTAAGAATCTGCCTTCCCAGTCTCGGGGGCCCAGAAGAACACTGACTGCACCTCCAGTGAGGACAGTGACTGTAGGCTTTGCTGGAAACTTGGGAAAGTGGGCACCAGTTTCTAAATATTTCCCAAGAGGTGATCTCACAGAACAGCCATGTGGGCGTGCGCACTGTTCTCTCACCCACAAACTGCCCACCGCTTGCGGTTAACCTGGATTGTGCAGTTTCCAGAAAGCCTAGTGCACTTAGAAACTCGTCATTTAGCACTTCTCCTTTCTTTCAAGTCCTTTCTTATATGATAATTTTTGTCTTCCCAACAGAATTGGCATTTATTAGTCGTAAATTCCTAACACTACGGCCACTGACTTTAGAGAGTATAGTTAATTCCTGTTACTGCCACTTACTAGGTGTGGCCCAGAGGAAGTCTGTAAATCTTAGCCTCAATCTCTTGGTCCAATAAATGGAAAGGGTTGTAATGAGATTTTAAAGAGATGATGTAATTACATGCCAAGAAACATTTGCTGAATATGAATGCCTCTATCTCTTTCTGCACTGGATATGCTGAAGATGACAAAGAGACACACACACACACACACACACACACACACACACACACACACACACACACACACACAGGAGGACGCCGCTTCTTTTAGGCCAGCCTGGTGGCAGATGGGCTGGGGTGGACACACCCTCCCGGAGAACGGCACCTCCTTCTTCCATCCTATGCTGAGGTCAGGCATTTCCTTTGGAAAACCCCTCTGAGGCCTCCATAGCTGATGAGATAAGGAATCATCAGTAACTTTTCCTCAAATGGTGAACATGTTGGGTAAGAACACTTTAGATACGATTATGATAAATTACCAGTGGGGAAGGGCTGTATGTTTTGTTGCGATTTTTTTTTTTTTTTTTTTTTGAGACTGAGTTTCACTCTTGTTGCCCAGCTGGAGAGCAATGGCATGATCTCAGCTCACTGTAACCTCCACCTCCTGGGTTCAAGCTATTCTCCTGCCTCAGGCTCCTGAGTAGCTGGGATTACAGGCACCCTCCACCATGCCTGGCTAATTTTTGTATTTTTAGTAGAGACGGGGTTTCCGCATGTTGGCCAGGCTGGTCTCGAACTGCTGACCTGAGATGATCCACCCGCCTCAGCCTCCCAAAGTGCTGGGATTACAGGTGTGAACCACTGTGCCTGGCCGATTCCTTTTTTTTTTTTTTTTTTAAGGAAAAAAAACCCAAACAAATAAAAAACAAGCAGACTAAAGCCCTTCTCCACCCTTTGGTTCAATCCTAAACCCTGGCCCAATAGCTAATTTTGTTGGTTAGCCTCTTTGTTCACTAATTAGCAATTATGAACAGCTAGAGAGAGGATTACTCACCTTGAGAAGAGGGAATTGTGGGCTCAAGAGGGATGTCACTTAGGGAGAAAAGAAGAACCTCTCCAGATACAAGATGAACCAAACAAAACATGCCCCAAATTAGATACATCTTTAAGAAGGCCAAGAAAAGAAAACACAGCTCTGTTTGCCTCCACATGGCCAACATGCCACCCCCTGGTTTCTGGGTAGCTCCACTCTCTAGTACCTACTTTCATCAGGAAACAGAGATGCCAGCTTCCTTGGAGCAAGGTGATTCTCTTGTAATTTTAGACCTACTTGAAACCAGGGCGTGCAGCTGGGGAACAGCAGGTTGTTCTGGGTGGAACAGAAAATCCAATCTTGGAAAGAAGGAAAGCCTCACTTCTAATCTTGTCCAGTTTTGGTTCTCATCAATGAGTGACACATAAAAAGCCCAGAGATGACTGCGCATATTGCAAGCATAGCTTAAAAACACCCAGGCAAAGCAGGCTTGAGTTTCAAGACCCCATGGAGGATGGAAGGATGGGCAGAGGCTGCATTTTTGAGAAGTGGACAGAAAGGATGCTGCAGCACTCTAGAACGGCCAAGGCATGGACTCTGAGTTTGAAACCGGTCATTATTGCATACTAGCTGTGTGACCCTGGGCAAGCAACACAATCTCTCTGTGCCCCAGCGGCCTCATCTGTGGAATGGGAATGCAGGTGGAGGGGAGGGGAGCAATGCATATAGAGCACTTAGTATATTTGGGGAGAGGCACGTAAGCTGACCAAGTCCAGCCCCTGCCTGGACGCAGGGAAGAATTTCTATTCCCCTTTACAGAGGAGGGCAAGCCCACAGGTCAGGGTCAGACAGCTAGCGCTGGTGAAGGGGCTGGCCACACAGAGGTCATCTGCCTCTTCAGGTCATGTTTTTTCTGCCTCACCAGAGTGCTCACACAAACAGTGTGCCCCTAATGCACTGCTGGTGTGACAGGCTCTGCTCCCACAGCCTTGGGGCCAAGGGCAGCGCCTGAGCCAGCCGCCTGCCTGCCCCCTTTCCTGGGCATACAGTTCAGATGGGAGCATCTTCTCTGTGGGTTCCAATGTGAGAACACTGAGGAGCTCAGCTCCATACCACACTGCCTCTCAGTATAGACTCTGGACAGTCCTGCACTTTTCCAACCTTCCTCAACAGACAGTTGGGGCAGTGGCTGTTTTTGGCCCCATCACTTTTGAGACAAGAAGGTCAGAGAGTTACTTGTGTCATTAAGATGCACAATAAATGAGAAGTGTCTGAAACCACTCAAGGCCACAGCTTGCAAGCATTTTCAATTTTCACTCTCATCCCTAAGTCCCCAGTCTAGGTCACGGAGGCCACTTCTTGATTGTGAAGCAAAGGAAAGACTAAGCTACTGCACCAGGTAATTGGTGCATTTGCCTAACGATCTGCAGGGCAGCTTAGGTTCAATTCGATTTGATTCCATTTAACTAAATGAATTCAATTCAGCCCCATTTATTGAGTGTCCAACTAAATGCAATGTCTCACCCTGGTTCCTGGGGGTTGCGGGCCTGGAGGAGAGGGTTGGGGCAAGATGCAAGCAGCTGTGTCCTGCCCTCTGGGAGCTCCCAGGAAGGAGCTGAACAGACACGGAGGCTTGTAGATCTCTCAGCTCAGCACTGCTGACTTATTGGGCTGGATCATTCTCTGGGGTGGGGCTGTCCCATCTACTGTAGGCTCTTCAGCAGCATCCCCGGCCTCTACCCGCTAGATGCCAGTAGCTCCCCTTTCAGTTGTGAAAACCAAATCTGTCTCCACACACTGCCAAATGTCCCCAGGTGGTAAAATCGCCCCCATTGCAAGCCATAGCTGTAATAGGAAGTTAAATATAATTTTCCATAAAAGAGGTATAAACCAAGTGTCAGGTGGGCCAAGAAACAGGTGACCAGGGCAGTCTTAGTAGACAAAGTGACATTTGGGCTGGGCCTAACAGAGTCAGTAGGGTTTTGACAAGTCTCATTTCTATCTCATAAGGAAAAAATACAGCAGCAGGAAATATGAGGACCCAGTGTCAAGGGACTTGGCATAACCTGCAGGCTACAGTGAACTTCTGAAAATACTGAACCACGGTGGCACCCACCAACCGAAATGAGTCCAGGGAGCAGCCTTCCACTGAGGAAATGTGGGGGGGTGGGAGGTCCTGGATGGGGGATGGGCACTCAGGGACACAGGACAGCTGAAGTTTCTCAATATTTAACAACTGATGTGGCCATGCAGCCACATGTCAGTGAACATCAGCCAGCTTCTCCCCCTCCGGAGGAGGGCAGATCCCAAAGTTTAATCCACTCTTGGTCTTAAGTGAAAGCTTAATCAGCTCTGACCTGGCAATGTTGGAAAACCCTTTTCTATGCAATAGTTCACACTGACGGTGTGTGCGGTAGAAGGTAAGCATGATAAATACCCGGGGAAGCGGGCAGAGTTGGTTTTGCTGCAGTAGGTTTAATATCCAACCTTACACAATGTTACGCCTCCTTCTTCAGCCCTCCACCCCACCCCACACCCAGACCCATCCTCACACCTGCACCTCCAGGATTTGGCTTCATTTCACTCAGGTCGCTCAGCCTGCCCAAGTGCACACCTGGGTAATGTAAATTTCCTCACCAAAATGGAATCTAAAGCTGCGGGGAAACGACCAGCTCTGAAATGGTTACTCCAGCTAAGCCTGGAAGGTGGAGAGCAGCCCAGGGAAACGAGAATGGAACCAGAAGTCAAGGCCAGTCTTGCCGTGTCTGGAGAAGGCAAAAGCAGGTGTCAGGCCCAAGTGACATGCAGGATTCTCTTGCCATGCTCAGAAAAGCCAAATTACAAGCCAGTCTGTGGTCAGGAGTGTCTGGGCTCTCCCTGGAGGCCAGGAGAAAGGATGGACTCCGTTCCTGGGCTCTCCCAACCAGAAGCACGCACTTCTTACAAGCATAGCTAGGAGAGCATGCATGCGGAAAGGCATTTTCCCTCTCTTGGGTCTCAAAGATGGAATTCAATTCAGCTGCTGGTGAGGTTCTCCGTCCCCTTCTCAACAGTCTCCTGTTCCTCCCGGCGTTTCCCTACAGGCTGCAGTCATAGCTGCAGCCCTGGCTAGCTGTGTTTTCGCTCCTCTAAAGAAAGATTTGGCTTATCACCACTCCAAGCAGGTGGCTGCAGAGCGACCTAGAGGCGCCAGAGGAAACACAAGCTGTGTGCGTGGCTTTCTGCTCTGTGTTTCCTGCTCTGCAGGGCTTCTGTGACAGGCTTAGGCAAGAGAGCCAGGTGAGGGTGCGAGGACAGAGGGACTCGGGCAGCCTAACTGTGCGGGGCCCACATGAAAGGCGGGGCTTCCACTGGGTTAAGGGGTTCTGGAAAAACAGACTCCATCCAGTCCTTCCCGACAGCCCCCACTCCATCCCCATCAGCATTTCAGAGCAACCTCCCAGCTCTGCCACTTTCACCCAGCTCCCGGGACCCTGCAGTGGTCGCTGGGCAGGCATTTGTCTCCAGATTCTCCTTCCTCTAACCTGTGTGAACACAGTGGCCAGATTAATCACACCCAAACATGACTAGCGTCTCATCCTGCCACACACAGAAGGCCCACTGCTGATGGCAGGACAGTGCAGCACCACAGCCCAGCATTCGGGACCAGAAGGTGTGCTCCCAGCCGCCCTGATCTCCTTCCCCTGCCTCTCCCCACACAGCTCTGCCTCAGCCAAGCCATCTCATCAGAATCCCACAAACAGGCTCTGGCCATCTCAGCCCTGGGCCTGCACTGTCTCTCCCACCCCCAGACAGCCTCCCCTTCAAATCTCCTCTAGATTGAGGCACGGGTCATGCTCCACTTCCTCCAGGAAGCCCTCCAAACTGGAGTATTCTCCCTGAGCCCCAACACAATGGGGGGCACTTGGCAAATCCAAGGGCAGAGGCTGCTGACCCGTCTCCTCCATGGGGCCCTTCGGACCTTGACTTGATGGAAGCAGACCCTCCACGTCTCCCTCTCCACCTCCTGCTGCAGGGAGCCCCAGGGCTCCAAGAGGCAAACTAAGTGCTCTTCTTCCCAGCCCAGGTGCTGAGCGCGGCAGCGCCGCCTGTTAGGACAGTCTTCCAAGGCAGCAGCATAGAAGCGCTCCTGGCATGGGACAGGTAGGGAGGATAAGAGCACGGCCAGGGGGACAAGGTTGTCCCCATGGGCTTCAGAATTTCCCAGCACCAGGGGGGGCTCACTCTGCTGTGTGAGTCAGGCCTTGGAGACTTGCAGGGTGGGTGAGAACTTCTGCATAGGCCAGCATCTCTCCCTGTGGAAATTCTACCCACCTGCCAGACTCAGCCTGAGGCCACTTTCTCCAGGACAACAGCCCCCAGCATCCCAACCAGAGTGACGTGGCCTTCCTCTAAACTCCCTCCCACCTGACCTGCTTCGGTGCCAATTCCACAGGTGACCTCGCCCCAGCACCCAGAACACTGCCTTGCACGTGGAGCGCTCAACCAAGATTACTTTAAGGACAAGATTCCTTAAAATAACAATCCCCCCTTTTCTTCCACAATAACAATCCATCAGTCCCTTGTGTGTATGCTTCATAAGTTGAAACTGCATTTGTCTTGCAGAGTCTGATTTGGTCCTCGCCACTGCTCTGAGAAAGTCAGTGTGACATCATTATCCAGTCTTACAGATTGGCAACACTGGAGGTCAAAGGGGCCTTTTCAGATCCTATATCACAACAAAGAGGTAGGTCAGGGTTAGTCCTGAACTCATTTTTCTTTGCCAGACACTCAACGGTCCACAGAGTCTATTTCCCCCAACAAGTAATGCAGTGCTAATTCAGCATCCTTGGGGGTAACCAGCATCTCCCCACCAAGAGGTATGTCAGGGTTAGTCCTGAACTCATTTTTCTTTGCCAGACACTCAACGGTCCACAGAGTCTATTTCCCCCAACAAATAATGCAGTGCTAATTTCAGCATCCTTGGGGGTAACCAGCATCTCCCCACCAAGATAAAGAAAGGAGGCCATTACTGGAAAAGGCGGGATGACAGCAGCGACACAGAATTCACCTGGCATGTCTTGTGAAGGTCTTCAAACCCGACCACGTTTCCCCAAATCTTCCTGCAACCCACACACATCAAATGCAGGCAGCTTATTTTGTATGATTGATGAAGACTTTTTTTAGCATAAGAATTTAATTACAGGGTAACTGTATTTTCAGAGGGCCTGTCAATTGAGGTCTCACCATACAGACCTTCTGACAACCTTAGGCAGCCTAGGAGACCTCGTCAAATGAGCAGGAGAGTGGGAGAAGAAAGTAATGTCTTCAAGTCGGTGCCTCTGCCAAGGCCCACAGTGCAGGTCTGGGACATTAGGTGAGCATCTCACCTGATGATGCTCTAGACTGTCTGTCTTCACACCAAGCTGCTACAGAACAAACTGGAAACAGAGAAAGGGAATTTTTGTGGCTCTAGGGACAGGGTGATTGTGCTGCATTTTGGGTGAAAGCCTGACGTTTCAACCAACACATTTCTGAGTCAGGACACAGATAACAGGGCAGGTTACTAAGGTCTTCTGCACTGGGCAGACAGAAAACCTGACAAGACCGGAATCCTGGCTTTGTCCTCAGGACTTTCCAGAGCCTGGGGATGTCTCTTCCTTGCTCCCGTCTCCTTGTTGGGTAATTTCCAGACCCACGGTGTGCAGAAGAGGTGGTGGGCATGTATTTAGGGGTAGGGGTAGGGAAAGGGGCAGCCCAAGGAAGCACCTGCAGAACCCACATGGGAGGAAACACGCTCTCATGACCCTAAGCCAGGACACAGGCGTGCAATGCTGTTTTCCCTTCTGCAGCATGGCAGACACCAACCAAATGAGAAGATCACTGCAGACACACCCTGGGGAAGGACAAGTGGGAAAGACCTTAGAAATAACCCATCCCTCCACTGCCAGCCACGCCCTGGACCCTAAGGTCCCTCAACTCCTGCATCAGCCACCCTTGAGGAGAGGAAGGACAGAAGGGTGGGGCAGGCCCTATGCCACCCATTGCTGACAGGGCAACTGAGGAAACCAGACCACCTCCAGGGCCAGGAAGTGGCCTTGGGGACCGCTGCCTTGTTTATTCCAGGCCGCTTCAGCAGAGGCCAGGTGAAGGGAGATGGTTTTGCTTCAGCCAATGGCCATCGGAGGCTGGGGTGGGGGCTGCTCTCTGAGCACTGGGCAAGGCAGAATTAGAACAGCAGATCAACCCAGGCGATTTCGGCCACCTTCGCCCCAGGGGACATTTGGCAGTATCTGGAGACATTTTTGGTCATCACAGCTGGGGGTACGGCGTGACTGCTACTGGTACCCAGTGGGTAGAGGCCAGGGATACTGCTAAACATCCTACCATGCACAGGCCAGCCCCAGACAAGAAAGAATTATCCATCCCCAAATGTCAATAGGGCCAAGGCCAAGAAACTTCCATTAGAGTATCTGAAACAGTTCACTCAGAAATTGCCTTCAGAAGGGGCCCGAGGGAACAGACCAGAGGGCCTGGCTAGGGCCAGTGGCTGGAGCTGCTCCAGGGCAGCCTTCGGCTTGAGTTTATGAACAAGAACTTTCTATCAACTAGATGGACATCCAAGGGCTTCTCCATCATCCTTGCTTGATTCGACAGGTCCTGCCAAGAAGGCTACAAAGGACTCCTGAGTCAGGTGGAAGAATAAACAGGGTGACCTCCAGGGTCCTTCCAACCTGAAGACTCTGGTGTCCTGCGACATGGGGAGGTGCCTGCGAAAGGGGGCAGAGCTCAGCAATTGTCCAGGGGAAAGGGCTTGGAAAAAAGAGGACTCCATTCAGGCCAATGGCAGCTGAGCCGCCGAGCCTGAAGACAGCCTCTGCTGCCCATATGAGGGGGTGACCAGCCATTCATCATCCAGGCATTCGGGCTCTTCAGTTCATGGGCATCAATGGCCCCGCAGCCCAGCACACTTCCTCTTCTGTTTGCCATCATTGTGGACACATTCAGGCCCCATTGCCCCCTTGATCTTTCTCTTTCTGCTACTTAAAAGGCTTAGAGATGAAAGAGACAGATTCTGGAGCCAGACTGTCTGGCTGAAATCAAAGCAACATCACTATTTGTGTGTGCTTGGGCAAGTTATATGACTGTTTACTACCTCAACTTCCTCATCTGTAAAATGGGAGAGTCACAGTCTCCTACCTAACAAGGCTGCTAGGAAGTAAAGGCTTCAGCAGCATCTGGCCCATGACCACCCCTCACTCAGTGTTGATAATCACTCATCTCATCACAACCCACCCCTGGGGAAGGTCCAGTCAGGGACTCCTCTCTGCTTTGGATCTTCACCTGATGGAGGTGAGGTGGGGTCTCTGGTCTCACACTAGTGTTGTGAGAGAAGGCACGAACAGCAAGAAGGAATTCCTTATAGGCCCCCCAAAAGGAGGTTACTAGAAGATCACCTTCTCACTAGACAGTGAACAAACATGACTCCTAAGAGGGGTGTCATAGCCAAAAACCCAAAAAGGAATTCTGAAACCTTTCGTGAATGCTGGGGCCACCCCTTTGTCCTGGCTCCATTTCTTTCTCTGACTGTCTCTGCAACCACATCTACACATACTGATCCATGGAAAACGACTCTTCTTTCCTCCCCAAGACTAAGTAAATCACAAATTTCAAAACTCCTAGTCAGATTGCAATCTTTCCTGAGCACCTAGTACATGGAGAGCCCCTTTCGGAGGGTGCTGTGTGCCAGACACTGTGCAAGGTGCGTTCCTC